>NC_000017.11:24439910-24751133 GCF_000001405.40 Homo sapiens
TTCGTTGGAAACGCGATAACTGCACCTAACTAAACGGAAGCCTTCTCAGAAACTGCTTTGTGATGATTGCATTCACTTCACAGAGTTGAACATTCCTATTGATAGAGCAGTTTGGAAACACTCTTGTTGTGGAATGTGCAAGTGGAGATTTGGAGCGCTTTGAGGCCTATGGTAGTAAAGGGAATAGCTTCATAGAAAAACTAGACAGATGCATTCTCAGGAACTTTTTGGTGATGTTTGTATTCAACTCCCAGAGTTGAACTTTCCTTTGGAAAGAGCAGCTATGAAACACTCTTTTTCTAGAATCTGCAAGTGGACGTTTGGAGGGCTTTGTGGTTTGTGGTGGAAAAGGAAATATCTTCACCTAAATACTAGATAGAAGCATTCTCAGAAGCTTCTCTGTGATGACTGCATTGAACTCACGGAGTTGAACACTCCTTTTGAGAGCGCAGTTTTGAAACTCTCTTTCTGTGGCATCCGCAAGGGGACATGTGGACCTCTTTGAAGATTTCGTTGGAAACGGAATCATCTTCACATAAAAACTATACAGAAGCAGTCTCAGAATCTTCTTTGTGATGTTTGCATTCAAATCCCAGAGTTGAACTTTCCTTTCAAAGTTCACGTTTGAAACACTCTTTTTGCAGGATCTACAAGTGGATATTTGGACCACTCTGTGTCCTTCGTTCGAAACGGGTATATCTTCACATGACATCTAGACAGAAGCTTTCTCAGAAAATTGTTTGGGATGATTGACTTGAACTCACAGAGCTGAGCATTCCTTGCGATGTAGCAGTTTAGAAACACACTTTCTGCAGAATCTGCAAGTGCATATTTGGACCTCTCTGAGGAATTCGTTGGAAACGGGATAATTTCAGCTGACTAAACAGAAACATTCTCAGAACCTTCTTCGTGATGTCTGCATTCAACTCACAGTGTGGAACCTTTCTTTGATAGTTCAGGTTTGAAACACTCTTTTTGTAGAAACTTCAAGGGGATAATTGCACTTCTTTGAGGCCTACCGTAGTAAAGGAAATAACTTCCTATAGAAAGAAGACAGAAGCATTCTCAGAACCCTCTTCGTGATGTTTGCATTCAACTCACAGTGCTGAACCTTTCTTTGATAGTTCAGCTTTGAAACACTCTTCTTGTAGAAACTGCAAGTGGATATTTGGTCCTCTCTGAGGATTTCGTTGGAAACGGGATAAACCGCACAGAACTAAACAGAAGCATTCTCAGAACCTTCTTCGTGATGTTTGCATTCAACTCACAGTGTTGAACCTTTCTTTGATAGTTCAGGTTGGAAACGGTCTTTATGTAGAAACTGCAAGTAGATATTTGGACCTCTCTGAGGATTTCGTTGGAAACGGGATAAACCGCACAGAACTAAAACAGAAGCATTCACAGAAAACTCTTGGTGACGAATGAGTTTAACTCACAGAGCTGAACATTCCTTTGGATGGAGCAGTTTCGAAACACACTATTTGTAGAATCTGCAAGTGGATATTTGGGCCTCTCTGAGGATTTCGTTGGAAACGGGATAAACCGCACAGAACTAAAGAGAAGCATTCTCAGAAACTACTTTGTGATGATTGCATTCAAGTCACAGAGTTGAACATTCCCTTTGACAGAGCAGTTTGGAAACTCTCTTTGTGTAGAATCTGCTAGTGGAGATATGGACCGCTTTGAGGCCTATGGTAGTAAAGGAAATAGCTTCATATAAAAGCTAGACAGTAGCATTCTCAGAAACTTCTTTGTGATGCTTGCATTCAACTCACAGAGTTGAACTTTCCTTTCGAGAGAGAAGCTTTGAAACACTCTTTTTCCAGAATCTGCAAGTGGACATTTGGAGGGCTTTGAGGCCTGTGGTGGAAAAGGAATTATCTTCCCGTAAAAGCTAGATGGAAGCATTGTCAGAAACTTCTTTGTGATGATTGCATTCAACTCACAGAGTTGAAGGTTCCTTTTCAAAGAGCAGTTTCCAATCACTCTTTCTGTGGAATCTGCAAGTGGATATTTGGACCTATTTTGAAGATTTCGTTGGAAACGGGATAATCTTCACAGAAAAGCTAAACAGAAGCATTCTCAGAAACTTCTCTGTGATGTTTGTGTTCAACTCCCAGAGTTTCACATTGCTTTTCATAGAGTAGTTCTGAAACATGCTTTTCGTAGTGTCTGCAAGTGGACATTTGGAGCGCTTTCAGGCCTGTGGTGGAAAACGAATTATGGTCACATAAAAACTGGAGAGAAGCCTTCTCAGAAACTTCTCTGTGATGATTGCATTCAACTCACAGAGTTGAACCCTCCTATGGATAGAGCAGTGTTGAAACTCTCTTTTTGTGGAATCTGCAAGTGGATATGTGGACCTCTCCGAAGATGTCTTTGGAAACGGGAATATCTTCACATAAAAACTAAACAGAAGCATTCTCAGAAACTTCTTGGTGATGTTTGCATTCAAATCCCAGAGTTGAACCTTCCTTTGATAGTTCAGGTTTGAAACACTCTTTTTGTAGGATCTGCAAGTGGATATTTGGACCACTCTGTGGCCTTCGTTCGAAACGGGTATATCTTCGCATAAAATCTAGACAGAAGCATTCTCAGAAAATACTTTGTGATGATTGAGTTTAACTCACAGAGCTGAACATTCCTTTGGATGGAGCAGGTTTGAGACACACCTTTTGTAGAATCTACAAGTGGATATTTGGACCTCTCCTGAGGATTTCGTTGGAAACGGGATAACTGCACCTAACTAAACGGAAGCATTCTCAGAAACTGCTTTGTGATGATTGCATTCACCTCACAGAGTTGAACATTCCTATTGATAGAGCAGTTTGGAAACACTCTTGTTGTGGAATGTGCAAGTGGAGATTTGGAGCGCTTTGAGGCCTATGGTAGTAAAGGGAATAGCTTCATAGAAAAACTAGACAGATGCATTCTCAGGAACTTTTTGGTGATGTTTGTATTCAACTCCCAGAGTTGAACTTTCCTTTGGAAAGAGCAGCTATGAAACACTCTTTTTCTAGAATCTGCAAGTGGACGTTTGGAGGGCTTTGTGGTTTGTGGTGGAAAAGGAAATATCTTCACCTAAATACTAGATAGAAGCATTCTCAGAAGCTTCTCTGTGATGACTGCATTCAACTCACGGAGTTGAACACTCCTTTTGAGAGCGCAGTTTTGAAACTCTCTTTCTGTGGCATCTGCAAGGGGACATGTAGACCTCTTTGAAGATTTCGTTGGAAACGGAATCATCTTCACATAAAAACTATACAGAAGCAGTCTCAGAATCTTCTTTGTGATGTTTGCATTCAAATCCCAGAGTTGAACTTTCCTTTCAAAGTTCACGTTTGAAACACTCTTTTTGCAGGATCTACAAGTGGATATTTGGACCACTCTGTGTCCTTCGTTCGAAACGGGTATATCTTCACACGACATCTAGACAGAAGCTTTCTCAGAAAATTCTTTGGGATGATTGAGTGGAACTCACAGAGCTGAACATTCCTTGCGATGTAGCAGTTTAGAAACACACTTTCTGCAGAATCTGCAAGTGCATATTTGGACCTCTCTGAGGAATTCGTTGGAAACGGGATAATTTCAGCTGACTAAACAGAAGCATTCTCAGAACCTTCTTCGTGATGTCTGCATTCAACTCACAGTGTGGAACCTTTCTTTGATAGTTCAGGTTTGAAACACTCTTTTTGTAGAAACTGCAAGGGGATAATTGCACTTCTTTGAGGCCTACCGTAGTAAAGGAAATAACTTCCTATAGAAAGAAGACAGAAGCATTCTCAGAACCCTCTTCGTGATGTTTGCATTCAACTCACAGTGCTGAACCTTTCTTTGATAGTTCAGCTTTGAAACACTCTTCTTGTAGAAACTGCAAGTGGATATTTGGTCCTCTCTGAGGATTTCGTTGGAAACGGGATAAACCGCACAGAACTAAACAGAAGCATTCTCAGAGCCCTCTTCGTGATGTTTGCATTCAACTCACAGTGCTGAACCTTTCTTTGATAGTGCAGCTTTGAAACACTCTTTTTGTAGAAACTGCAAGTGGATGTTTGGTCCTCTCTGAGGATTTCGTTGGAAACGGGATAAACCGCACAGAACTAAAACAGAAGCATTGTCAGAAACTTCTTTGTGATGATTGCATTCAACTCACAGAGTTGAAGGTTCCTTTTCAAACAGCAGTTTCCAATCACTCTTTCTGTGGAATCTGCAAGTGGATATTTGGGCCTCTCTGAGGATTTCGTTGGAAACGGGATAAAACGCACAGAACTAAAACAGAAGCATTCTCAGAAACTTCTCTGTGATGTTTGTGTTCAACTCCCAGAGTTTCACGTTGCTTTTCATAGAGTAGTTCTGAAACATGCTTTTCGTAGTGTCTGCAAGTGGACATTTGGAGCGCTTTCAGGCCTGTGGTGGAAAACGAATTATGGTCACATAAAAACTGGAGAGAAGCCTTCTCAGAAACTTCTCTGTGATGATTGCATTCAACTCACAGAGTTGAACCCTCCTATGGATAGAGCAGTGTTGAAACTCTCTTTTTGTGGAATCTGCAAGTGGATATGTGGACCTCTCCGAAGATGTCTTTGGAAACGGGAATATCTTCACATAAAAACTAAACAGAAGCATTCTCAGAAACTTCTTGGTGATGTTTGCATTCAAATCCCAGAGTTGAACCTTCCTTTGATAGTTCAGGTTTGAAACACTCTTTCTGTAGGATCTGCAAGTGGCTATTTGGACCACTCTGTGGCCTTCGTTCGAAACGGGTATATCTTCGCATAAAATCTAGACAGAAGCATTCTCAGAAAATACTTTGTGATGATTGAGTTTAAATCACAGAGCTGACCATTCCTTTGGATGGAGCAGGTTTGAGACACACTTTTTGTAGAATCTACAAGTGGATATTTGGACCTCTCTGAGGATTTCGTTGGAAACGGGATAACTGCACCTAACTAAACGGAAGCATTCTCAGAAACTGCTTTGTGATGATTGCATTCACCTCACAGAGTTGAACATTCCTATTGATAGAGCAGTTTGGAAACACTCTTGTTGTGGAATGTGCAAGTGGAGATTTGGAGCGCTTTGAGGCCTATGGTAGTAAAGGGAATAGCTTCATAGAAAAACTAGACAGATGCATTCTCAGGAACTTTTTGGTGATGTTTGTATTCAACTCCCAGAGTTGAACTTTCCTTTGGAAAGAGCAGCTATGAAACACTCTTTTTCTAGAATCTGCAAGTGGACGTTTGGAGGGCTTTGTGGTTTGTGGTGGAAAAGGAAATATCTTCACCTAAATACTAGATAGAAGCATTCTCAGAAGCTTCTCTGTGATGACTGCATTCAACTCACGGAGTTGAACACTCCTTTTGAGAGCGCAGTTTTGAAACTCTCTTTCTGTGGCATCCGCAAGGGGACATGTAGGCCTCTTTGAAGATTTCGTTGGAAACGGAATCATCTTCACATAAAAACTATACAGAAGCAGTCTCAGAATCTTCTTTGTGATGTTTGCATTCAAATCCCAGAGTTGAACTTTCCTTTCAAAGTTCACGTTTGAAACAGTCTTTTTGCAGGATCTACAAGTGGATATTTGGACCACTCTGTGTCCTTCGTTCGAAACGGGTATATCTTCACATGACATCTAGACAGAAGCTTTCTCAGAAAATTCTTTGGGATGATTGAGTTGAGCAAACAGAGCTGAACACTCCTTGCGATGTAGCAGTTTAGAAACACACTTTCTGCAGAATCTGCAAGTGCATATGTGGACCTCTCTGAGGAAATCGTTGGAAACGGGATAATTTCAGCTGACTAAACAGAAGCAGCATTCTCAGAACCTTCTTCGTGATGTCTGCATTCAACTCACAGTGTGGAACCTTTCTTTGATAGTTCAGGTTTGAAACACTCTTTTTGTAGAAACTGCAAGGGGATAATTGCACTTCTTTGAGGCCTACCGTAGTAAAGGAAATAACTTCCTATAGAAAGAAGACAGAAGCATTCTCAGAACCCTCTTCGTGATGTTTGCATTCAACTCACAGTGCTGAACCTTTCTTTGATAGTTCAGCTTTGAAACACTCTTCTTGTAGAAACTGCAAGTGGATATTTGGTCCTCTCTGAGGATTTCGTTGGAAACGGGATAAACCGCACAGAACTAAACAGAAGAATTCTCAGAGCCCTCTTCGTGATGTTTGCATTCAACTCACAGTGCTGAACCTTTCTTTGATAGTGCAGCT
This sequence comes from Homo sapiens, assembly GCF_000001405.40. Classification (NCBI taxonomy): domain Eukaryota; kingdom Metazoa; phylum Chordata; class Mammalia; order Primates; family Hominidae; genus Homo; species Homo sapiens. The sequence goes on from NC_000017.11 coordinate 24,446,132, forward strand.
TTGAAACACTCTTTTTGTAGAAACTGCAAGTGGATATTTGGTCCTCTCTGAGGATTTCGTTGGAAACGGGATAAGCCGCACAGAACTAAAACAGAAGCATTGTCAGAAACTTCTTTGTGATGATTGCATTCAACTCACAGAGTTGAAGGTTCCTTTTCAAACAGCAGTTTCCAATCACTCTTTCTGGGGAATCTGCAAGTGGATATTTGGGCCTCTCTGAGGATTTCGTTGGAAACGGGATAAAACGCACAGAACTAAAACAGAAGCATTCTCAGAAACTTCTCTGTGATGTTTGTGTTCAACTCCCAGAGTTTCACGTTGCTTTTCATAGAGTAGTTCTGAAACATGCTTTTCGTAGTGTCTGCAAGTGGACATTTGGAGCGCTTTCAGGCCTGTGGTGGAAAACGAATTATGGTCACATAAAAACTGGAGAGAAGCCTTCTCAGAAACTTCTCTGTGATGATTGCATTCAACTCACAGAGTTGAACCCTCCTATGGATAGAGCAGTGTTGAAACTCTCTTTTTGTGGAATCTGCAAGTGGATATGTGGACCTCTCCGAGGATGTCTTTGGAAACGGGAATATCTTCACATAAAAACTAAACAGAAGCATTCTCAGAAACTTCTTGGTGATGTTTGCATTCAAATCCCAGAGTTGAACCTTCCTTTGATAGTTCAGGTTTGAAACACTCTTTTTGTAGGATCTGCAAGTGGATGTTTGGACCATTCTGTGGCCTTCTTTCGAAACGGGTACATCTTCGCATAAAATCTAGACAGAAGCATTCTCAGAAAATACTTTGTGATGATTGAGTTTAAATCACAGAGCTGACCATTCCTTTGGATGGAGCAGGTTTGAGACACACTTTTTGTAGAATCTACAAGTGGATATTTGGACCTCTCTGAGGATTTCGTTGGAAACGGGATAACTGCACCTAACTAAACGGAAGCATTCTCAGAAACTGCTTTGTGATGATTGCATTCACCTCACAGAGTTGAACATTCCTATTGATAGAGCAGTTTGGAAACACTCTTGTTGTGGAATGTGCAAGTGGAGATTTGGAGCGCTTTGAGGCCTATGGTAGTAAAGGGAATAGCTTCATAGAAAAACTAGACAGATGCATTCTCAGGAACCTTTTGGTGATGTTTGTATTCAACTCCCAGAGTTGAACTTTCCTTTGGAAAGAGCAGCTATGAAACACTCTTTTTCTAGAATCTGCAAGTGGACGTTTGGAGGGCTTTGTGGTTTGTGGTGGAAAAGGAAATATCTTCACCTAAATACTAGACAGAAGCATTCTCAGAAGCTTCTCTGTGATGACTGCATTCAACTCACGGAGTTGAACACTCCTTTTGAGAGCGCAGTTTTGAAACTCTCTTTCTGTGGCATCTGCAAGGGGACATGTAGACCTCTTTGAAGATTTCGTTGGAAACGGAATCATCTTCACATAAAAACTATACAGAAGCAGTCTCAGAATCTTCTTTGTGATGTTTGCATTCAAATCCCAGAGTTGAACTTTCCTTTCAAAGTTCACGTTTGAAACACTCTTTTTGCAGGATCTACAAGTGGATATTTGGACCACTCTGTGTCCTTCGTTCGAAACGGGTATATCTTCACACGACATCTAGACAGAAGCTTTCTCAGAAAATTCTTTGGGATGATTGAGTGGAACTCACAGAGCTGAACATTCCTTGCGATGTAGCAGTTTAGAAACACACTTTCTGCAGAATCTGCAAGTGCATATTTGGACCTCTCTGAGGAATTCGTTGGAAACGGGATAATTTCAGCTGACTAAACAGAAGCATTCTCAGAACCTTCTTCGTGATGTCTGCATTCAACTCACAGTGTGGAACCTTTCTTTGATAGTTCAGGTTTGAAACACTCTTTTTGTAGAAACTGCAAGGGGATAATTGCACTTCTTTGAGGCCTACCGTAGTAAAGGAAATAACTTCCTATAGAAAGAAGACAGAAGCATTCTCAGAACCCTCTTCGTGATGTTTGCATTCAACTCACAGTGCTGAACCTTTCTTTGATAGTTCAGCTTTGAAACACTCTTCTTGTAGAAACTGCAAGTGGATATTTGGTCCTCTCTGAGGATTTCGTTGGAAACGGGATAAACCGCACAGAACTAAACAGAAGAATTCTCAGAGCCCTCTTCGTGATGTTTGCATTCAACTCACAGTGCTGAACCTTTCTTTGATAGTGCAGCTTTGAAACACTCTTTTTGTAGAAACTGCAAGTGGATATTTGGTCCTCTCTGAGGATTTCGTTGGAAACGGGATAAACCGCACAGAACTAAAACAGAAGCATTCACAGAAAACTCTTGGTGACGACTGAGTTTAACTCACAGAGCTGAACATTCCTTTGGATGGAGCAGTTTCGAAACACACTATTTGTAGAATCTGCAAGTGGATATTTGGGCCTCTCTGAGGATTTCGTTGGAAACGGGATAAAACGCACAGAACTAAAACAGAAGCATTCTCAGAAACTACTTTGTGATGATTGCATTCAAGTCACAGAGTTGAACATTCCCTTTGACAGAGCAGTTTGGAAACTCTCTTTGTGTAGAATCTGCAAGTGGAGATATGGACCGCTTTGAGGCCTATGGTAGTAAAGGAAATACCTTCATATAAAAGCTAGACAGTAGCATTCTCAGAAACTACTTTGTGATGCTTGCATTCAACTCACAGAGTTGAACTTTCCTTTCGAGAGAGAAGCTTTGAAACACTCTTTTTCCAGAATGTGCAAGTGGACATTTGGGGAGCTTTGAGGCCTGTGGTGGAAAAGGAATTATCTTCCCGTAAAAGCTAGATAGAAGCATTGTCAGAAACTTCTTTGTGATGATTGCATTCAACTCACAGAGTTGAAGGTTCCTTTTCAAACAGCAGTTTCCAATCACTCTTTCTGTGGAATCTGCAAGTGGATATTTCGACCTCTTTGAAGATTTCGTTGGAAACGGGAGAATCTTCACAGAAAAGCTAAACAGAAGCATTCTCAGAAACTTCTCTGTGATGTTTGTGTTCAACTCCCAGAGTTTCACGTTGCTTTTCATAGAGTAGTTCTGAAACATGCTTTTCGTAGTGTCTGCAAGTGGACATTTGGAGCGCTTTCAGGCCTGTGGTGGAAAACAAATTATGGTCACATAAAAACTGGAGAGAAGCCTTCTCAGAAACTTCTCTGTGATGATTGCATTCAACTCACAGAGTTGAACCCTCCTATGGATAGAGCAGTGTTGAAACTCTCTTTTTGTGGAATCTGCAAGTGGATATGTGGACCTCTCCGAAGATGTCTTTGGAAACGGGAATATCTTCACATAAAAACTAAACAGAAGCATTCTCAGAAACTTCTTGGTGATGTTTGCATTCAAATCCCAGAGTTGAACCTTCCTTTGATAGTTCAGGTTTGAAACACTCTTTTTGTAGGATCTGCAAGTGGCTATTTGGACCACTCTGTGGCCTTCGTTCGAAACGGGTATATCTTCGCATAAAATCTAGACAGAAGCATTCTCAGAAAACACTTTGCGATGATTGAGTTTAAATCACAGAGCTGAACATTCCTTTGGATGGAGCAGGTTTGAGACACACTTTTTGTAGAATCTACAAGTGGATATTTGGACCTCTCTGAGGATTTCGTTGGAAACGGGATAACTGCACCTAACTAAACGGAAGCATTCTCAGAAACTGCTTTGTGATGATTGCATTCACCTCACAGAGTTGAACATTCCTATTGATAGAGCAGTTTGGAAACACTCTTGTTGTGGAATGTGCAAGTGGAGATTTGGAGCGCTTTGAGGCCTATGGTAGTAAAGGGAATAGCTTCATAGAAAAACTAGACAGATGCATTCTCAGGAACTTTTTGGTGATGTTTGTATTCAACTCCCAGAGTTGAACTTTCCTTTGGAAAGAGCAGCTATGAAACACTCTTTTTCTAGAATCTGCAAGTGGACGTTTGGAGGGCTTTGTGGTTTGTGGTGGAAAAGGAAATATCTTCACCTAAATACTAGATAGAAGCATTCTCAGAAGCTTCTCTGTGATGACTGCATTCAACTCACGGAGTTGAACACTCCTTTTGAGAGCGCAGTTTTGAAACTCTCTTTCTGTGGCATCTGCAAGGGGACATGTAGACCTCTTTGAAGATTTCGTTGGAAACGGAATCATCTTCACATAAAAACTATACAGAAGCAGTCTCAGAATCTTCTTTGTGATGTTTGCATTCAAATCCCAGAGTTGAACTTTCCTTTCAAAGTTCACGTTTGAAACACTCTTTTTGCAGGATCTACAAGTGGATATTTGGACCACTCTGTGTCCTTCGTTCGAAACGGGTATATCTTCACACGACATCTAGACAGAAGCTTTCTCAGAAAATTCTTAGGGATGATTGAGTGGAACTCACAGAGCTGAACATTCCTTGCGATGTAGCAGTTTAGAAACACACTTTCTGCAGAATCTGCAAGTGCATATTTGGACCTCTCTGAGGAATTCGTTGGAAACGGGATAATTTCAGCTGACTAAACAGAAGCATTCTCAGAACCTTCTTCGTGCTGTCTGCATTCAACTCACAGTGTGGAACCTTTCTTTGATAGTTCAGGTTTGAAACACTCTTTTTGTAGAAACTGCAAGGGGATAATTGCACTTCTTTGAGGCCTACCGTAGTAAAGGAAATAACTTCCTATAGAAAGAAGACAGAAGCATTCTCAGAACCCTCTTCGTGATGTTTGCATTCAACTCACAGTGCTGAACCTTTCTTTGATAGTTCAGCTTTGAAACACTCTTCTTGTAGAAACTGCAAGTGGATATTTGGTCCTCTCTGAGGATTTCGTTGGAAACGGGATAAACCGCACAGAACTAAACAGAAGAATTCTCAGAGCCCTCTTCGTGATGTTTGCATTCAACTCACAGTGCTGAACCTTTCTTTGATAGTGCAGCTTTGAAACACTCTTTTTGTAGAAACTGCAAGTGGATGTTTGGTCCTCTCTGAGGATTTCGTTGGAAACGGGATAAACCGCACAGAACTAAAACAGAAGCATTGTCAGAAACTTCTTTGTGATGATTGCATTCAACTCACAGAGTTGAAGGTTCCTTTTCAAACAGCAGTTTCCAATCACTCTTTCTGTGGAATCTGCAAGTGGATATTTGGGCCTCTCTGAGGATTTCGTTGGAAACGGGATAAAACGCACAGAACTAAAACAGAAGCATTCTCAGAAACTTCTCTGTGATGTTTGTGTTCAACTCCCAGAGTTTCACGTTGCTTTTCATAGAGTAGTTCTGAAACATGCTTTTCGTAGTGTCTGCAAGTGGACATTTGGAGCGCTTTCAGGCCTGTGGTGGAAAACGAATTATGGTCACATAAAAACTGGAGAGAAGCCTTCTCAGAAACTTCTCTGTGATGATTGCATTCAACTCACAGAGTTGAACCCTCCTATGGATAGAGCAGTGTTGAAACTCTCTTTTTGTGGAATCTGCAAGTGGATATGTGGACCTCTCCGAAGATGTCTTTGGAAACGGGAATATCTTCACATAAAAACTAAACAGAAGCATTCTCAGAAACTTCTTGGTGATGTTTGCATTCAAATCCCAGAGTTGAACCTTCCTTTGATAGTTCAGGTTTGAAACACTCTTTCTGTAGGATCTGCAAGTGGCTATTTGGACCACTCTGTGGCCTTCGTTCGAAACGGGTATATCTTCGCATAAAATCTAGACAGAAGCATTCTCAGAAAATACTTTGTGATGATTGAGTTTAAATCACAGAGCTGACCATTCCTTTGGATGGAGCAGGTTTGAGACACACTTTTTGTAGAATCTACAAGTGGATATTTGGACCTCTCTGAGGATTTCGTTGGAAACGGGATAACTGCACCTAACTAAACGGAAGCATTCTCAGAAACTGCTTTGTGATGATTGCATTCACCTCACAGAGTTGAACATTCCTATTGATAGAGCAGTTTGGAAACACTCTTGTTGTGGAATGTGCAAGTGGAGATTTGGAGCGCTTTGAGGCCTATGGTAGTAAAGGGAATAGCTTCATAGAAAAACTAGACAGATGCATTCTCAGGAACTTTTTGGTGATGTTTGTATTCAACTCCCAGAGTTGAACTTTCCTTTGGAAAGAGCAGCTATGAAACACTCTTTTTCTAGAATCTGCAAGTGGACGTTTGGAGGGCTTTGTGGTTTGTGGTGGAAAAGGAAATATCTTCACCTAAATACTAGATAGAAGCATTCTCAGAAGCTTCTCTGTGATGACTGCATTCAACTCACGGAGTTGAACACTCCTTTTGAGAGCGCAGTTTTGAAACTCTCTTTCTGTGGCATCTGCAAGGGGACATGTAGACCTCTTTGAAGATTTCGTTGGAAACGGAATCATCTTCACATAAAAACTATACAGAAGCAGTCTCAGAATCTTCTTTGTGATGTTTGCATTCAAATCCCAGAGTTGAACTTTCCTTTCAAAGTTCACGTTTGAAACACTCTTTTTGCAGGATCTACAAGTGGATATTTGGACCACTCTGTGTCCTTCGTTCGAAACGGGTATATCTTCACACGACATCTAGACAGAAGCTTTCTCAGAAAATTCTTTGGGATGATTGAGTGGAACTCACAGAGCTGAACATTCCTTGCGATGTAGCAGTTTAGAAACACACTTTCTGCAGAATCTGCAAGTGCATATTTGGACCTCTCTGAGGAATTCGTTGGAAACGGGATAATTTCAGCTGACTAAACAGAAGCATTCTCAGAACCTTCTTCGTGATGTCTGCATTCAACTCACAGTGTGGAACCTTTCTTTGATAGTTCAGGTTTGAAACACTCTTTTTGTAGAAACTGCAAGGGGATAATTGCACTTCTTTGAGGCCTACCGTAGTAAAGGAAATAACTTCCTATAGAAAGAAGACAGAAGCATTCTCAGAACCCTCTTCGTGATGTTTGCATTCAACTCACAGTGCTGAACCTTTCTTTGATAGTTCAGCTTTGAAACACTCTTCTTGTAGAAACTGCAAGTGGATATTTGGTCCTCTCTGAGGATTTCGTTGGAAACGGGATAAACCGCACAGAACTAAACAGAAGCATTCTCAGAACCTTCTTCGTGATGTTTGCATTCAACTCACAGTGTTGAACCTTTCTTTGATAGTTCAGGTTTGAAACGGTCTTTGTGTAGAGACTGCAAGTAGATATTTGGACCTCTCTGAGGATTTCGTTGGAAACGGGATAAACCGCACAGAACTAAAACAGAAGCATTCACAGAAAACTCTTGGTGACGACTGAGTTTAACTCACAGAGCTGAACATTCCTTTGGATGGAGCAGTTTCGAAACACACTATTTGTAGAATGTGCAAGTGGATATGTGGGCCTCTCTGAGGATTTCGTTGGAAACGGGATAAACCGCACAGAACTAAACAGAAGCATTCTCAGAAACTACTTTGTGATGATTGCATTCAAGTCACAGAGTTGAACATTCCCTTTGACAGAGCAGTTTGGAAACTCTCTTTGTGTAGAATCTGCAAGTGGAGATATGGACCGCTTTGAGGCCTATGGTAGTAAAGGAAATAGCTTCATATAAAAGCTAGACAGTAGCATTCTGAGAAACTTCTTTGTGATGCTTGCATTCAACTCACAGAGTTGAACTTTCCTTTCGAGAGAGAAGCTTTGAAACACTCTTTTTCCAGAATCTGCAAGTGGACATTTGGAGGGCTTTGAGGCCTGTGGTGGAAAAGGAATTATCTTCCCGTAAAAGCTAGATAGAAGCATTGTCAGAAACTTCTTTGTGATGATTGCATTCAAGTCACAGAGTTGAAGGTTCCTTTTCAAAGAGCAGTTTCCAATCACTCTTTCTGTGGAATCTGCAAGTGGATATTTGGACCTCTTTGAAGATTTCGTTGGAAACGGGAGAATCTTCACAGAAAAGCTAAACAGAAGCATTCTCAGAAACTTCTCTGTGATGTTTGGGTTCAACTCCCAGAGTTTCACATTGCTTTTCATAGAGTAGTTCTGAAACATGCTTTTCGTAGTGTCTGCAAGTGGACATTTGGAGCGCTTTCAGGCCTGTGGTGGAAAACGAATTATGGTCACATAAAAACTGGAGAGAAGCCTTCTCAGAAACTTCTCTGTGATGATTGCATTCAACTCACAGAGTTGAACCCTCCTATGGATAGAGCAGTGTTGAAACTGTCTTTTTGTGGAATCTGCAAGTGGATATGTGGACCTCTCCGAAGATGTCTTTGGAAACGGGAATATCTTCACATAAAAACTAAACAGAAGCATTCTCAGAAACTTCTTGGTGATGTTTGCATTCAAATCCCAGAGTTGAACCTTCCTTTGAGAGTTCAGGTTTGAAACACTCTTTTTGTAGGATCTGCAAGTGGATATTTGGACCACTCTGTGGCCTTCGTTCGAAACGGGTACATCTTCGCATAAAATCTAGACAGAAGCATTCTCAGAACCTTCTTCGTGATGTTTGCATTCAACTCACAGTGCTGAACCTTTCTTTGATAGTTCAGCATTGAAACACTCTTTTTGTAGAAACTGCAAGTGGATATTTCGTCCTCTCTGAGGATTTCGTTGGAAACGGGATAAACCGCACAGAACTAAACAGAAGCATTCTCAGAACATTCTTCGTGATGTTTGCATTCAACTCACAGTGCTGAAACTTTCTTTGATAGTTCAGCTTTGAAACACTCTTTTTGTAGAAACTGCAAGTGGATATTTGGTCCTCTCTGAGGATTTCGTTGGAAACGGGATAAACCGCGCAGAACTAAACAGAAGCATTCTCAGAACCTTCTTCGTGATGTTTGCATTCAACTCACAGTGTTGAACCTTTCTTTGATAGTTCAGGTTTGAAACGGTCTTTCTGTAGAAACTGCAAGTAGATATTTGGACCTCTCTGAGGATTTCGTTGGAAACGGGATAACCCGCACAGAACTAAAACAGAAGCATTCACAGAAAACTCTTGGTGACGACTGAGTTTAACTCACAGAGCTGAACATTCCTTTGGATGGAGCAGTTTCGAAACACACTATTTGTAGAATGTGCAAGTGGATATTTAGGCCTCTCTGAGGATTTCGTTGGAAACGGGATAAACCGCACAGAACTAAACAGAAGCATTCTCAGAAACTACTTTGTGATGATTGCATTCAAGTCACAGAGTTGAACATTCCCTTTGACAGAGCAGTTTGGAAACTCTCTTTGTGTAGAATCTGCAAGTGGAGATATGGACCGCTTTGAGGCCTATGGTAGTAAAGGAAATAGCTTCATATAAAAGCTAGACAGTAGCATTCTCAGAAACTTCTTTGTGATGCTTGCATTCAACTCACAGAGTTGAACTTTCCTTTCGAGAGAGAAGCTTTGAAACACTCTTTTTCCAGAATCTGGAAGTGGACATTTGGAGGGCTTTGAGGCCTGTGGTGGAAAAGGAATTATCTTCCCGTAAAAGCTAGATAGAAGCATTGTCAGAAACTTCTTTGTGATGATTGCATTCAACTCAGAGTTGAAGGTTCCTTTTCAAAGAGCAGTTTCCAATCACTCTTTCTGTGGAATCTGCAAGTGGATATTTCGACCTATTTTGAAGATTTCGTTGGAAACGGGATAATCTTCACAGAAAAGCTAAACAGAAGCATTCTCAGCAAACTTCTCTGTGATGTTTGTGTTCAACTCCCAGAGTTTCACATTGCTTTTCATAGAGTAGTTCTGAAACATGCTTTTCGTAGTGTCTACAAGTGGACATTTGGAGCGCTTTCAGGCCTGTGGTGGAAAACGAATTATGGTCACATAAAAACTGGAGAGAAGCCTTCTCAGAAACTTCTCTGTGATGATTGCATTCAACTCACAGATTTGAACCCTCCTATGGATAGAGCATTGTTGAAACTCTCTTTTTGTGGAATCTGCAAGTGGATATGTGCACCTCTCCGAAGATGTCTTTGGAAACGGGAATATCTTCACATAAAAACTAAACAGAAGCATTCTCAGAAACTTCTTGGTGATGTTTGCATTCAAATCCCAGAGTTGAACCTTCCTTTGATAGTTCAGGTTTGAAACACTCTTTTTGTAGGATCTGCAAGTGGCTATTTGGACCACTCTGTGGCCTTCGTTCGAAACTGGTATATCTTCGCATAAAATCTAGACAGAAGCATTCTCAGAAAATACTTTGTGATGATTGAGTTTAAATCACAGAGCTGACCATTCCTTTGGATGGAGCAGGTTTGAGACACACTTTTTGTAGAATCTACAAGTGGATATTTGGACCTCTCTGAGGATTTCGTTGGAAACGGGATAACTGCACCTAACTAAACGGAAGCATTCTCAGAAACTGCTTTGTGATGATTGCATTCACCTCACAGAGTTGAACATTCCTATTGATAGAGCAGTTTGGAAACACTCTTGTTGTGGAATGTGCAAGTGGAGATTTGGAGCGCTTTGAGGCCTATGGTAGTAAAGGGAATAGCTTCATAGAAAAACTAGACAGATGCATTCTCAGGAACTTTTTGGTGATGTTTGTATTCAACTCCCAGAGTTGAACTTTCCTTTGGAAAGAGCAGCTATGAAACACTCTTTTTCTAGAATCTGCAAGTGGACGTTTGGAGGGCTTTGTGGTTTGTGGTGGAAAAGGAAATATCTTCACCTAAATACTAGATAGAAGCATTCTCAGAAGCTTCTCTGTGATGACTGCATTCAACTCACGGAGTTGAACACTCCTTTTGAGAGCGCAGTTTTGAAACTCTCTTTCTGTGGCATCTGCAAGGGGACATGTAGACCTCTTTGAAGATTTCGTTGGAAACGGAATCATCTTCACATAAAAACTATACAGAAGCAGTCTCAGAATCTTCTTTGTGATGTTTGCATTCAAATCCCAGAGTTGAACTTTCCTTTCAAAGTTCACGTTTGAAACACTCTTTTTGCAGGATCTACAAGTGGATATTTGGACCACTCTGTGTCCTTCGTTCGAAACGGGTATATCTTCACACGACATCTAGACAGAAGCTTTCTCAGAAAATTCTTTGGGATGATTGAGTGGAACTCACAGAGCTGAACATTCCTTGCGATGTAGCAGTTTAGAAACACACTTTCTGCAGAATCTGCAAGTGCATATTTGGACCTCTCTGAGGAATTCGTTGGAAACGGGATAATTTCAGCTGACTAAACAGAAGCATTCTCAGAACCTTCTTCGTGATGTCTGCATTCAACTCACAGTGTGGAACCTTTCTTTGATAGTTCAGGTTTGAAACACTCTTTTTGTAGAAACTGCAAGGGGATAATTGCACTTCTTTGAGGCCTACCGTAGTAAAGGAAATAACTTCCTATAGAAAGAAGACAGAAGCATTCTCAGAACCCTCTTCGTGATGTTTGCATTCAACTCACAGTGCTGAACCTTTCTTTGATAGTTCAGCTTTGAAACACTCTTCTTGTAGAAACTGCAAGTGGATATTTGGTCCTCTCTGAGGATTTCGTTGGAAACGGGATAAACCGCACAGAACTAAACAGAAGAATTCTCAGAGCCCTCTTCGTGATGTTTGCATTCAACTCACAGTGCTGAACCTTTCTTTGATAGTGCAGCTTTGAAACACTCTTTTTGTAGAAACTGCAAGTGGATGTTTGGTCCTCTCTGAGGATTTCGTTGGAAACGGGATAAACCGCACAGAACTAAAACAGAAGCATTGTCAGAAACTTCTTTGTGATGATTGCATTCAACTCACAGAGTTGAAGGTTCCTTTTCAAACAGCAGTTTCCAATCACTCTTTCTGTGGAATCTGCAAGTGGATATTTGGGCCTCTCTGAGGATTTCGTTGGAAACGGGATAAAACGCACAGAACTAAAACAGAAGCATTCTCAGAAACTTCTCTGTGATGTTTGTGTTCAACTCCCAGAGTTTCACGTTGCTTTTCATAGAGTAGTTCTGAAACATGCTTTTCGTAGTGTCTGCAAGTGGACATTTGGAGCGCTTTCAGGCCTGTGGTGGAAAACGAATTATGGTCACATAAAAACTGGAGAGAAGCCTTCTCAGAAACTTCTCTGTGATGATTGCATTCAACTCACAGAGTTGAACCCTCCTATGGATAGAGCAGTGTTGAAACTCTCTTTTTGTGGAATCTGCAAGTGGATATGTGGACCTCTCCGAAGATGTCTTTGGAAACGGGAATATCTTCACATAAAAACTAAACAGAAGCATTCTCAGAAACTTCTTGGTGATGTTTGCATTCAAATCCCAGAGTTGAACCTTCCTTTGATAGTTCAGGTTTGAAACACTCTTTCTGTAGGATCTGCAAGTGGCTATTTGGACCACTCTGTGGCCTTCGTTCGAAACGGGTATATCTTCGCATAAAATCTAGACAGAAGCATTCTCAGAAAATACTTTGTGATGATTGAGTTTAAATCACAGAGCTGACCATTCCTTTGGATGGAGCAGGTTTGAGACACACTTTTTGTAGAATCTACAAGTGGATATTTGGACCTCTCTGAGGATTTCGTTGGAAACGGGATAACTGCACCTAACTAAACGGAAGCATTCTCAGAAACTGCTTTGTGATGATTGCATTCACCTCACAGAGTTGAACATTCCTATTGATAGAGCAGTTTGGAAACACTCTTGTTGTGGAATGTGCAAGTGGAGATTTGGAGCGCTTTGAGGCCTGTGGTAGTAAAGGGAATAGCTTCATAGAAAAACTAGACAGATGCATTCTCAGGAACTTTTTGGTGATGTTTGTATTCAACTCCCAGAGTTGAACTTTCCTTTGGAAAGAGCAGCTATGAAACACTCTTTTTCTAGAATCTGCAAGTGGACGTTTGGAGGGCTTTGTGGTTTGTGGTGGAAAAGGAAATATCTTCACCTAAATACTAGATAGAAGCATTCTCAGAAGCTTCTCTGTGATGACTGCATTCAACTCACGGAGTTGAACACTCCTTTTGAGAGTGCAGTTTTGAAACTCTCTTTCTGTGGCATCTGCAAGGGGACATGTAGACCTCTTTGAAGATTTCGTTGGAAACGGAATCATCTTCACATAAAAACTATACAGAAGCAGTCTCAGAATCTTCTTTGTGATGTTTTCATTCAAATCCCAGAGTTGAACTTTCCTTCCAAAGTTCAGGTTTGAAACACTCTTTTTGCAGGATCTACAAGTGGATATTTGGACCACTCTGTGTCCTTCGTTCGAAACGGGTATATCTTCACATGATATCTAGACAGAAGCTTTCTCAGAAAATTCTTTGGGATGATTGAGTTGAACTCACAGAGCTGAACATTCCTTGCGATGGAGCAGTTTAGAAACACACTTTCTGCAGAATCTGCAAGTGCATATTTGGACGTCTCTGAGGAATTCGTTGGAAACGGGATAATTTCAGCTGACTAAACAGAAGCATTCTCAGAACCTTCTTCGTGATGTCTGCATTCAACTCTCAGTGTGGAACCTTTCTTTGATAGTTCAGGTTTGAAACACTCTTTTTGTAGAAACTGCAAGGGGATAATTGCACTTCTTTGATCCCTACCGCAGTAAAGGAAATAACTTCCTATAAAAAGAAGACAGAAGCATTCTCAGAACCCTCTTCGTGATGTTTGCATTCAACTCACAGTGCTGAACCTTTCTTTGATAGTTCAGCTTTGAAACACTCTTTTTGTAGAAACTGCAAGTGGATATTTTGTCCTCTCTGAGCATTTCGTTGGAAACGGGATAAACTGCACAGAACTAAACAGAAGCATTCTCAGAACCTTCTTCGTGATGTTTGCATTCAACTCACAGTGTTGAACCTTTCTTTGATAGTTCAGGTTTGAAACGGTCTTTCTGTAGAAACTGCAAGTAGATATTTGGACCTCTCTGAGGATTTCGTTGGAAACGGGATAACCCACACAGAACTAAAACAGAAGCATTCACAGAAAACTCTTGGTGACGACTGAGTTTAACTCACAGAGCTGAACATTCCTTTGGATGGAGCAGTTTCGAAACACACTATTTGTAGAATGTGCAAGTGGATATTTAGGCCTCTCTGAGGATTTCGTTGGAAACGGGATAAACCGCACAGAACTAAACAGAAGCATTCTCAGAAACTACTTTGTGATGATTGCATTCAAGTCACAGAGTTGAACATTCCCTTTGACAGAGCAGTTTGGAAACTCTCTTTGTGTAGAATCTGCAAGTGGAGATATGGACCGCTTTGAGGCCTATGGTAGTAAAGGAAATAGCTTCATATAAAAGCTAGACAGTAGCATTCTCAGAAACTTCTTTGTGATGCTTGCATTCAACTCACAGAGTTGAACTTTCCTTTCGAGAGAGAAGCTTTGAAACACTCTTTTTCCAGAATCTGCAAGTGGACATTTGGAGGGCTTTGAGGCCTGTGGTGGAAAAGGAATTATCTTCCCGTAAAAGCTAGATAGAAGCATTGTCAGAAACTTCTTTGTGATGATTGCATTCAAGTCACAGAGTTGAAGGTTCCTTTTCAAAGAGCAGTTTCCAATCACTCTTTCTGTGGAATCTGCAAGTGGATATTTGGACCTCTTTGAAGATTTCGTTGGAAACGGGAGAATCTTCACAGAAAAGCTAAACAGAAGCATTCTCAGAAGCTTCTCTGTGATGTTTGTGTTCAACTCCCAGAGTTTCACATTGCTTCTCATAGAGTAGTTCTGAAACATGCTTTTCGTAGTGTCTGCAAGTGGACATTTGGAGCGCTTTCAGGCCTGTGGTGGAAAACGAATTATGGTCACATAAAAACTGGAGAGAAGCCTTCTCAGAAACTTCTCTGTGATGATTGCATTCAACTCACAGAGTTGAACCCTCCTATGGATAGAGCAGTGTTGAAACTCTCTTTTTGTGGAATCTGCAAGCGGATATGTGGACCTCTCCGAAGATGTCTTTGGAAACGGGAATATCTTCACATAAAAACTAAACAGAAGCATTCTCAGAAACTTCTTGGTGATGTTTGCATTCAAATCCCAGAGTTGAACCTTCCTTTGATAGTTCAGGTTTGAAACACTCTTTTTGTAGGATCTGCAAGTGGATATTTGGACCACTCTGTGGCCTTCGTTCGAAACGGGTACATCTTCGCATAAAATCTAGACAGAAGCATTCTCAGAAAATACTTTGTGATGATTGAGTTGAACTCACAGAGCTGAACATTCCTTTGGATGGAGCAGGTTTGAGACACACTTTTTGTAGAATCTACAAGTGGATATTTGGACCTCTCTGAGGATTTCGTTGGAAACGGGATAACTGCACCTAACTAAACGGAAGCATTCTCAGAAACTGCTTTGTGATGATTGCATTCACCTCACAGAGTTGAACATTCCTATTGATAGAGCAGTTTGGAAACACTCTTGTTGTGGAATGTGCAAGTGGAGATTTGGAGCGCTTTGAGGCCTATGGTAGTAAAGGGAATAGCTTCATAGAAAAACTAGACAGATGCATTCTCAGGAACTTTTTGGTGATGTTTGTATTCAACTCCCAGAGTTGAACTTTCCTTTGGAAAGAGCAGCTATGAAACACTGTTTTTCTAGAATCTGCAAGTGGACGTTTGGAGGGCTTTGTGGTTTGTGGTGGAAAAGGAAATATCTTCACCTAAATACTAGATAGAAGCATTCTCAGAAGCTTCTCTGTGATGACTGCATTCAACTCACGGAGTTGAACACTCCTTTTGAGAGCGCAGTTTTGAAACTCTCTTTCTGTGGCATCCGCAAGGGGACATGTAGACCTCTTTGAAGATTTCGTTGGAAACGGAATCATCTTCACATAAAAACTATACAGAAGCAGTCTCAGAATCTTCTTTGTGATGTTTGCATTCAAATCCCAGAGTTGAACTTTCCTTTCCAAGTTCACGTTTGAAACACTCTTTTTGCAGGATCTACAAGTGGATATTTGGACCACTCTGTGTCCTTCGTTCGAAACGGGTATATCTTCACATGACATCTAGACAGAAGCTTTCTCAGAAAATTCTTTGGGATGATTGAGTGGAACTCACAGAGCTGAACATTCCTTGCGATGTAGCAGTTTAGAAACACACTTTCTGCAGAATCTGCAAGTGCATATTTGGACCTCTCTGAGGAATTCGTTGGAAACGGGATAATTTCAGCTGACTAAACAGAAGCATTCTCAGAACCTTCTTCGTGATGTCTGCATTCAACGCACAGTGTGGAACCTTTCTTTGATAGTTCAGGTTTGAAACACTCTTTTTGTAGAAACTGCAAGGGGATAATTGCACTTCTTTGAGGCCTACCGTAGTAAAGGAAATAACTTCCTATAGAAAGAAGACAGAAGCATTCTCAGAACCCTCTTCGTGATGTTTGCATTCAACTCACAGTGCTGAATCTTTCTTTGATAGTTCAGCTTTGAAACACTCTTCTTGTAGAAACTGCAAGTGGATATTTGGTCCTCTCTGAGGATTTCGTTGGAAACGGGATAAACCGCACAGAACTAAACAGAAGCATTCTCAGAACCTTCTTCGTGATGTTTGCATTCAACTCACAGTGTTGAACCTTTCTTTGATAGTTCAGGTTTGAAACGGTCTTTCTGTAGAAACTGCAAGTAGATATTTGGACCTCTCTGAGGATTTCGTTGGAAACGGGATAACCCGCACAGAACTAAAACAGAAGCATTCACAGAAAACTCTTGGTGACGACTGAGTTTAACTCACAGAGCTGAACATTCCTTTGGATGGAGCAGTTTCGAAACACACTATTTGTAGAATGTGCAAGTGGATATTTGGGCCTCTCTGAGGATTTCGTTGGAAACGGGATAAACCGCACAGAAATAAACAGAAGCATTCTCAGAAACTACTTTGTGATGATTGCATTCAAGTCACAGAGTTGAACATTCCCTTTGACAGAGCAGTTTGGAAACTCTCTTTCTGTAGAATCTGCAAGTGGAGATATGGACCGCTTTGAGGCCTATGGTAGTAAAGGAAATAGCTTCATATAAAAGCTAGACAGTAGCATTCTCAGAAACTTCTTTGTGATGCTTGCATTCAACTCACAGAGTTGAACTTTCCTTTCGAGAGAGAAGCTTTGAAACACTCTTTTTCCAGAATCTGCAAGTGGACATTTGGAGGGCTTTGAGGCCTGTGGTGGAAAAGGAATTAACTTCCCGTAAAAGCTAGATAGAAGCATTGTCAGAAACTTCTTTGTGATGATTGCATTCAACTCACAGAGATGAAGGTTCCTTTACAAACAGCAGTTTCCAAACACTCTTTCTGTGGAATCTGCAAGTGGATATTTGGACCTCTTTGAAGATTTCGTTGGAAACGGGAGAATCTTCACAGAAAAGCTAAACAGAAGCATTCTCAGAAACTTCTCTGTGATGTTTGTGTTCAACTCCCAGAGTTTCACATTGCTTTTCATAGAGTAGTTCTGAAACATGCTTTTCGTAGTGTCTGCAAGTGGACATTTGGAGCGCTTTCAGGCCTGTGGTGGAAAACGAATTATGGTCCCATAAAAACTGGAGAGAAGCCTTCTCAGAAACTTCTCTGTGATGATTGCATTCAACTCACAGATTTGAACCCTCCTATGGATAGAGCATTCTTGAAACTCTCTTTTTGTGGAATCTGCAAGTGGATATGTGGACCTCTCCGAAGATGTCTTTGGAAACGGGAATATCTTCACATAAAAACAAAACAGAAGCATTCTCAGAAACTTCTTGGTGATGTTTGCATTCAAATCCCAGAGTTGAACCTTCCTGTGATAGTTCAGGTTTGAAACACTCTTTTTGTAGGATCTGCAAGTGGATATTTGGACCACTCTGTGGCCTTCGTTCGAAACGGGTACATCTTCACATAAAATCTAGACAGAAGCATTCTCAGAAAATACTTTGTGATGATTGAGTTTAACTCACAGAGCTGAACATTCCTTTGGATGGAGCAGGTTTGAGACACACTTTTTGTAGAATCTACAAGTGGATATTGGGACCTCTCTGAGGATTTCGTTGGAAACGCGATAACTGCACCTAACTAAACGGAAGCATTCTCAGAAACTGCTTTGTGATGATTGCATTCACCTCACAGAGTTGAACATTCCTATTGATAGAGCAGTTTGGAAACACTCTTGTTGTGGAATGTGCAAGTGGAGATTTGGAGCGCTTTGAGGCCTATGGTAGTAAAGGGAATAGCTTCATAGAAAAACTAGACAGATGCATTCTCAGGAACTTTTTGGTGATGTTTGTATTCAACTCCCAGAGTTGAACTTTCCTTTGGAAAGAGCATCTATGAAACACTGTTTTTCTAGAATCTGCAAGTGGACGTTTGGAGGGCTTTGTGGTTTGTGGTGGAAAAGGAAATATCTTCACCTAAATACTAGATAGAAGCATTCTCAGAAGCTTCTCTGTGATGACTGCATTGAACTCACGGAGTTGAACACTCCTTTTGGGAGCGCAGTTTTGAAACTCTCTTTCTGTGGCATCTGCAAGGGGACATGTAGACCTCTTTGAAGATTTCGTTGGAAACGGAATCATCTTCACATAAAAACTATACAGAAGCAGTCTCAGAATCTTCTTTGTGATGTTTGCATTCAAATCCCAGAGTTGAACTTTCCTTTCAAAGTTCACGTTTGAAACACTCTTTTTGCAGGATCTACAAGTGGATATTTGGACCACTCTGTGTCCTTCGTTCGAAACGGGTATATCTTCACACGACATCTAGACAGAAGCTTTCTCAGAAAATTCTTTGGGATGATTGAGTGGAACTCACAGAGCTGAACATTCCTTGCGATGTAGCAGTTTAGAAACACACTTTCTGCAGAATCTGCAAGTGCATATTTGGACCTCTCTGAGGAATTCGTTGGAAACGGGATAATTTCAGCTGACTAAACAGAAGCATTCTCAGAACCTTCTTCGTGATGTCTGCATTCAACTCACAGTGTGGAACCTTTCTTTGATAGTTCAGGTTTGAAACACTCTTTTTGTAGAAACTGCAAGGGGATAATTGCACTTCTTTGAGGCCTACCGTAGTAAAGGAAATAACTTCCTATAGAAAGAAGACAGAAGCATTCTCAGAACCCTCTTCGTGATGTTTGCATTCAACTCACAGTGCTGAACCTTTCTTTGATAGTTCAGCTTTGAAACACTCTTCTTGTAGAAACTGCAAGTGGATATTTGGTCCTCTCTGAGGATTTCGTTGGAAACGGGATAAACCGCACAGAACTAAACAGAAGCATTCTCAGAGCCCTCTTCGTGATGTTTGCATTCAACTCACAGTGCTGAACCTTTCTTTGATAGTGCAGCTTTGAAACACTCTTTTTGTAGAAACTGCAAGTGGATGTTTGGTCCTCTCTGAGGATTTCGTTGGAAACGGGATAAACCGCACAGAACTAAAACAGAAGCATTGTCAGAAACTTCTTTGTGATGATTGCATTCAACTCACAGAGTTGAAGGTTCCTTTTCAAACAGCAGTTTCCAATCACTCTTTCTGTGGAATCTGCAAGTGGATATTTGGGCCTCTCTGAGGATTTCGTTGGAAACGGGATAAAACGCACAGAACTAAAACAGAAGCATTCTCAGAAACTTCTCTGTGATGTTTGTGTTCAACTCCCAGAGTTTCACGTTGCTTTTCATAGAGTAGTTCTGAAACATGCTTTTCGTAGTGTCTGCAAGTGGACATTTGGAGCGCTTTCAGGCCTGTGGTGGAAAACGAATTATGGTCACATAAAAACTGGAGAGAAGCCTTCTCAGAAACTTCTCTGTGATGATTGCATTCAACTCACAGAGTTGAACCCTCCTATGGATAGAGCAGTGTTGAAACTCTCTTTTTGTGGAACCTGCAAGTGGATATGTGGACCTCTCCGAAGATGTCTTTGGAAACGGGAATATCTTCACATAAAAACTAAACAGAAGCATTCTCAGAAACTTCTTGGTGATGTTTGCATTCAAATCCCAGAGTTGAACCTTCCTTTGATAGTTCAGGTTTGAAACACTCTTTCTGTAGGATCTGCAAGTGGCTATTTGGACCACTCTGTGGCCTTCGTTCGAAACGGGTATATCTTCGCATAAAATCTAGACAGAAGCATTCTCAGAAAATACTTTGTGATGATTGAGTTTAAATCACAGAGCTGACCATTCCTTTGGATGGAGCAGGTTTGAGACACACTTTTTGTAGAATCTACAAGTGGATATTTGGACCTCTCTGAGGATTTCGTTGGAAACGGGATAACTGCACCTAACTAAACGGAAGCATTCTCAGAAACTGCTTTGTGATGATTGCATTCACCTCACAGAGTTGAACATTCCTATTGATAGAGCAGTTTGGAAACACTCTTGTTGTGGAATGTGCAAGTGGAGATTTGGAGCGCTTTGAGGCCTATGGTAGTAAAGGGAATAGCTTCATAGAAAAACTAGACAGATGCATTCTCAGGAACTTTTTGGTGATGTTTGTATTCAACTCCCAGAGTTGAACTTTCCTTTGGAAAGAGCAGCTATGAAACACTCTTTTTCTAGAATCTGCAAGTGGACGTTTGGAGGGCTTTGTGGTTTGTGGTGGAAAAGGAAATATCTTCACCTAAATACTAGATAGAAGCATTCTCAGAAGCTTCTCTGTGATGACTGCATTCAACTCACGGAGTTGAACACTCCTTTTGAGAGCGCAGTTTTGAAACTCTCTTTCTGTGGCATCTGCAAGGGGACATGTAGACCTCTTTGAAGATTTCGTTGGAAACGGAATCATCTTCACATAAAAACTATACAGAAGCAGTCTCAGAATCTTCTTTGTGATGTTTGCATTCAAATCCCAGAGTTGAACTTTCCTTTCAAAGTTCACGTTTGAAACACTCTTTTTGCAGGATCTACAAGTGGATATTTGGACCACTCTGTGTCCTTCGTTCGAAACGGGTATATCTTCACACGACATCTAGACAGAAGCTTTCTCAGAAAATTCTTTGGGATGATTGAGTGGAACTCACAGAGCTGAACATTCCTTGCGATGTAGCAGTTTAGAAACACACTTTCTGCAGAATCTGCAAGTGCATATTTGGACCTCTCTGAGGAATTCGTTGGAAACGGGATAATTTCAGCTGACTAAACAGAAGCATTCTCAGAACTTCTTCGTGATGTCTGCATTCAACTCACAGTGTGGAACCTTTCTTTGATAGTTCAGGTTTGAAACACTCTTTTTGTAGAAACTGCAAGGGGATAATTGCACTTCTTTGAGGCCTACCGTAGTAAAGGAAATAACTTCCTATAGAAAGAAGACAGAAGCATTCTCAGAACCCTCTTCGTGATGTTTGCATTCAACTCACAGTGCTGAACCTTTCTTTGATAGTTCAGCTTTGAAACACTCTTCTTGTAGAAACTGCAAGTGGATATTTGGTCCTCTCTGAGGATTTCGTTGGAAACGGGATAAACCGCACAGAACTAAACAGAAGCATTCTCAGAACCTTCTTCGTGATGTTTGCATTCAACTCACAGTGTTGAACCTTTCTTTGATAGTTCAGGTTTGAAACGGTCTTTCTGTAGAAACTGCAAGTAGATATTTGGACCTCTCTGAGGATTTCATTGGAAACGGGATAAACCGCACAGAACTAAAACAGAAGCATTCTCAGAAAACTCTTTGTGACGACTGAGTTTAACTCACAGGGCTGAACATTCCTTTGGATGGAGCAGTTTCGAAACACACTACTTGTAGAATCTGCCAGTGGATATTTGGGCCTCTCTGAGGATTTCGCTGGAAACGGGATAAACCGCACAGAAATAAACAGAAGCATTCTCAGAAACTTCTCTGTGATGTTTGTGTTCAACTCCCAGAGTTTCACGTTGCTTTTCATAGAGTAGTTCTGAAACATGCTTTTCGTAGTGTCTGCAAGTGGACATTTGGAGCGCTTTCAGGCCTGTGGTGGAAAACGAATTATGGTCACATAAAAACTGGAGAGAAGCCTTCTCAGAAACTTCTCTGTGATGATTGCATTCAACTCACAGAGTTGAACCCTCCTATGGATAGAGCAGTGTTGAAACTCTCTTTTTGTGGAATCTGCAAGTGGATATGTGGACCTCTCCGAAGATGTCTTTGGAAACGGGAATATCTTCACATAAAAACTAAACAGAAGCATTCTCAGAAACTTCTTGGTGATGTTTGCATTCAAATCCCAGAGTTGAACCTTCCTTTGATAGTTCAGGTTTGAAACACTCTTTCTGTAGGATCTGCAAGTGGCTATTTGGACCACTCTGTGGCCTTCGTTCGAAACGGGTATATCTTCGCATAAAATCTAGACAGAAGCATTCTCAGAAAATACTTTGTGATGATTGAGTTTAAATCACAGAGCTGACCATTCCTTTGGATGGAGCAGGTTTGAGACACACTTTTTGTAGAATCTACAAGTGGATATTTGGACCTCTCTGAGGATTTCGTTGGAAACGGGATAACTGCACCTAACTAAACGGAAGCATTCTCAGAAACTGCTTTGTGATGATTGCATTCACCTCACAGAGTTGAACATTCCTATTGATAGAGCAGTTTGGAAACACTCTTGTTGTGGAATGTGCAAGTGGAGATTTGGAGCGCTTTGAGGCCTGTGGTAGTAAAGGGAATAGCTTCATAGAAAAACTAGACAGATGCATTCTCAGGAACTTTTTGGTGATGTTTGTATTCAACTCCCAGAGTTGAACTTTCCTTTGGAAAGAGCAGCTATGAAACACTCTTTTTCTAGAATCTGCAAGTGGACGTTTGGAGGGCTTTGTGGTTTGTGGTGGAAAAGGAAATATCTTCACCTAAATACTAGATAGAAGCATTCTCAGAAGCTTCTCTGTGATGACTGCATTCAACTCACGGAGTTGAACACTCCTTTTGAGAGCGCAGTTTTGAAACTCTCTTTCTGTGGCATCTGCAAGGGGACATGTAGACCTCTTTGAAGATTTCGTTGGAAACGGAATCATCTTCACATAAAAACTATACAGAAGCAGTCTCAGAATCTTCTTTGTGATGTTTGCATTCAAATCCCAGAGTTGAACTTTCCTTTCAAAGTTCACGTTTGAAACACTCTTTTTGCAGGATCTACAAGTGGATATTTGGACCACTCTGTGTCCTTCGTTCGAAACGGGTATATCTTCACACGACATCTAGACAGAAGCTTTCTCAGAAAATTCTTTGGGATGATTGAGTGGAACTCACAGAGCTGAACATTCCTTGCGATGTAGCAGTTTAGAAACACACTTTCTGCAGAATCTGCAAGTGCATATTTGGACCTCTCTGAGGAATTCGTTGGAAACGGGATAATTTCAGCTGACTAAACAGAAGCATTCTCAGAACCTTCTTCGTGATGTCTGCATTCAACTCACAGTGTGGAACCTTTCTTTGATAGTTCAGGTTTGAAACACTCTTTTTGTAGAAACTGCAAGGGGATAATTGCACTTCTTTGAGGCCTACCGTAGTAAAGGAAATAACTTCCTATAGAAAGAAGACAGAAGCATTCTCAGAACCCTCTTCGTGATGTTTGCATTCAACTCACAGTGCTGAACCTTTCTTTGATAGTTCAGCTTTGAAACACTCTTCTTGTAGAAACTGCAAGTGGATATTTGGTCCTCTCTGAGGATTTCGTTGGAAACGGGATAAACCGCACAGAACTAAACAGAAGAATTCTCAGAGCCCTCTTCGTGATGTTTGCATTCAACTCACAGTGCTGAACCTTTCTTTGATAGTGCAGCTTTGAAACACTCTTTTTGTAGAAACTGCAAGTGGATGTTTGGTCCTCTCTGAGGATTTCGTTGGAAACGGGATAAACCGCACAGAACTAAAACAGAAGCATTGTCAGAAACTTCTTTGTGATGATTGCATTCAACTCACAGTAGTTGAAGGTTCCTTTTCAAACAGCAGTTTCCAATCACTCTTTCTGTGGAATCTGCAAGTGGATATTTGGGCCTCTCTGAGGATTTCGTTGGAAACGGGATAAAACGCACAGAACTAAAACAGAAGCATTCTCAGAAACTTCTCTGTGATGTTTGTGTTCAACTCCCAGAGTTTCACGTTGCTTTTCATAGAGTAGTTCTGAAACATGCTTTTCGTAGTGTCTGCAAGTGGACATTTGGAGCGCTTTCAGGCCTGTGGTGGAAAACGAATTATGGTCACATAAAAACTGGAGAGAAGCCTTCTCAGAAACTTCTCTGTGATGATTGCATTCAACTCACAGAGTTGAACCCTCCTATGGATAGAGCAGTGTTGAAACTCTCTTTTTGTGGAATCTGCAAGTGGATATGTGGACCTCTCCGAAGATGTCTTTGGAAACGGGAATATCTTCACATAAAAACTAAACAGAAGCATTCTCAGAAACTTCTTGGTGATGTTTGCATTCAAATCCCAGAGTTGAACCGTCCTTTGATAGTTCAGGTTTGAAACACTCTTTTTGTAGGATCTGCAAGTGGCTATTTGGACCACTCTGTGGCCTTCGTTCGAAACGGGTATATCTTCGCATAAAATCTAGACAGAAGCATTCTCAGAAAATACTTTGTGATGATTGAGTTTAAATCACAGAGCTGACCATTCCTTTGGATGGAGCAGGTTTGAGACACACTTTTTGTAGAATCTACAAGTGGATATTTGGACCTCTCTGAGGATTTCGTTGGAAACGGGATAACTGCACCTAACTAAACGGAAGCATTCTCAGAAACTGCTTTGTGATGATTGCATTCACCTCACAGAGTTGAACATTCCTATTGATAGAGCAGTTTGGAAACACTCTTGTTGTGGAATGTGCAAGTGGAGATTTGGAGCGCTTTGAGGCCTATGGTAGTAAAGGGAATAGCTTCATAGAAAAACTAGACAGATGCATTCTCAGGAACTTTTTGGTGATGTTTGTATTCAACTCCCAGAGTTGAACTTTCCTTTGGAAAGAGCAGCTATGAAACACTCTTTTTCTAGAATCTGCAAGTGGACGTTTGGAGGGCTTTGTGGTTTGTGGTGGAAAAGGAAATATCTTCACCTAAATACTAGATAGAAGCATTCTCAGAAGCTTCTCTGTGATGACTGCATTCAACTCACGGAGTTGAACACTCCTTTTGAGAGCGCAGTTTTGAAACTCTCTTTCTGTGGCATCTGCAAGGGGACATGTAGACCTCTTTGAAGATTTCGTTGGAAACGGAATCATCTTCACATAAAAACTATACAGAAGCAGTCTCAGAATCTTCTTTGTGATGTTTGCATTCAAATCCCAGAGTTGAACTTTCCTTTCAAAGTTCACGTTTGAAACACTCTTTTTGCAGGATCTACAAGTGGATATTTGGACCACTCTGTGTCCTTCGTTCGAAACGGGTATATCTTCACACGACATCTAGACAGAAGCTTTCTCAGAAAATTCTTTGGGATGATTGAGTGGAACTCACAGAGCTGAACATTCCTTGCGATGTAGCAGTTTAGAAACACACTTTCTGCAGAATCTGCAAGTGCATATTTGGACCTCTCTGAGGAATTCGTTGGAAACGGGATAATTTCAGCTGACTAAACAGAAGCATTCTCAGAACCTTCTTCGTGATGTCTGCATTCAACTCACAGTGTGGAACCTTTCTTTGATAGTTCAGGTTTGAAACACTCTTTTTGTAGAAACTGCAAGGGGATAATTGCACTTCTTTGAGGCCTACCGTAGTAAAGGAAATAACTTCCTATAGAAAGAAGACAGAAGCATTCTCAGAACCCTCTTCGTGATGTTTGCATTCAACTCACAGTGCTGAATCTTTCTTTGATAGTTCAGCTTTGAAACACTCTTCTTGTAGAAACTGCAAGTGGATATTTGGTCCTCTCTGAGGATTTCGTTGGAAATGGGATAAACCGCACAGAACTAAACAGAAGAATTCTCAGGAGCCCTCTTCGTGATGTTTGCATTCAACTCACAGTGCTGAACCTTTCTTTGATAGTGCAGCTTTGAAACACTCTTTTTGTAGAAACTGCAAGTGGATGTTTGGTCCTCTCTGAGGATTTCGTTGGAAACGGGATAAACCGCACAGAACTAAAACAGAAGCATTCTCAGAACCTTCTTCGTGATGTTTGCATTCAACTCACAGTGTTGAACCTTTCTTTGATAGTTCAGGTTTGAAACGGTCTTTCTGTAGAAACTGCAAGTAGATATTTGGACCTCTCTGAGGATTTCGTTGGAAACGGGATAACCCGCACAGAACTAAAACAGAAGCATTCACAGAAAACTCTTGGTGACGACTGAGTTTAACTCACAGAGCTGAACATTCCTTTGGATGGAGCAGTTTCGAAACACACTATTTGTAGAATGTGCAAGTGGATATTTAGGCCTCTCTGAGGATTTCGTTGGAAACGGGATAAACCGCACAGAACTAAACAGAAGCATTCTCAGAAACTACTTTGTGATGATTGCATTCAAGTCACAGAGTTGAACATTCCCTTTGACAGAGCAGTTTGGAAACTCTCTTTGTGTAGAATCTGCAAGTGGAGATATGGACCGCTTTGAGGCCTATGGTAGTAAAGGAAATAGCTTCATATAAAAGCTAGACAGTAGCATTCTCAGAAACTTCTTTGTGATGCTTGCATTCAACTCACAGAGTTGAACTTTCCTTTCGAGAGAGAAGCTTTGAAACACTCTTTTTCCAGAATCTGCAAGTGGACATTTGGAGGGCTTTGAGGCCTGTGGTGGAAAAGGAATTATCTTCCCGTAAAAGCTAGATAGAAGCATTGTCAGAAACTTCTTTGTGATGATTGCATTCAACTCACAGAGATGAAGGTTCCTTTACAAACAGCAGTTTCCAAACACTCTTTCTGTGGAATCTGCAAGTGGATATTTGGACCTCTTTGAAGATTTCATTGGAAACGGGAGAATCTTCACAGAAAAGCTAAACAGAAGCATTCTCAGAAACTTCTCTGTGATGTTTGTGTTCAACTCCCAGAGTTTCACATTGCTTTTCATAGAGTAGTTCTGAAACATGCTTTTCGTAGTGTCTGCAAGTGGACATTTGGAGCGCTTTCAGGCCTGTGGTGGAAAACGAATTATGGTCCCATAAAAACTGGAGAGAAGCCTTCTCAGAAACTTCTCTGTGATGATTGCATTCAACTCACAGAGTTGAACCCTCCTATGGATAGAGCAGTGTTGAAACTCTCTTTTTGTGGAATCTGCAAGTGGATATGTGGACCTCTCCGAAGATGTCTTTGGAAACGGGAATATCTTCACATAAAAACTAAACAGAAGCATTCTCAGAAACTTCTTGGTGATGTTTGCATTCAAATCCCAGAGTTGAACCTTCCTGTGATAGTTCAGGTTTGAAACACTCTTTTTGTAGGATCTGCAAGTGGATATTTGGACCACTCTGTGGCCTTCGTTCGAAACGGGTACATCTTCACATAAAATCTAGACAGAAGCATTCTCAGAAAATACTTTGTGATGATTGAGTTTAACTCACAGAGCTGAACATTCCTTTGGATGGAGCAGGTTTGAGACACACCTTTTGTAGAATCTACAAGTGGATATTTGGACCTCTCTGAGGATTTCGTTGGAAACGGGATAACTGCACCTAACTAAACGGAAGCATTCTCAGAAACTGCTTTGTGATGACTGCATTCACCTCACAGAGTTGAACATTCCTATTGATAGAGCAGTTTGGAAACACTCTTGTTGTGGAATGTGCAAGTGGAGATTTGGAGCGCTTTGAGGCCTATGGTAGTAAAGGGAATAGCTTCATAGAAAAACTAGACAGATGCATTCTCAGGAACTTTTTGGTGATGTTTGTATTCAACTCCCAGAGTTGAACTTTCCTTTGGAAAGAGCAGCTATGAAACACTCTTTTTCTAGAATCTGCAAGTGGACGTTTGGAGGGCTTTGTGGTTTGTGGTGGAAAAGGAAATATCTTCACCTAAATACTAGATAGAAGCATTCTCAGAAGCTTCTCTGTGATGACTGCATTCAACTCACGGAGTTGAACACTCCTTTTGAGAGCGCAGTTTTGGAACTCTCTTTCTGTGGCATCTGCAAGGGGACATGTAGACCTCTTTGAAGATTTCGTTGGAAACGGAATCATCTTCACATAAAAACTATACAGAAGCAGTCTCAGAATCTTCTTTGTGATGTTTGCATTCAAATCCCAGAGTTGAACTTTCCTTTCAAAGTTCACGTTTGAAACACTCTTTTTGCAGGATCTACAAGTGGATATTTGGACCACTCTGTGTCCTTCGTTCGAAACGGGTATATCTTCACATGACATCTAGACAGAAGCTTTCTCAGAAAATTCTTTGGGATGATTGAGTTGAGCAAACAGAGCTGAACACTCCTTGCGATGTAGCAGTTTAGAAACACCCTTTCTGCAGAATCTGCAAGTGCATATGTGGACCTCTCTGAGGAATTCGTTGGAAACGGGATAATTTCAGCTGACTAAACAGAAGCATTCTCAGAACCTTCTTCGTGATGTCTGCATTCAACTCACAGTGTGGAACTTTTCTTTGATAGTTCAGGTTTGAAACACTCTTTTTGTAGAAACTGCAAGGGGATCATTGCACTTCTTTGAGGCCTACCGTAGTAAAGGAAATAACTTCCTATAAAAAGAAGACAGAA
The DNA here is from genome assembly GCF_000001405.40 of Homo sapiens. NCBI lineage: Eukaryota > Metazoa > Chordata > Mammalia > Primates > Hominidae > Homo > Homo sapiens. The sequence goes on from NC_000017.11 coordinate 24,474,550, forward strand.
GCATTCTCAGAACCCTCTTCGTGATGTTTGCATTCAACTCACAGTGCTGAACCTTTCTTTGATAGTTCAGCTTTGAAACACTCTTCTTGTAGAAACTGCAAGTGGATATTTGGTCCTCTCTGAGGATTTCGTTGGAAACGGGATAAACCGCACAGAACTAAACAGAAGAATTCTCAGAGCCCTCTTCGTGATGTTTGCATTCAACTCACAGTGCTGAACCTTTCTTTGATAGTGCAGCTTTGAAACACTCTTTTTGTAGAAACTGCAAGTGGATGTTTGGTCCTCTCTGAGGATTTCGTTGGAAACGGGATAAACCGCACAGAACTAAAACAGAAGCATTGTCAGAAACTTCTTTGTGATGATTGCATTCAACTCACAGAGTTGAAGGTTCCTTTTCAAACAGCAGTTTCCAATCACTCTTTCTGTGGAATCTGCAAGTGGATATTTGGGCCTCTCTGAGGATTTCGTTGGAAACGGGATAAAACGCACAGAACTAAAACAGAAGCATTCTCAGAAACTTCTCTGTGATGTTTGTGTGCAACTCCCAGAGTTTCACATTGCTTCTCATAGAGTAGTTCTGAAACATGCTTTTCGTAGTGTCTGCAAGTGGACATTTGGAGCGCTTTCAGGCCTGTGGTGGAAAACGAATTATGGTCACATAAAAACTGGAGAGAAGCCTTCTCAGAAACTTCTCCGTGATGATTGCATTCAACTCACAGAGTTGAACCCTCCTATGGATAGAGCAGTGTTGAAACTCTCTTTTTGTGGAATCTGCAAGTGGATATGTGGACCTCTCCGAAGATGTCTTTGGAAACGGGAATATCTTCACATAAAAACTAAACAGAAGCATTCTCAGAAACTTCTTGGTGATGTTTGCATTCAAATCCCAGAGTTGAACCTTCCTTTGATAGTTCAGGTTTGAAACACTCTTTTTGTAGGATCTGCAAGTGGATATTTGGACCACTCTGTGGCCTTCGTTCGAAACGGGTATATCTTCGCATAAAATCTAGACAGAAGCATTCTCAGAAAATACTTTGTGATGATTGAGTTTAAATCACAGAGCTGACCATTCCTTTGGATGGAGCAGGTTTGAGACACACTTTTTGTAGAATCTACAAGTGGATATTTGGACCTCTCTGAGGATTTCGTTGGAAACGGGATAACTGCACCTAACTAAACGGAAGCATTCTCAGAAACTGCTTTGTGATGATTGCATTCACCTCACAGAGTTGAACATTCCTATTGATAGAGCAGTTTGGAAACACTCTTGTTGTGGAATGTGCAAGTGGAGATTTGGAGCGCTTTGAGGTCTATGGTAGTAAAGGGAATAGCTTCATAGAAAAACTAGACAGATGCATTCTCAGGAACTTTTTGGTGATGTTTGTATTCAACTCCCAGAGTTGAACTTTCCTTTGGAAAGAGCAGCTATGAAACACTCTTTTTCTAGAATCTGCAAGTGGACGTTTGGAGGGCTTTGTGGTTTGTGGTGGAAAAGGAAATATCTTCACCTAAATACTAGATAGAAGCATTCTCAGAAGCTTCTCTGTGATGACTGCATTCAACTCACGGAGTTGAACACTCCTTTTGAGAGCGCAGTTTTGAAACTCTCTTTCTGTGGCATCTGCAAGGGGACATGTAGACCTCTTTGAAGATTTCGTTGGAAACGGAATCATCTTCACATCAAAACTATACAGAAGTAGTCTCAGAATCTTCTTTGTGATGTTTGCATTCAAATCCCTGAGTTGAACTTTCCTTTCCAAGTTCACGTTTGAAACACTCTTTTTGCAGGATCTACAAGTGGATATTTGGACCACTCTGTGTCCTTCGTTCGAAACGGGTATATCTTCACATGACATCTAGACAGAAGCTTTCTCAGAAAATTCTTTGGGATGATTGAGTTGAGCAAACAGAGCTGAACACTCCTTGCGATGTAGCAGTTTAGAAACACACTTTCTGCAGAATCTGCAAGTGCATATGTGGACCTCTCTGAGGAATTCGTTGGAAACGGGATAATTTCAGCTGACTAAACAGAAGCATTCTCAGAACCTTCTTCGTGATGTCTGCATTCAACTCACAGTGTGGAACCTTTCTTTGATAGTTCAGGTTTGAAACACTCTTTTTGTAGTAACTGCAAGGGGATAATTGCACTTCTTTGAGGCCTACCGTAGTAAAGGAGATAACTTCCTATAAAAAGAAGACAGAAGCATTCTCAGAACCCTCTTCGTGATGTTTGCATTCAACTCACGGTGCTGAACCTTTCTTTGATAGTTCAGCTTTGAAACACTCTTTTTGTAGAAACTGCAAGTGGATATTTGGTCCTCTCTGAGGATTTCGTTGGAAACGGGATAAACCGCACAGAACTAAACAGAAGCATTCTCAGAACCTTCTTCGTGATGTTTGCATTCAACTCACAGTGTTGAACCTTTCTTTGATAGTTCAGGTTTGAAACGGTCTTTCTGTAGAAACTGCAAGTAGATATTTGGACCTCTCTGAGGATTTCGTTGGAAACGGGTTAAACCGCACAGAACTAAAACAGAAGCATTCACAGAAAACTCTTGGTGACGACTGAGTTTAACTCACAGAGCTGAACATTCCTTTGGATGGAGCAGTTTCGAAACACACTATTTCTAGAAGGTGCAAGTGGATATGTGGGCCTCTCTGAGGATTTCGTTGGAAACGGGATAAACCGCACAGAACTAAACAGAAGCATTCTCAGAAACTACTTTGTGATGATTGCATTCAAGTCACAGAGTTGAACATTCCCTTTGACAGAGCAGTTTGGAAACTCTCTTTGTGTAGAATCTGCAAGTGGAGATATGGACCGCTTTGAGGCCTATGGTAGTAAAGGAAATAGCTTCATATAAAAGCTAGACAGTAGCATTCTCAGAAACTTCTTTGTGATGCTTGCATTCAACTCACAGAGTTGAACTTTCCTTTCGAGAGAGAAGCTTTGAAACACTCTTTTTCCAGAATCTGCAAGTGGACATTTGGAGGGCGTTGAGGCCTGTGGTGGAAAAGGAATTATCTTCCCGTAAAAGCTAGATAGAAGCTTTGTCAGAAACTTCTTTGTGATGATTGCATTCAAGTCACAGAGTTGAAGGTTCCTTTTCAAAGAGCAGTTTCCAATCACTCTTTCTGTGGAATCTGCAAGTGGATATTTGGACCTCTTTGAAGATTTCGTTGGAAACGGGAGAATCTTCACAGAAAAGCTAAACAGAAGCATTCTCAGAAACTTCTCTGTGATGTTTGTGTTCAACTCCCAGAGTTTCACATTGCTTCTCATAGAGTAGTTCTGAAACATGCTTTTCGTAGTGTCTGCAAGTGGACATTTGGAGCGCTTTCAGGCCTGTGGTGGAAAACGAATTATGGTCACATAAAAACTGGAGAGAAGCATTCTCAGAAACTTCTCTGTGACGATTGCATTCAACTCACAGAGTTGAACCCTCCTATGGATAGAGCAGTGTTGAAACTCTCTTTTTGTGGAATCTGCAAGCGGATATGTGGACCTCTCCGAAGATGTCTTTGGAAACGGGAATATCTTCACATAAAAACTAAACAGAAGCATTCTCAGAAACTTCTTGGTGATGTTTGCATTCAAATCCCAGAGTTGAACCTTCCTTTGATAGTTCAGGTTTGAAACACTCTTTTTGTAGGATCTGCAAGTGGATATTTGGACCACTCTGTGGCCTTCGTTCGAAACGCGTACATCTTCGCATAAAATCTAGACAGAAGCATTCTCAGAAAATACTTTGTGATGATTGAGTTGAACTCACAGAGCTGAACATTCCTTTGGATGGAGCAGGTTTGAGACACACTTTTTGTAGAATCTACAAGTGGATATTTGGACCTCTCTGAGGATTTCGTTGGAAACGGGATAACTGCACCTAACTAAACGGAAGCATTCTCAGAAACTGCTTTGTGATGATTGCATTCACCTCACAGAGTTGAACATTCCTATTGATAGAGCAGTTTGGAAACACTCCTGTTGTGGAATGTGCAAGTGGAGATTTGGAGCGCTTTGAGGCCTATGGTAGTAAAGGGAATAGCTTCATAGAAAAACTAGACAGATGCATTCTCAGGAACTTTTTGGTGATGTTTGTATTCAACTCCCAGAGTTGAACTTTCCTTTGGAAAGAGCAGCTATGAAACACTCTTTTTCTAGAATCTGCAAGTGGACGTTTGGAGGGCTTTGTGGTTTGTGGTGGAAAAGGAAATATCTTCACCTAAATACTAGATAGAAGCATTCTCAGAAGCTTCTCTGTGATGACTGCATTCAACTCACGGAGTTGAACACTCCTTTTGAGAGCGCAGTTTTGAAACTCTCTTTCTGTGGCATCTGCAAGGGGACATGTAGACCTCTTTGAAGATTTCGTTGGAAACGGAATCATCTTCACATAAAAACTATACAGAAGCAGTCTCAGAATCTTCTTTGTGATGTTTGCATTCAAATCCCAGAGTTGAACTTTCCTTTCAAAGTTCACGTTTGAAACACTCTTTTTGCAGGATCTACAAGTGGATATTTGGACCACTCTGTGTCCTTCGTTCGAAACGGGTATATCTTCACACGACATCTAGACAGAAGCTTTCTCAGAAAATTCTTTGGGATGATTGAGTGGAACTCACAGAGCTGAACATTCCTTGCGATGTAGCAGTTTAGAAACACACTTTCTGCAGAATCTGCAAGTGCATATTTGGACCTCTCTGAGGAATTCGTTGGAAACGGGATAATTTCAGCTGACTAAACAGAAGCATTCTCAGAACCTTCTTCGTGATGTCTGCATTCAACTCACAGTGTGGAACCTTTCTTTGATAGTTCAGGTTTGAAACACTCTTTTTGTAGAAACTGCAAGGGGATAATTGCACTTCTTTGAGGCCTACCGTAGTAAAGGAAATAACTTCCTATAGAAAGAAGACAGAAGCATTCTCAGAACCCTCTTCGTGATGTTTGCATTCAACTCACAGTGCTGAACCTTTCTTTGATAGTTCAGCTTTGAAACACTCTTCTTGTAGAAACTGCAAGTGGATATTTGGTCCTCTCTGAGGATTTCGTTGGAAACGGGATAAACCGCACAGAACTAAACAGAAGAATTCTCAGAGCCCTCTTCGTGATGTTTGCATTCAACTCACAGTGCTGAACCTTTCTTTGATAGTGCAGCTTTGAAACACTCTTTTTGTAGAAACTGCAAGTGGATGTTTGGTCCTCTCTGAGGATTTCGTTGGAAACGGGATAAACCGCACAGAACTAAAACAGAAGCATTGTCAGAAACTTCTTTGTGATGATTGCATTCAACTCACAGAGTTGAAGGTTCCTTTTCAAACAGCAGTTTCCAATCACTCTTTCTGTGGAATCTGCAAGTGGATATTTGGGCCTCTCTGAGGATTTCGTTGGAAACGGGATAAAACGCACAGAACTAAAACAGAAGCATTCTCAGAAACTTCTCTGTGATGTTTGTGTTCAACTCCCAGAGTTTCACGTTGCTTTTCATAGAGTAGTTCTGAAACATGCTTTTCGTAGTGTCTGCAAGTGGACATTTGGAGCGCTTTCAGGCCTGTGGTGGAAAACGAATTATGGTCACATAAAAACTGGAGAGAAGCCTTCTCAGAAACTTCTCTGTGATGATTGCATTCAACTCACAGAGTTGAACCCTCCTATGGATAGAGCAGTGTTGAAACTCTCTTTTTGTGGAATCTGCAAGTGGATATGTGGACCTCTCCGAAGATGTCTTTGGAAACGGGAATATCTTCACATAAAAACTAAACAGAAGCATTCTCAGAAACTTCTTGGTGATGTTTGCATTCAAATCCCAGAGTTGAACCTTCCTTTGATAGTTCAGGTTTGAAACACTCTTTCTGTAGGATCTGCAAGTGGCTATTTGGACCACTCTGTGGCCTTCGTTCGAAACGGGTATATCTTCGCATAAAATCTAGACAGAAAGCATTCTCAGAAAATACTTTGTGATGATTGAGTTTAAATCACAGAGCTGACCATTCCTTTGGATGGAGCAGGTTTGAGACACACTTTTTGTAGAATCTACAAGTGGATATTTGGACCTCTCTGAGGATTTCGTTGGAAACGGGATAACTGCACCTAACTAAACGGAGCATTCTCAGAAACTGCTTTGTGATGATTGCATTCACCTCACAGAGTTGACCATTCCTATTGATAGAGCAGTTTGGAAACACTCTTGTTGTGGAATGTGCAAGTGGAGATTTGGAGCGCTTTGAGGCCTATGGTAGTAAAGGGAATAGCTTCATAGAAAAACTAGACAGATGCATTCTCAGGAACTTTTTGGTGATGTTTGTATTCAACTCCCAGAGTTGAACTTTCCTTAGAAAAGAGCAGCTATGAAACACTCTTTTTCTAGAATCTGCAAGTGGACGTTTGGAGGGCTTTGTGGTTTGTGGTGGAAAAGGAAATATCTTCACCTAAATACTAGATAGAAGCATTCTCAGAAGCTTCTCTGTGATGACTGCATTCAACTCACGGAGTTGAACACTCCTTTTGAGAGCGCAGTTTTGAAACTCTCTTTCTGTGGCATCTGCAAGGGGACATGTAGACCTCTTTGAAGATTTCGTTGGAAACGGAATCATCTTCACATAAAAACTATACAGAAGCAGTCTCAGAATCTTCTTTGTGATGTTTGCATTCAAATCCCAGAGTTGAACTTTCCTTTCAAAGTTCACGTTTGAAACACTCTTTTTGCAGGATCTACAAGTGGATATTTGGACCACTCTGTGTCCTTCGTTCGAAACGGGTATATCTTCACACGACATCTAGACAGAAGCTTTCTCAGAAAATTCTTTGGGATGATTGAGTGGAACTCACAGAGCTGAACATTCCTTGCGATGTAGCAGTTTAGAAACACACTTTCTGCAGAATCTGCAAGTGCATATTTGGACCTCTCTGAGGAATTCGTTGGAAACGGGATAATTTCAGCTGACTAAACAGAAGCATTCTCAGAACCTTCTTCGTGATGTCTGCATTCAACTCACAGTGTGGAACCTTTCTTTGATAGTTCAGGTTTGAAACACTCTTTTTGTAGAAACTGCAAGGGGATAATTGCACTTCTTTGAGGCCTACCGTAGTAAAGGAAATAACTTCCTATAGAAAGAAGACAGAAGCATTCTCAGAACCCTCTTCGTGATGTTTGCATTCAACTCACAGTGCTGAACCTTTCTTTGATAGTTCAGCTTTGAAACACTCTTCTTGTAGAAACTGCAAGTGGATATTTGGTCCTCTCTGAGGATTTCGTTGGAAACGGGATAAACCGCACAGAACTAAACAGAAGCATTCTCAGAACCTTCTTCGTGATGTTTGCATTCAACTCACAGTGTTGAACCTTTCTTTGATAGTTCAGGTTGGAAACGGTCTTTATGTAGAAACTGCAAGTAGATATTTGGACCTCTCTGAGGATTTCGTTGGAAACGGGATAAACCGCACAGAACTAAAACAGAAGCATTCACAGAAAACTCTTGGTGACGACTGAGTTTAACTCACAGAGCTGAACATTCCTTTGGATGGAGCAGTTTCGAAACACACTATTTGTAGAATCTGCAAGTGGATATTTGGGCCTCTCTGAGGATTTCGTTGGAAACGGGATAAACCGCACAGAACTAAAGAGAAGCATTCTCAGAAACTACTTTGTGATGATTGCATTCAAGTCACAGAGCTGAACATTCCCTTTGACAGAGAAGTTTGGAAACTCTCTTTGTGTAGAATCTGCAAGTGGAGATATGGAATGCTTTGAGGACTATGGTAGTAAAGGAAATAGCTTCATATAAAAGCTAGACAGTAGCATTCTCAGAAACTTCTTTGTGATGCTTGCATTCAACTCACAGAGTTGAACTTTCCTTTCGAGAGAGAAGCTTTGAAACACTCTTTTTCCAGAATCTGCAAGTGGACATTTGGAGGGCTTTGAGGCCTGTGGTGGAAAAGGAATTAACTTCCCGTAAAAGCTAGATAGAAGCATTGTCAGAAACTTCTTTGTGATGATTGCATTCAACTCACAGAGATGAAGGTTCCTTTACATACAGCAGTTTCCAAACACCCTTTCTGTGGAATCTGCAAGTGGATATTTGGACCTCTTTGAAGATTTCGTTGGAAACGGGAGAATCTTCACAGAAAAGCTAAACAGAAGCATTCTCAGAAACTTCTCTGTGATGTTTGTGTTCAACTCCCAGAGTTTCACATTGCTTTACATAGAGTAGTTCTGAAACATGCTTTTCGTAGTGTCTGCAAGTGGACATTTGGAGCGCTTTCAGGCCTGTGGTGGAAAACGAATTATGGTCCCATAAAAACTGGAGAGAAGCCTTCTCAGAAACTTCTCTGTGATGATTGCATTCAACTCACAGAGTTGAACCCTCCTATGGATAGAGCATTGTTGAAACTCTCTTTTTGTGGAATCTGCAAGTGGATATGTGGACCTCTCCGAAGATGTCTTTGGAAACGGGAATATCTTCACATAAAAACTAAACAGAAGCATTCTCAGAAACTTCTTGGTGATGTTTGCATTCAAATCCCAGAGTTGAACCTTCCTTTGATAGTTCAGGTTTGAAACACTCTTTTTGTAGGATCTGCAAGTGGATATTTGGACCACTCTGTGGCCTTCGTTCGAAACGGGTACATCTTCCCATAAAATCTAGACAGAAGCATTCTCAGAAAATACTTTGTGATGATTGAGTTTAACTCACAGAGCTGAACATTCCTTTGGATGGAGCAGGTTTGAGACACACTTTTTGTAGAAACTACAAGTGGATATTTGGACCTCTCTGAGGATTTCGTTGGAAACGCGATAACTGCACCTAATTAAACGGAAGCATTCTCAGAAACTGCTTTGTGATGATTGCATTCACCTCACAGAGTTGAACATTCCTATTGATAGAGCACTTTGGAAACACTCTTGTTGTGGAATGTGCAAGTGGAGACTTGGAGCGTTTTGAGGCCTATGGTAGTAAAGGGAATAGCTTCATAGAAAAACTAGACAGATGCATTCTCAGGAACTTTTTGGTGATGTTTGTATTCAACTCCCAGAGTTGAACTTTCCTTTGGAAAGAGCAGCTATGAAACACTCTTTTTCTAGAATCTGCAAGTGGACGTTTGGAGGGCTTTGTGGTTTGTGGTGGAAAAGGAAATATCTTCACCTAAATACTAGATAGAAGCATTCTCAGAAGCTTCTCTGTGATGACTGCATTCAACTCACGGAGTTGAACACTCCTTTTGAGAGCGCAGTTTTGAAACTCTCTTTCTGTGGCATCTGCAAGGGGACATGTAGACCTCTTTGAAGATTTCGTTGGAAACGGAATCATCTTCACATAAAAACTATACAGAAGCAGTCTCAGAATCTTCTTTGTGATGTTTGCATTCAAATCCCAGAGTTGAACTTTCCTTTCAAAGTTCACGTTTGAAACACTCTTTTTGCAGGATCTACAAGTGGATATTTGGACCACTCTGTGTCCTTCGTTCGAAACGGGTATATCTTCACACGACATCTAGACAGAAGCTTTCTCAGAAAATTCTTTGGGATGATTGAGTGGAACTCAACAGAGCTGAACATTCCTTGCGATGTAGCAGTTTAGAAACACACTTTCTGCAGAATCTGCAAGTGCATATTTGGACCTCTCTGAGGAATTCGTTGGAAACGGGATAATTTCAGCTGACTAAACAGAAGCATTCTCAGAACATTCATCGTGATGTCTGCATTCAACTCACAGTGTGGAACCTTTCTTTAATACTTCAGGTTTGAAACACTCTTTTTGTAGAAACTGCAAGGGGATAATTGCACTTCTTTGAGGCCTACCGTAGTAAAGGAAATAACTTCCTATAAAAAGAAGACAGAAGCATTCTCAGAACCCTCTTCGTGATGTTTGCATTCAACTCACAGTGCTGAACCTTTCTTTGATAGTTCAGCTTTGAAACACTCTTCTTGTAGAAACTGCAAGTGGATATTTGGTCCTATCTGAGGATTTCGTTGGAAACGGGATAAACCGCACAGAACTAAACAGAAGCATTCTCAGAACCTTCTTCGTGATGTTTGCATTCAACTCACAGTGTTGAACCTTTCTTTGATAGTTCAGGTTTGAAACGGTCTTTCTGTAGAAACTGCAAGAAGATATTTGGACCTCTCTGAGGATTTCGTTGGAAACGGGATAAACCGCACAGAACTAAAACAGAAGCATTCACAGCAAAACTCTTGGTGACGACTGAGTTTAACTCACAGAGCTGAACATTCCTTTGGATGGAGCAGTTTCAAAACACACTATTTGTAGAATGTGCAAGTGGATATGTGGGCCTCTCTGAGGATTTCGTTGGAAACGGGATAAACCGCACAGAACTAAAACAGAAGCATTCTCAGAAACTAATTTGTGATGATTGCATTCAAGTCACAGAGTTGAACATTCCCTTTGACAGAGCAGTTTGGAAACTCTCTTTGTGTAGAATCTGCAAGTGGAGATATGGACCGCTTTGAGGCCTATGGTAGTAAAGGAAAGAGCTTCATATAAAAGCTAGACAGTAGCATTCTCAGAAACTTCTTTGTGATGCTTGCATTCAACTCACAGAGTTGAACTTTCCTTTCGAGAGAGAAGCTTTGAAACACTCTTTTTCCAGAATGTGCAAGTGGAGATTTGGAGGGCTTTGAGGCCTGTGGTGGAAAAGGAATTATCTTCCCGTAAAAGCTAGATAGAAGCATTGTCAGAAACTTCTTTGTGATGATTGCATTCAACTCACAGAGTTGAAGGTTCCTTTTCAAACAGCAGTTTCCAATCACTCTTTCTGTGGAATCTGCAAGTGGATATTTGGACCTATTTTGAAGATTTCGTTGGAAACGGGATAATCTTCACAGAAAAGCTAAACAGAAGCATTCTCAGAAACTTCTCTGTGATGTTTGTGTTCAACTCCCAGAGTTTCACATTGCTTTTCATAGAGTAGTTCTGAAACATGCTTTTCGTAGTGTCTGCAAGTGGACATTTGGAGCGCTTTCAGGCCTGTGGTGGAAAACGAATTATGGTCACATAAAAACTGGAGAGAAGCCTTCTCAGAAACTTCTCTGTGATGATTGCATTCAACTCACAGAGTTGAACCCTCCTATGGATAGAGCAGTGTTGAAACTCTCTTTTTGTGGAATCTGCAAGTGGATATGTGGACCTCTCCGAAGATGTCTTTGGAAACGGGAATATCTTCACATAAAAACTAAACAGAAGCATTCTCAGAAACTTCTTGGTGATGTTTGCATTCAAATCCCAGAGTTGAACCTTCCTTTGGTAGTTCAGGTTTGAAACACTCTTTTTGTAGGATCTGCAAGTGGATATTTGGACCACTCTGTGGCCTTCGTTCGAAACGGGTACATCTTCGCATAAAATCTAGACAGAAGCATTCTCAGAAAATACTTTGTGATGATTGAGTTGAACTCACAGAGCTGAACATTCCTTTGGATGGAGCAGGTTTGAGACACACTTTTTGTAGAATCTACAAGTGGATATTTGGACCTCTCTGAGGATTTCGTTGGAAACGGGATAACTGCACCTAACTAAACGGAAGCATTCTCAGAAACTGCTTTGTGATGATTGCATTCACCTCACAGAGTTGAACATTCCTATTGATAGAGCAGTTTGGAAACACTCTTGTTGTGGAATGTGCAAGTGGAGATTTGGAGCGCTTTGAGGCCTATGGTAGTAAAGGGAATAGCTTCATAGAAAAACTAGACAGATGCATTCTCAGGAACTTTTTGGTGATGTTTGTATTCAACTCCCAGAGTTGAACTTTCCTTTGGAAAGAGCAGCTATGAAACACTCTTTTTCTAGAATCTGCAAGTGGACGTTTGGAGGGCTTTGTGGTTTGTGGTGGAAAAGGAAATATCTTCACCTAAATACTAGATAGAAGCATTCTCAGAAGCTTCTCTGTGATGACTGCATTCAACTCACGGAGTTGAACACTCCTTTTGAGAGCGCAGTTTTGAAACTCTCTTTCTGTGGCATCTGCAAGGGGACATGTAGACCTCTTTGAAGATTTCGTTGGAAACGGAATCATCTTCACATAAAAACTATACAGAAGCAGTCTCAGAATCTTCTTTGTGATGTTTGCATTCAAATCCCAGAGTTGAACTTTCCTTTCAAAGTTCACGTTTGAAACACTCTTTTTGCAGGATCTACAAGTGGATATTTGGACCACTCTGTGTCCTTCGTTCGAAACGGGTATATCTTCACACGACATCTAGACAGAAGCTTTCTCAGAAAATTCTTTGGGATGATTGAGTGGAACTCACAGAGCTGAACATTCCTTGCGATGTAGCAGTTTAGAAACACACTTTCTGCAGAATCTGCAAGTGCATATTTGGACCTCTCTGAGGAATTCGTTGGAAACGGGATAATTTCAGCTGACTAAACAGAAGCATTCTCAGAACCTTCTTCGTGATGTCTGCATTCAACTCACAGTGTGGAACCTTTCTTTGATAGTTCAGGTTTGAAACACTCTTTTTGTAGAAACTGCAAGGGGATAATTGCACTTCTTTGAGGCCTACCGTAGTAAAGGAAATAACTTCCTATAGAAAGAAGACAGAAGCATTCTCAGAACCCTCTTCGTGATGTTTGCATTCAACTCACAGTGCTGAACCTTTCTTTGATAGTTCAGCTTTGAAACACTCTTCTTGTAGAAACTGCAAGTGGATATTTGGTCCTCTCTGAGGATTTCGTTGGAAACGGGATAAACCGCACAGAACTAAACAGAAGCATTCACAGAAAACTCTTGGTGACGACTGAGTTTAACTCACAGAGCTGAACATTCCTTTGGATGGAGCAGTTTCGAAACACACTATTTGTAGAATCTGCAAGTGGATATTTGGGCCTCTCTAAGGATTTCGTTGGAAACGGGATAAACCGCACAGAACTAAAACAGAAGCATTCTCAGAAACTACTTTGTGATGATTGCATTCAAGTCACAGAGTTGAACATTCCCTTTGACAGAGCAGTTTGGAAACTCTCTTTGTGTAGAATCTGCAAGTGGAGATATGGACCGCTTTGAGGCCTATGGTAGTAAAGGAAATAGCTTCATATAAAAGTTAGACAGTAGCATTCTCAGAAACTTCTTTGTGATGCTTGCATTCAACTCACAGAGTTGAACTTTCCTTTCGAGAGAGAAGCTTTGAAACACTCTTTTTCCAGAATCTGCAAGTGGACATTTGGAGGGCTTTGAGGCCTGTGGTGGAAAAGGAATTATCTTCCCGTAAAAGCTAGATAGAAGCATTGTCAGAAACTTCTTTGTGATGATTGCATTCAACTCACAGAGTTGAAGGTTCCTTTTCAAAGAGCAGTTTCCAATCACTCTTTCTGTGGAATCTGCAAGTGGATATTCGGACCTATTTTGAAGATTTCGTTGGAAACGGGAGAATCTTCACAGGAAAGCTAAACAGAAGCATTCTCAGAAACTTCTCTGTGATGTTTGTGTTCAACTCCCAGAGTTTCACATTGCTTTTCATAGAGTAGTTCTGAAACATGCTTTTCGTAGTGTCTACAAGTGGACATTTGGAGCGCTTTCAGGCCTGTGGTGGAAAACGAATTATGGTCACATAAAAACTGGAGAGAAGCCTTCTCAGAAACTTCTCTGTGATGATTGCATTCAACTCACAGAGTTGAACCCTCCTATGGATAGAGCAGTGTTGAAACTCTCTTTTTGTGGAATCTGCAAGTGGATATGTGGACCTCTCCGAAGATGTCTTTGGAAACGGGAATATCTTCACATAAAAACTAAACAGAAGCATTCTCAGAAACTTCTTGGTGATGTTTGCATTCAAATCCCAGAGTCGAACCTTCCTTTGATAGTTCAGGTTTGAAACACTCTTTTTGTAGGATCTGCAAGTGGATATTTGGACCACTCTGTGGCCTTCGTTCGAAACGGGTATATCTTCGCATAAAATCTAGACAGAAGCATTCTCAGAAAATACTTTGTGATGATTGAGTTTAACTCACGGAGCTGAACATTCCTTTGGATGGAGCAGGTTTGAGACACACTTTTTGTAGAATCTACAAGTGGATATTGGGACCTCTCTGAGGATTTCGTTGGAAACGCGATAACTGCACCTAACTAAACGGAAGCATTCTCAGAAACTGCTTTGTGATGATTGCATTCACCTCACAGAGTTGAACATTCCTATTGATAGAGCAGTTTGGAAACACTCTTGTTGTGGAATGTGCAAGTGGAGATTTGGAGCGCTTTGAGGTCTATGGTAGTAAAGGGAATAGCTTCATAGAAAAACTAGACAGATGCATTCTCAGGAACTTTTTGGTGATGTTTGTATTCAACTCCCAGAGTTGAACTTTCCTTTGGAAAGAGCAGCTATGAAACACTCTTTTTCTAGAATCTGCAAGTGGACGTTTGGAGGGCTTTGTGGTTTGTGGTGGAAAAGGAAATATCTTCACCTAAATACTAGATAGAAGCATTCTCAGAAGCTTCTCTGTGATGACTGCATTCAACTCACGGAGTTGAACACTCCTTTTGAGAGCGCAGTTTTGAAACTCTCTTTCTGTGGCATCTGCAAGGGGACATGTAGACCTCTTTGAAGATTTCGTTGGAAACGGAATCATCTTCACATAAAAACTATACAGAAGCAGTCTCAGAATCTTCTTTGTGATGTTTGCATTCAAATCCCAGAGTTGAACTTTCCTTTCAAAGTTCACGTTTGAAACCCTCTTTTTGCAGGATCTACAAGTGGATATTTGGACCACTCTGTGTCCTTCGTTCGAAACGGGTATATCTTCACATGACATCTAGACAGAAGCTTTCTCAGAAAATTCTTTGGGATGATTGAGTTGAACTCACAGAGCTGAACATTCCTTGCGATGTAGCAGTTTAGAAACACACTTTCTGCAGAATCTGCAAGTGCATATTTGGACCTCTCTGAGGAATTCGTTGGAAACGGGATAATTTCAGCTGACTAAACAGAAGCATTCTCAGAACCTTCTTCGTGATGTCTGCATTCAACTCACAGTGTGGAACCTTTCTTTGATAGTTCAGGTTTGAAACACTCTTTTTGTAGAAACTGCAAGGGGATAATTGCACTTCTTTGAGGCCTACCGTAGTAAAGGAAATAACTTCCTATAGAAAGAAGACAGAAGCATTCTCAGAACCCTCTTCGTGATGTTTGCATTCAACTCACAGTGCTGAACCTTTCTTTGATAGTTCAGCTTTGAAACACTCTTCTTGTAGAAACTGCAAGTGGATATTTGGTCCTCTCTGAGGATTTCGTTGGAAACGGGATAAACCGCACAGAACTAAACAGAAGAATTCTCAGAGCCCTCTTCGTGATGTTTGCATTCAACTCACAGTGCTGAACCTTTCTTTGATAGTGCAGCTTTGAAACACTCTTTTTGTAGAAACTGCAAGTGGATGTTTGGTCCTCTCTGAGGATTTCGTTGGAAACGGGATAAACCGCACAGAACTAAAACAGAAGCATTGTCAGAAACTTCTTTGTGATGATTGCATTCAACTCACAGTAGTTGAAGGTTCCTTTTCAAACAGCAGTTTCCAATCACTCTTTCTGTGGAATCTGCAAGTGGATATTTGGGCCTCTCTGAGGATTTCGTTGGAAACGGGATAAAACGCACAGAACTAAAACAGAAGCATTCTCAGAAACTTCTCTGTGATGTTTGTGTTCAACTCCCAGAGTTTCACGTTGCTTTTCATAGAGTAGTTCTGAAACATGCTTTTCGTAGTGTCTGCAAGTGGACATTTGGAGCGCTTTCAGGCCTGTGGTGGAAAACGAATTATGGTCACATAAAAACTGGAGAGAAGCCTTCTCAGAAACTTCTCTGTGATGATTGCATTCAACTCACAGAGTTGAACCCTCCTATGGATAGAGCAGTGTTGAAACTCTCTTTTTGTGGAATCTGCAAGTGGATATGTGGACCTCTCCGAAGATGTCTTTGGAAACGGGAATATCTTCACATAAAAACTAAACAGAAGCATTCTCAGAAACTTCTTGGTGATGTTTGCATTCAAATCCCAGAGTTGAACCTTCCTTTGATAGTTCAGGTTTGAAACACTCTTTTTGTAGGATCTGCAAGTGGCTATTTGGACCACTCTGTGGCCTTCGTTCGAAACTGGTATATCTTCGCATAAAATCTAGACAGAAGCATTCTCAGAAAATACTTTGTGATGATTGAGTTTAAATCACAGAGCTGACCATTCCTTTGGATGGAGCAGGTTTGAGACACACTTTTTGTAGAATCTACAAGTGGATATTTGGACCTCTCTGAGGATTTCGTTGGAAACGGGATAACTGCACCTAACTAAACGGAAGCATTCTCAGAAACTGCTTTGTGATGATTGCATTCACCTCACAGAGTTGAACATTCCTATTGATAGAGCAGTTTGGAAACACTCTTGTTGTGGAATGTGCAAGTGGAGATTTGGAGCGCTTTGAGGCCTATGGTAGTAAAGGGAATAGCTTCATAGAAAAACTAGACAGATGCATTCTCAGGAACTTTTTGGTGATGTTTGTATTCAACTCCCAGAGTTGAACTTTCCTTTGGAAAGAGCAGCTATGAAACACTCTTTTTCTAGAATCTGCAAGTGGACGTTTGGAGGGCTTTGTGGTTTGTGGTGGAAAAGGAAATATCTTCACCTAAATACTAGATAGAAGCATTCTCAGAAGCTTCTCTGTGATGACTGCATTCAACTCACGGAGTTGAACACTCCTTTTGAGAGCGCAGTTTTGAAACTCTCTTTCTGTGGCATCTGCAAGGGGACATGTAGACCTCTTTGAAGATTTCGTTGGAAACGGAATCATCTTCACATAAAAACTATACAGAAGCAGTCTCAGAATCTTCTTTGTGATGTTTGCATTCAAATCCCAGAGTTGAACTTTCCTTTCAAAGTTCACGTTTGAAACACTCTTTTTGCAGGATCTACAAGTGGATATTTGGACCACTCTGTGTCCTTCGTTCGAAACGGGTATATCTTCACACGACATCTAGACAGAAGCTTTCTCAGAAAATTCTTTGGGATGATTGAGTGGAACTCACAGAGCTGAACATTCCTTGCGATGGAGCAGTTTAGAAACACACTTTCTGCAGAATCTGCAAGTGCATATTTGGACCTCTCTGAGGAATTCGTTGGAAACGGGATAATTTCAGCTGACTAAACAGAAGCATTCTCAGAACCTTCTTCGTGATGTCTGCATTCAACTCACAGTGTGGAACCTTTCTTTGATAGTTCAGGTTTGAAACACTCTTTTTGTAGAAACTGCAAGGGGATAATTGCACTTCTTTGAGGCCTACCGTAGTAAAGGAAATAACTTCCTATAGAAAGAAGACAGAAGCATTCTCAGAACCCTCTTCGTGATGTTTGCATTCAACTCACAGTGCTGAACCTTTCTTTGATAGTTCAGCTTTGAAACACTCTTCTTGTAGAAACTGCAAGTGGATATTTGGTCCTCTCTGAGGATTTCGTTGGAAACGGGATAAACCGCACAGAACTAAACAGAAGAACTCTCAGTAGCCCTCTTCGTGATGTTTGCATTCAACTCACAGTGCTGAACCTTTCTTTGATAGTGCAGCTTTGAAACACTCTTTTTGTAGAAACTGCAAGTGGATATTTGGTCCTCTCTGAGGATTTCGTTGGAAACGGGATAAACCGCACAGAACTAAAACAGAAGCATTCTCAGAACCTTCTTCGTGATGTTTGCATTCAACTCACAGTGTTGAACCTTTCTTTGATAGTTCAGGTTTGAAACGGTCTTTCTGTAGAAACTGCAAGTAGATATTTGGACCTCTCTGAGGATTTCGTTGGAAACGGGATAACCCGCACAGAACTAAAACAGAAGCATTCACAGAAAACTCTTGGTGACGACTGAGTTTAACTCACAGAGCTGAACATTCCTTTGGATGGAGCAGTTTCGAAACACACTATTTGTAGAATGTGCAAGTGGATATTTGGGCCTCTCTGAGGATTTCGTTGGAAACGGGATAAACCGCACAGAACTAAACAGAAGCATTCTCAGAAACTACTTTGTGATGATTGCATTCAAGTCACAGAGTTGAACATTCCCTTTGACAGAGCAGTTTGGAAACTCTCTTTGTGTAGAATCTGCAAGTGGAGATATGGACCGCTTTGAGGCCTATGGTAGTAAAGGAAATAGCTTCATATAAAAGCTAGACAGTAGCATTCTCAGAAACTTCTTTGTGATGCTTGCATTCAACTCACAGATGTTGAACTTTCCTTTCGAGAGAGAAGCTTTGAAACACTCTTTTTCCAGAATCTGCAAGTGGACATTTGGAGGGCTTTGAGGCCTGTGGTGGAAAAGGAATTATCTTCCCGTAAAAGCTAGATAGAAGCATTGTCAGAAACTTCTTTGTGATGATTGCATTCAACTCACAGAGTTGAAAGTTCCTTTTCAAAGAGCAGTTTCCAATCACTCTTTGTGTGGAATCTGCAAGTGGATATTTGGACCTATTTTGAAGATTTCGTTGGAAACGGGAGAATCTTCACAGGAAAGCTAAACAGAAGCATTCTCAGAAACTTCTCTGTGATGTTTGTGTTCAACTCCCAGAGTTTCACATTGCTTTTCATAGAGTAGTTCTGAAACATGCTTTTCGTAGTGTCTACAAGTGGACATTTGGAGCGCTTTCAGGCCTGTGGTGGAAAACGAATTATGGTCACATAAAAACTGGAGAGAAGCCTTCTCAGAAACTTCTCTGTGATGATTGCATTCAACTCACAGAGTTGAACCCTCCTATGGATAGAGCAGTGTTGAAACTCTCTTTTTGTGGAATCTGCAAGTGGATACGTGGACCTCTCCGAAGATGTCTTTGGAAACGGGAATATCTTCACATAAAAACTAAACAGAAGCATTCTCAGAAACTTCTTGGTGATGTTTGCATTCAAATCCCAGAGTTGAACCTTCCTTTGATAGTTCAGGTTTGAAACACTCTTTTTGTAGGATCTGCAAGTGGATATTTGGACCACTCTGTGGCCTTCGTTCGAAACGGGTATATCTTCGCATAAAATCTAGACAGAAGCATTCTCAGAAAATACTTTGTGATGATTGAGTTAAAATCACAGAGCTGAACATTCCTTTGGATGGAGCAGGTTTGAGACACACTTTTTGTAGAATCTACAAGTGGATATTTGGACCTCTCTGAGGATTTCGTTGGAAACGGGATAACTGCACCTAACTAAACGGAAGCATTCTCAGAAACTGCTTTGTGATGATTGCATTCACCTCACAGAGTTGAACATTCCTATTGATAGAGCAGTTTGGAAACACTCTTGTTGTGGAATGTGCAAGTGGAGATTTGGAGCGCTTTGAGGCCTATGGTAGTAAAGGGAATAGCTTCATAGAAAAACTAGACAGATGCATTCTCAGGAACTTTTTGGTGATGTTTGTATTCAACTCCCAGAGTTGAACTTTCCTTTGGAAAGAGCAGCTATGAAACACTCTTTTTCTAGAATCTGCAAGTGGACGTTTGGAGGGCTTTGTGGTTTGTGGTGGAAAAGGAAATATCTTCACCTAAATACTAGATAGAAGCATTCTCAGAAGCTTCTCTGTGATGACTGCATTCAACTCACGGAGTTGAACACTCCTTTTGAGAGCGCAGTTTTGAAACTCTCTTTCTGTGGCATCTGCAAGGGGACATGTAGACCTCTTTGAAGATTTCGTTGGAAACGGAATCATCTTCACATAAAAACTATACAGAAGCAGTCTCAGAATCTTCTTTGTGATGTTTGCATTCAAATCCCAGAGTTGAACTTTCCTTTCAAAGTTCACGTTTGAAACACTCTTTTTGCAGGATCTACAAGTGGATATTTGGACCACTCTGTGTCCTTCGTTCGAAACGGGTATATCTTCACACGACATCTAGACAGAAGCTTTCTCAGCAAAATTCTTTGGGATGATTGAGTGGAACTCACAGAGCTGAACATTCCTTGCGATGTAGCAGTTTAGAAACACACTTTCTGCAGAATCTGCAAGTGCATATTTGGACCTCTCTGAGGAATTCGTTGGAAACGGGATAATTTCAGCTGACTAAACAGAAGCATTCTCAGAACCTTCTTCGTGATGTCTGCATTCAACTCACAGTGTGGAACCTTTCTTTGATAGTTCAGGTTTGAAACACTCTTTTTGTAGAAACTGCAAGGGGATAATTTCACTTCTTTGAGGCCTACCGTAGTAAAGGAAATAACTTCCTATAGAAAGAAGACAGAAGCATTCTCAGAACCCTCTTCGTGATGTTTGCATTCAACTCACAGTGCTGAACCTTTCTTTGATAGTTCAGCTTTGAAACACTCTTCTTGTAGAAACTGCAAGTGGATATTTGGTCCTCTCTGAGGATTTCGTTGGAAACGGGATAAACCGCACAGAACTAAACAGAAGAATTCTCAGAGCCCTCTTCGTGATGTTTGCATTCAACTCACAGTGCTGAACCTTTCTTTGATAGTGCAGCTTTGAAACACTCTTTTTGTAGAAACTGCAAGTGGATGTTTGGTCCTCTCTGAGGATTTCGTTGGAAACGGGATAAACCGCACAGAACTAAAACAGAAAAGCATTGTCAGAAACTTCTTTGTGATGATTGCATTCAACTCACAGAGTTGAAGGTTCCTTTTCAAACAGCAGTTTCCAATCACTCTTTCTGTGGAATCTGCAAGTGGATATTTGGGCCTCTCTGAGGATTTCGTTGGAAACGGGATAAAACGCACAGAACTAAAACAGAAGCATTCTCAGAAACTTCTCTGTGATGTTTGTGTTCAACTCCCAGAGTTTCACGTTGCTTTTCATAGAGTAGTTCTGAAACATGCTTTTCGTAGTGTCTGCAAGTGGACATTTGGAGCGCTTTCAGGCCTGTGGTGGAAAACGAATTATGGTCACATAAAAACTGGAGAGAAGCCTTCTCAGAAACTTCTCTGTGATGATTGCATTCAACTCACAGAGTTGAACCCTCCTATGGATAGAGCAGTGTTGAAACTCTCTTTTTGTGGAATCTGCAAGTGGATATGTGGACCTCTCCGAAGATGTCTTTGGAAACGGGAATATCTTCACATAAAAACTAAACAGAAGCATTCTCAGAAACTTCTTGGTGATGTTTGCATTCAAATCCCAGAGTTGAACCTTCCTTTGATAGTTCAGGTTTGAAACACTCTTTTTGTAGGATCTGCAAGTGGCTATTTGGACCACTCTGTGGCCTTCGTTCGAAACGGGTATATCTTCGCATAAAATCTAGACAGAAGCATTCTCAGAAAATACTTTGTGACGATTGAGTTTAAATCACAGAGCTGAACATTCCTTTGGATGGAGCAGGTTTGAGACACACTTTTTGTAGAATCTACAAGTGGATATTTGGACCTCTCTGAGGATTTCGTTGGAAACGGGATAACTGCACCTAACTAAACGGAAGCATTCTCAGAAACTGCTTTGTGATGATTGCATTCACCTCACAGAGTTGAACATTCCTATTGATAGAGCAGTTTGGAAACACTCTTGTTGTGGAATGTGCAAGTGGAGATTTGGAGCGCTTTGAGGCCTATGGTAGTAAAGGGAATAGCTTCATAGAAAAACTAGACAGATGCATTCTCAGGAACTTTTTGGTGATGTTTGTATTCAACTCCCAGAGTTGAACTTTCCTTTGGAAAGAGCAGCTATGAAACACTCTTTTTCTAGAATCTGCAAGTGGACGTTTGGAGGGCTTTGTGGTTTGTGGTGGAAAAGGAAATATCTTCACCTAAATACTAGATAGAAGCATCCTCAGAAGCTTCTCTGTGATGACTGCATTCAACTCACGGAGTTGAACACTCCTTTTGAGAGCGCAGTTTTGAAACTCTCTTTCTGTGGCATCTGCAAGGGGACATGTAGACCTCTTTGAAGATTTCGTTGGAAACGGAATCATCTTCACATAAAAACTATACAGAAGCAGTCTCAGAATCTTCTTTGTGATGTTTGCATTCAAATCCCCGAGTTGAACTTTCCTTTCAAAGTTCACGTTTGAAACACTCTTTTTGCAGGATCTACAAGTGGATATTTGGACCACTCTGTGTCCTTCGTTCGAAACGGGTATATCTTCACATGACATCTAGACAGAAGCTTTCTCAGAAAATTCTTTGGGATGATTGAGTTGAACTCACAGAGCTGAGCATTCCTTGCGATGTAGCAGTTTAGAAACACACTTTCTGCAGAATCTGCAAGTGCATATTTGGACCTCTGTGAGGAATTCGTTGGAAACGGGATAATTTCAGCTGACTAAACAGAAGCATTCTCAGAACCTTCTTCATGATGTCTGCATTCAACTCACAGTGTGGAACCTTTCTTTGATAGTTCAGGTTTGAAACACTCTTTTTGTTGAAACTGCAGGGGATAATTGCACTTCTTTGAGGCCTACTGTAGCAAAAGAAATAACTTCCTATAAAAAGAAGACAGAAGCATTCTCAGAACCCTCCTTCGTGATGTTTGCATTCAACTCACAGTGCTGAACCTTTCTTTGATAGTTCAGCTTTGAAACACTCTTTTTGTAGAAACTGCAAGTGGATATTTGGTCCTCTCTGAGCATTTCGTTGGAAACGGGATAAACTGCACAGAACTAAACAGAAGCATTCTCAGAACCTTCTTCGTGATGTTTGCATTCAACTCACAGTGCTGAACCTTTCTTTGATAGTTCAGCTTTGAAACACTCTTTTTGTAGAAACTGCAAGTGGATATTTGGACCTCTCTGAGGATTTCGTTGGAAACGGGATAAACTGCACAGAACTAAAACAGAAGCATTCTCAGAACCTTCTTCGTGATGTTTGCATTCAACTCACAGTGTTGAACCTTTCTTTGATAGTTCAGGTTTGAAACGGTCTTTCTGTAGAAACTGCAAGTAGATATTTGGACCTCTCTGAGGATTTCGTTGGAAACGGGATAAACCGCACACAACTAAAACAGAAGCATTCACAGAAAACTCTTGGTGACGACTGAGTTTAACTCACAGAACTGAACATTCCTTTGGATGGAGCAGTTTCGAAACACACTATTTGTAGAATGTGCAAGTGGATATGTGGGCCTCTCTGAGGATTTCGTTGGAAACGGGATAAACCGCACAGAACTAAACAGAAGCATTCTCAGAAACTACGTTGTGATGATTGCATTCAAGTCACAGAGCTGAACATTCCCTTTGACAGAGCAGTTTGGAAACTCTCTTTGTGTAGAATCTGCAAGTGGAGATATGGACCGCTTTGAGGCCTATGGTAGTAAAGGAAATAGCTTCATATAAAAGCTAGACAGTAGCATTCTCAGAAACTTCTTTGTGATGCTTGCATTCAACTCACAGAGTTGAACTTTCCTTTCGAGAGAGAAGCTTTGAAACACTCTTTTTCCAGAATCTGCAAGTGGACATTTGGAGGGCTTTGAGGCCTGTGGTGGAAAAGGAATTATCTTCCCGTAAAAGCTAGATAGAAGCATTGTCAGAAACTTCTTTGTGATGATTGCATTCAACTCACAGAGTTGAAGGTTCCTTTTCAAAGAGCAGTTTCCAATCACTCTTTCTGTGGAATCTGCAAGTGGATATTTGGACCTCTTTGAAGATTTCGTTGGAAACGGGAGAATCTTCACAGAAAAGCTAAACAGAAGCATTCTCAGAAACTTCTCTGTGATGTTTGTGTTCAACTCCCAGAGTTTCACATTGCTTTTCATAGAGTAGTTCTGAAACATGCTTTTCGTAGTGTCTACAAGTGGACATTTGGAGCGCTTTCAGGCCTGTGGTGGAAAACGAATTATGGTCACATAAAAACTGGAGAGAAGCCTTCTCAGAAACTTCTCTGTGATGATTGCATTCAACTCACAGAGTTGAACCCTCCTATGGATAGAGCAGTGTTGAAACTCTCTTTTTGTGGAATCTGCAAGTGGATATGTGGACCTCTCCGAAGATGTCTTTGGAAACGGGAATATCTTCACATAAAAACTAAACAGAAGCATTCTCAGAAACTTCTTGGTGATGTTTGCATTCAAATCCCAGAGTTGAACCTTCCTTTGATAGTTCAGGTTTGAAACACTCTTTCTGTAGGATCTGCAAGTGGCTATTTGGACCACTCTGTGGCCTTCGTTCGAAACGGGTATATCTTCGCATAAAATCTAGACAGAAGCATTCTCAGAAAATACTTTGTGATGATTGAGTTTAAATCACAGAGCTGACCATTCCTTTGGATGGAGCAGGTTTGAGACACACTTTTTGTAGAATCTACAAGTGGATATTTGGACCTCTCTGAGGATTTCGTTGGAAACGGGATAACTGCACCTAACTAAACGGAAGCATTCTCAGAAACTGCTTTGTGATGATTGCATTCACCTCACAGAGTTGAACATTCCTATTGATAGAGCAGTTTGGAAACACTCTTGTTGTGGAATGTGCAAGTGGAGATTTGGAGCGCTTTGAGGCCTATGGTAGTAAAGGGAATAGCTTCATAGAAAAACTAGACAGATGCATTCTCAGGAACTTTTTGGTGATGTTTGTATTCAACTCCCAGAGTTGAACTTTCCTTTGGAAAGAGCAGCTATGAAACACTCTTTTTCTAGAATCTGCAAGTGGACGTTTGGAGGGCTTTGTGGTTTGTGGTGGAAAAGGAAATATCTTCACCTAAATACTAGATAGAAGCATTCTCAGAAGCTTCTCTGTGATGACTGCATTCAACTCACGGAGTTGAACACTCCTTTTGAGAGCGTAGTTTTGAAACTCTCTTTCTGTGGCATCTGCAAGGGGACATGTAGACCTCTTTGAAGATTTCGTTGGAAACGGAATCATCTTCACATAAAAACTATACAGAAGCAGTCTCAGAATCTTCTTTGTGATGTTTGCATTCAAATCCCAGAGTTGAACTTTCCTTTCAAAGTTCACGTTTGAAACACTCTTTTTGCAGGATCTACAAGTGGATATTTGGACCACTCTGTGTCCTTCGTGCGAAACGGGTATATCTTCACATGACATCTAGACAGAAGCTTTCTCAGAAAATTCTTTGGGATGATTGAGTGGAACTCACAGAGCTGAACATTCCTTGCGATGTAGCAGTTTAGAAACACACTTTCTGCAGAATCTGCAAGTGCATATTTGGACCTCTCTGAGGAATTCGTTGGAAACGGGATAATTTCAGCTGACTAAACAGAAGCATTCTCAGAACCTTCTTCGTGATGTCTGCATTCAACTCACATTGTGGAACCTTTCTTTGATAGCTCAGGTTTGAAACACTCTTTTTGTAGAAACTGCAAGGGGATAATTGCACTTCTTTGAGGCCTACCGTAGTAAAGGAAATAACTTCCTATAGAAAGAAGACAGAAGCATTCTCAGAACCCTCTTCGTGATGTTTGCATTCAACTCACAAGTGCTGAACCTTTCTTTGATAGTTCAGCTTTGAAACACTCTTCTTGTAGAAACTGCAAGTGGATATTTGGTCCTCTCTGAGGATTTCGTTGGAAACGGGATAAACCGCACAGAACTAAACAGAAGCATTCTCAGAACCTTCTTCGTGATGTTTGCATTCAACTCACAGTGTTGAACCTTTCTTTGATAGTTCAGGTTTGAAACGGTCTTTCTGTAGAAACTGCAAGTAGATATTTGGACCTCTCTGAGGATTTCGTTGGAAACGGGATAAACCGCACAGAACTAAAACAGAAGCATTCACAGAAAACTCTTGGTGACGAATGAGTTTAACTCACAGAGCTGAACATTCCTTTGGATGGAGCAGTTTCGAAACACACTATTTGTAGAATGTGCAAGTGGATATTTGGGCCTCTCTGAGGATTTCGTTGGAAACGGGATAAACCGCACAGAACTAAACAGAAGCATTCTCAGAAACTACTTTGTGATGATTGCATTCAAGTCACAGAGTTGAACATTCCCTTTGACAGAGCAGTTTGGAAACTCTCTTTGTGTAGAATCTGCAAGTGGAGATATGGACCGCTTTGAGGCCTATGGTAGTAAAGGAAATAGCTTCATATAAAAGCTAGACAGTAGCATTCTCAGAAACTTCTTTGTGATGCTTGCATTCAACTCACAGAGTTGAACTTTCCTTTCGAGAGAGAAGCTTTGAAACACTCTTTTTCCAGAATGTGCAAGTGGACATTTGGGGAGCTTTGAGGCCTGTGGTGGAAAAGGAATTATCTTCCCGTAAAAGCTAGATAGAGCATTGTCAGAAACTTCTTTGTGATGATTGCATTCAACTCACAGAGTTGAAGGTTCCTTTTCAAACAGCAGTTTCCAATCACTCTTTCTGTGGAATCTGCAAGTGGATATTTCGACCTCTTTGAAGATTTCGTTGGAAACGGGAGAATCTTCACAGAAAAGCTAAACAGAAGCATTCTCAGAAACTTCTCTGTGATGTTTGTGTTCAACTCCCAGAGTTTCACATTGCTTTTCATAGAGTAGTTCTGAAACATGCTTTTCGTAGTGTCTACAAGTGGACATTTGGAGCGCTTTCAGGCCTGTGGTGGAAAACGAATTATGGTCACATAAAAACTGGGAGAGAAGCCTTCTCAGAAACTTCTCTGTGATGATTGCATTCAACTCACAGAGTTGAACCCTACTATGGATAGAGCAGTGTTGAAACTCTCTTTTTGTGGAATCTGCAAGTGGATATGTGGACCTCTCCGAAGATGTCTTTGGAAAGGGGACTATCTTCACATAAAAACTAAACAGAAGCATTCTCAGAAACTTCTTGGTGATGTTTGCATTCAAATCCCAGAGTTGAACCTTCCTTTGATAGTTCAGGTTTGAAACACTCTTTTTGTAGGATCTGCAAGTGGATATTTGGACCACTCTGTGGCCTTCGTTCGAAACGGGTACATCTTCGCATAAAATCTAGACAGAAGCATTCTCAGAAAATACTTTGTGATGATTGAGTTTAACTCACAGAGCTGAACATTCCTTTGGATGGAGCAGGCTTGAGACACACTTTTTGTAGAATCTACAAGTGGATATTTGGACCTCTCTGAGGATTTCGTTGGAAACGAGATAACTGCACCTAACTAAACGGAAGCATTCTCAGAAACTGCTTTGTGATGATTGCATTCACCTCACAGAGTTGAACATTCCTATTGATAGAGCAGTTTGGAAACACTCCTGTTGTGGAATGTGCAAGTGGAGATTTGGAGCGCTTTGAGGCCTATGGTAGTAAAGGGAATAGTTTCATAGAAAAACTAGACAGATGCATTCTCAGGAACTTTTTGGTGATGTTTGTATTCAACTCCCAGAGTTGAACTTTCCTTTGGAAAGAGCAGCTATGAAACACTCTTTTTCTAGAATCTGCAAGTGGACGTTTGGAGGGCTTTGTGGTTTGTGGTGGAAAAGGAAATATCTTCACCTAAATACTAGATAGAAGCATTCTCAGAAGCTTCTCTGTGATGACTGCATTCAACTCACGGAGTTGAACACTCCTTTTGAGAGCGCAGTTTTGAAACTCTCTTTCTGTGGCATCTGCAAGGGGACATGTAGACCTCTTTGAAGATTTCGTTGGAAACGGAATTCATCTTCACATAAAAACTATACAGAAGCAGTCTCAGAATCTTCTTTGTGATGTTTGCATTCAAATCCCAGAGTTGAACTTTCCTTTCAAAGTTCACGTTTGAAACACTCTTTTTGCAGGATCTACAAGTGGATATTTGGACCACTCTGTGTCCTTCGTTGGAAACGGGTATATCTTCACATGACATCTAGACAGAAGCTTTCTCAGAAAATTCTTTGGGATGATTGAGTGGAACTCACAGAGCTGAACATTCCTTGCGATGTAGCAGTTTAGAAACACACTTTCTGCAGAATCTGCAAGTGCATATTTGGACCTCTCTGAGGAATTCGTTGGAAACGGGATAATTTCAGCTGACTAAACAGAAGCATTCTCAGAACCTTCTTCGTGATGTCTGCATTCAACTCACAGTGTGGAACCTTTCTTTGATAGTTCAGGTTTGAAACACTCTTTTTGTAGAAACTGCAAGGGGATAATTGCACTTCTTTGAGGCCTACCGTAGTAAAGGAAATAACTTCCTATAGAAAGAAGACAGAAGCATTCTCAGAACCCTCTTCGTGATGTTTGCATTCAACTCACAGTGCTGAACCTTTCTTTGATAGTTCAGCTTTGAAACACTCTTCTTGTAGAAACTGCAAGTGGATATTTGGTCCTCTCTGAGGATTTCGTTGGAAACGGGATAAACCTCACAGAACTAAACAGAAGAATTCTCAGAGCCCTCTTCGTGATGTTTGCATTCAACTCACAGTGCTGAACCTTTCTTTGATAGTGCAGCTTTGAAACACTCTTTTTGTAGAAACTGCAAGTGGATGTTTGGTCCTCTCTGAGGATTTCGTTGGAAACGGGATAAACCGCACAGAACTAAAACAGAAGCATTGTCAGAAACTTCTTTGTGATGATTGCATTCAACTCACAGAGTTGAAGGTTCCTTTTCAAACAGCAGTTTCCAATCACTCTTTCTGTGGAATCTGCAAGTGGATATTTGGGCCTCTCTGAGGATTTCGTTGGAAACGGGATAAAACGCACAGAACTAAAACAGAAGCATTCTCAGAAACTTCTCTGTGATGTTTGTGTTCAACTCCCAGAGTTTCACGTTGCTTTTCATAGAGTAGTTCTGAAACATGCTTTTCGTAGTGTCTGCAAGTGGACATTTGGAGCGCTTTCAGGCCTGTGGTGGAAAACGAATTATGGTCACATAAAAACTGGAGAGAAGCCTTCTCAGAAACTTCTCTGTGATGATTGCATTCAACTCACAGAGTTGAACCCTCCTATGGATAGAGCAGTGTTGAAACTCTCTTTTTGTGGAATCTGCAAGTGGATATGTGGACCTCTCCGAAGATGTCTTTGGAAACGGGAATATCTTCACATAAAAACTAAACAGAAGCATTCTCAGAAACTTCTTGGTGATGTTTGCATTCAAATCCCAGAGTTGAACCTTCCTTTGATAGTTCAGGTTTGAAACACTCTTTTTGTAGGATCTGCAAGTGGCTATTTGGACCACTCTGTGGCCTTCGTTCGAAACGGGTATATCCTCGCATAAAATCTAGACAGAAGCATTCTCAGAAAATACTTTGTGATGATTGAGTTTAAATCACAGAGCTGACCATTCCTTTGGATGGAGCAGGTTTGAGACACACTTTTTGTAGAATCTACAAGTGGATATTTGGACCTCTCTGAGGATTTCGTTGGAAACGGGATAACTGCACCTAACTAAACGGAAGCATTCTCAGAAACTGCTTTGTGATGATTGCATTCACCTCACAGAGTTGAACATTCCTATTGATAGAGCAGTTTGGAAACACTCTTGTTGTGGAATGTGCAAGTGGAGATTTGGAGCGCTTTGAGGCCTATGGTAGTAAAGGGAATAGCTTCATAGAAAACCTAGACAGATGCATTCTCAGGAACTTTTTGGTGATGTTTGTATTCAACTCCCAGAGTTGAACTTTCCTTTGGAAAGAGCAGCTATGAAACACTCTTTGTCTAGAATCTGCAAGTGGACGTTTGGAGGGCTTTGTGGTTTGTGGTGGAAAAGGAAATATCTTCACCTAAATACTAGATAGAAGCATTCTCAGAAGCTTCTCTGTGATGACTGCATTCAACTCACGGAGTTGAACACTCCTTTTGAGAGCGCAGTTTTGAAACTCTCTTTCTGTGGCATCTGCAAGGGGACATGTAGACCTCTTTGAAGATTTCGTTGGAAACGGAATCATCTTCACATCAAAACTATACAGAAGCAGTCTCAGAATCTTCTTTGTGATGTTTGCATTCAAATCCCAGAGTTGAACTTTCCTTTCAAAGTTCACGTTTGAAACACTCTTTTTGCAGGATCTACAAGTGGATATTTGGACCACTCTGTGTCCTTCGTTCGAAACGGGTATACCTTCACATGACATCTAGACAGAAGCTTTCTCAGAAAATTCTTTGGGATGATTGAGTTGAGCAAACAGAGCTGAACATTCCTTGCGATGTAGCAGTTTAGAAACACACTTTCTGCAGAATCTGCAAGTGCATATGTGGACCTCTCTGAGGAATTCGTTGGAAATGGGATAATTTCAGCTGACTAAACAGAAGCATTCTCAGAACCTTCTTCGTGATGTCTGCATTCAACTCACAGTGTGGAACCTTTCTTTGATAGTTCAGGTTTGAAACACTCTTTTTGTAGAAACTGCAAGGGGATAATTGCACTTCTTTGAGGCCTACCGTAGTAAAGGAAATAACTTCCTATAGAAAGAAGACAGAAGCATTCTCAGAACCCTCTTCGTGATGTTTGCATTCAACTCACAGTGCTGAACCTTTCTTTGATAGTTCAGCTTTGAAACACTCTTCTTGTAGAAACTGCAAGTGGATATTTGGTCCTCTCTGAGGATTTCGTTGGAAACGGGATAAACCGCACAGAACTAAACAGAAGAATTCTCAGAGCCCTCTTCGTGATGTTTGCATTCAACTCACAGTGCTGAACCTTTCTTTGATAGTGCAGCTTTGAAACACTCTTTTTGTAGAAACTGCAAGTGGATGTTTGGTCCTCTCTGAGGATTTCGTTGGAAACGGGATAAACCGCACAGAACTAAAACAGAAGCATTGTCAGAAACTTCTTTGTGATGATTGCATTCAACTCACAGAGTTGAAGGTTCCTTTTCAAACAGCAGTTTCCAATCACTCTTTCTGTGGAATCTGCAAGTGGATATTTGGGCCTCTCTGAGGATTTCGTTGGAAACGGGATAAAACGCACAGAACTAAAACAGAAGCATTCTCAGAAACTTCTCTGTGATGTTTGTGTTCAACTCCCAGAGTTTCACGTTGCTTTTCATAGAGTAGTTCTGAAACATGCTTTTCGTAGTGTCTGCAAGTGGACATTTGGAGCGCTTTCAGGCCTGTGGTGGAAAACGAATTATGGTCACATAAAAACTGGAGAGAAGCCTTCTCAGAAACTTCTCTGTGATGATTGCATTCAACTCACAGAGTTGAACCCTCCTATGGATAGAGCAGTGTTGAAACTCTCTTTTTGTGGAATCTGCAAGTGGATATGTGGACCTCTCTGAAGATGTCTTTGGAAACGGGAATATCTTCACATAAAAACTAAACAGAAGCATTCTCAGAAACTTCTTGGTGATGTTTGCATTCAAATCCCAGAGTTGAACCTTCCTTTGATAGTTCAGGTTTGAAACACTCTTTTTGTAGGATCTGCAAGTGGCTATTTGGACCACTCTGTGGCCTTCGTTCGAAACGGGTATATCTTCGCATAAAATCTAGACAGAAGCATTCTCAGAAAATACTTTGTGATGATTGAGTTTAAATCACAGAGCTGACCATTCCTTTGGATGGAGCAGGTTTGAGACACACTTTTTGTAGAATCTACAAGTGGATATTTGGACCTCTCTGAGGATTTCGTTGGAAACGGGATAACTGCACCTAACTAAACGGAAGCATTCTCAGAAACTGCTTTGTGATGATTGCATTCACCTCACAGAGTTGAACATTCCTATTGATAGAGCAGTTTGGAAACACTCTTGTTGTGGAATGTGCAAGTGGAGATTTGGAGCGCTTTGAGGCCTATGGTAGTAAAGGGAATAGCTTCATAGAAAAACTAGACAGATGCATTCTCAGGAACCTTTTGGTGATGTTTGTATTCAACTCCCAGAGTTGAACTTTCCTTTGGAAAGAGCAGCTATGAAACACTCTTTTTCTAGAATCTGCAAGTGGACGTTTGGAGGGCTTTGTGGTTTGTGGTGGAAAAGGAAATATCTTCACCTAAATACTAGATAGAAGCATTCTCAGAAGCTTCTCTGTGATGACTGCATTCAACTCACGGAGTTGAACACTCCTTTTGAGAGCGCAGTTTTGAAACTCTCTTTCTGTGGCATCTGCAAGGGGACATGTAGACCTCTTTGAAGATTTCATTGGAAACGGAATCATCTTCACATAAAAACTATACAGAAGCAGTCTCAGAATCTTCTTTGTGATGTTTGCATTCAAATCCCAGAGTTGAACTTTCCTTTCAAAGTTCACGTTTGAAACACTCTTTTTGCAGGATCTACAAGTGGATATTTGGACCACTCTGTGTCCTTCGTTCGAAACGGGTATATCTTCACATGACATCTAGACAGAAGCTTTCTCAGAAAATTCTTTGGGATGATTGAGTTGAACTCACAGAGCTGAACATTCCTTGCGATGGAGCAGTTTAGAAACACACTTTCTGCAGAATCTGCAAGTGCATATTTGGACCTCTGTGAGGAATTCGTTGGAAACGGGATAATTACAGCTGACTAA
Source organism: Homo sapiens (assembly GCF_000001405.40). Classification (NCBI taxonomy): domain Eukaryota; kingdom Metazoa; phylum Chordata; class Mammalia; order Primates; family Hominidae; genus Homo; species Homo sapiens. The sequence goes on from NC_000017.11 coordinate 24,506,780, forward strand.
ACAGAAGCATTCTCAGAACCTTCTTCGTGATGTCTGCATTCAACTCACAGTGTGGAACCTTTCTTTGATAGTTCAGGTTTGAAACACTCTATTTGTGGAAACTGCAAGGGGATAATTGCACTTCTTTGAGGCCTACCGTAGTAATGGAAATAACTTCCTATAAAAAGAAGACAGACGCATTCTCAGAACCTTCTTCGTGATGTTTGCATTCAACTCACAGTGCTGAACCTTTCTTTGATAGTTCAGCTTTGAAACACTCTTTTTGTAGAAACTGCAAGTGGATATTTGATCCTCTCTGAGGATTTCTTTGGAAACGGCATAAACAGCACAGAACTAAACAGAAGCATTCTCAGAACCTTCTTCGTGATGTTTGCATTCAACTCACAGTGTTGAACCTTTCTTTGATAGTTCAGGTTTGAAACGGTCTTTGTGTAGAGACTGCAAGTAGATATTTGGACCTCTCTGAGGATTTCGTTGGAAACGGGATAAACCGCACAGAACTAAAACAGAAGCATTCACAGAAAACACTTGGTGACGACTGAGTTTAACTCACAGAGCTGAACATTCCTTTGGATGGAGCAGTTTCGAAACACACTATTTGTAGAATGTGCAAGTGGATATGTGGGCCTCTCTGAGGATTTCGTTGGAAACGGGATAAACCGCACAGAACTAAACAGAAGCATTCTCAGAAACTACTTTGTGATGATTGCATTCAAGTCACAGAGTTGAACATTCCCTTTGACAGAGCAGTTTGGAAACTCTCTTTGTGTAGAATCTGCAAGTGGAGATATGGACCGCTTTGAGGCCTATGGTAGTAAAGGAAATAGCTTCATATAAAAGCTAGACAGTAGCATTCTCAGAAACTTCTTTGTGATGCTTGCATTCAACTCACAGAGTTGAACTTTCCTTTCGAGAGAGAAGCTTTGAAACACTCTTTTTCCAGAATCTGCAAGTGGACATTTGGAGGGCTTTGAGGCCTGTGGTGGAAAAGGAATTATCTTCCCGTAAAAGCTAGATAGAAGCATTGTCAGAAACTTCTTTGTGATGATTGCATTCAACTCACAGAGTTGAAGGTTCCTTTTCAAAGAGCAGTTTCCAATCACTCTTTCTGTGGAATCTGCAAGTGGATATTTGGACCTATTTTGAAGATTTCGTTGGAAACGGGAGAATCTTCACAGGAAAGCTAAACAGAAGCATTCTCAGAAACTTCTCTGTGATGTTTGTGTTCAACTCCCAGAGTTTCACATTGCTTTTCATAGAGTAGTTCTGAAACATGCTTTTCGTAGTGTCTACAAGTGGACATTTGGAGCGCTTTCAGGCCTGTGGTGGAAAACGAATTATGGTCACATAAAAACTGGAGAGAAGCCTTCTCAGAAACTTCTCTGTGATGATTGCATTCAACTCACAGAGTTGAACCCTCCTATGGATAGAGCAGTGTTGAAACTCTCTTTTTGTGGAACCTGCAAGTGGCTATGTGGACCTCTCCGAAGATGTCTTTGGAAACGGGAATATCTTCACATAAAAACTAAACAGAAGCATTCTCAGAAACTTCTTGGTGATGTTTGCATTCAAATCCCAGAGTTGAACCTTCCTTTGATAGTTCAGGTTTGAAACACTCTTTTTGTAGGATCTGCAAGTGGATATTTGGACCACTCTGTGGCCTTCGTTCGAAACGGGTATATCTTCGCATAAAATCTAGACAGAAGCATTCTCAGAAAATACTTTGTGATGATTGAGTTTAACTCACAGAGCTGAACATTTCTTTGGATGGAGCAGGTTTGAGACACACCTTTTGTAGAATCTACAAGTGGATATTTGGACCTCTCTGAGGATTTCGTTGGAAACGGGATAACTGCACCTAACTAAACGGAAGCATTCTCAGAAACTGCTTTGTGATGATTGCATTCACCTCACAGAGTTGAACATTCCTATTGATAGAGCAGTTTGGAAACACTCTTGTTGTGGAATGTGCAAGTGGAGATTTGGAGCGCTTTGAGGCCTATGGTAGTAAAGGGAATAGCTTCATAGAAAAACTAGACAGATGCATTCTCAGGAACTTTTTGGTGATGTTTGTATTCAACTCCCAGAGTTGAACTTTCCTTTGGAAAGAGCAGCTATGAAACACTCTTTTTCTAGAATCTGCAAGTGGACGTTTGGAGGGCTTTGTGGTTTGTGGTGGAAAAGGAAATATCTTCACCTAAATACTAGATAGAAGCATTCTCAGAAGCTTCTCTGTGATGACTGCATTCAACTCACGGAGTTGAACACTCCTTTTGAGAGCGCAGTTTTGAAACTCTCTTTCTGTGGCATCTGCAAGGGGACATGTAGACCTCTTTGAAGATTTCGTTGGAAACGGAATCATCTTCACATAAAAACTATACAGAAGCAGTCTCAGAATCTTCTTTGTGATGTTTGCATTCAAATCCCAGAGTTGAACTTTCCTTTCAAAGTTCACGTTTGAAACACTCTTTTTGCAGGATCTACAAGTGGATATTTGGACCACTCTGTGTCCTTCGTTCGAAACGGGTATATCTTCACACGACATCTAGACAGAAGCTTTCTCAGAAAATTCTTTGGGATGATTGAGTGGAACTCACAGAGCTGAACATTCCTTGCGATGTAGCAGTTTAGAAACACACTTTCTGCAGAATCTGCAAGTGCATATTTGGACCTCTCTGAGGAATTCGTTGGAAACGGGATAATTTCAGCTGACTAAACAGAAGCATTCTCAGAACCTTCTTCGTGATGTCTGCATTCAACTCACAGTGTGGAACCTTTCTTTGATAGTTCAGGTTTGAAACACTCTTTTTGTAGAAACTGCAAGGGGATAATTGCACTTCTTTGAGGCCTACCGTAGTAAAGGAAATAACTTCCTATAGAAAGAAGACAGAAGCATTCTCAGAACCCTCTTCGTGATGTTTGCATTCAACTCACAGTGCTGAACCTTTCTTTGATAGTTCAGCTTTGAAACACTCTTCTTGTAGAAACTGCAAGTGGATATTTGGTCCTCTCTGAGGATTTCGTTGGAAACGGGATAAACCGCACAGAACTAAACAGAAGAATTCTCAGAGCCCTCTTCGTGATGTTTGCATTCAACTCACAGTGCTGAACCTTTCTTTGATAGTGCAGCTTTGAAACACTCTTTTTGTAGAAACTGCAAGTGGATGTTTGGTCCTCTCTGAGGATTTCGTTGGAAACGGGATAAACCGCACAGAACTAAAACAGAAGCATTGTCAGAAACTTCTTTGTGATGATTGCATTCAACTCACAGAGTTGAAGGTTCCTTTTCAAACAGCAGTTTCCAATCACTCTTTCTGTGGAATCTGCAAGTGGATATTTGGGCCTCTCTGAGGATTTCGTTGGAAACGGGATAAAACGCACAGAACTAAAACAGAAGCATTCTCAGAAACTTCTCTGTGATGTTTGTGTTCAACTCCCAGAGTTTCACGTTGCTTTTCATAGAGTAGTTCTGAAACATGCTTTTCGTAGTGTCTGCAAGTGGACATTTGGAGCGCTTTCAGGCCTGTGGTGGAAAACGAATTATGGTCACATAAAAACTGGAGAGAAGCCTTCTCAGAAACTTCTCTGTGATGATTGCATTCAACTCACAGAGTTGAACCCTCCTATGGATAGAGCAGTGTTGAAACTCTCTTTTTGTGGAATCTGCAAGTGGATATGTGGACCTCTCCGAAGATGTCTTTGGAAACGGGAATATCTTCACATAAAAACTAAACAGAAGCATTCTCAGAAACTTCTTGGTGATGTTTGCATTCAAATCCCAGAGTTGAACCTTCCTTTGATAGTTCAGGTTTGAAACACTCTTTCTGTAGGATCTGCAAGTGGCTATTTGGACCACTCTGTGGCCTTCGTTCGAAACGGGTATATCTTCGCATAAAATCTAGACAGAAGCATTCTCAGAAAATACTTTGTGATGATTGAGTTTAAATCACAGAGCTGACCATTCCTTTGGATGGAGCAGGTTTGAGACACACTTTTTGTAGAATCTACAAGTGGATATTTGGACCTCTCTGAGGATTTCGTTGGAAACGGGATAACTGCACCTAACTAAACGGAAGCATTCTCAGAAACTGCTTTGTGATGATTGCATTCACCTCACAGAGTTGAACATTCCTATTGATAGAGCAGTTTGGAAACACTCTTGTTGTGGAATGTGCAAGTGGAGATTTGGAGCGCTTTGAGGCCTATGGTAGTAAAGGGAATAGCTTCATAGAAAAACTAGACAGAAGCAGTCTCAGAATCTTCTTTGTGATGTTTGCATTCAAATCCCAGAGTTGAACTTTCCTTTCAAAGTTCACGTTTGAAACACTCTTTTTGCAGGATCTACAAGTGGATATTTGGACCACTCTGTGTCCTTCGTTCGAAACGGGTATATCTTCACACGACATCTAGACAGAAGCTTTCTCAGAAAATTCTTTGGGATGATTGAGTGGAACTCACAGAGCTGAACATTCCTTGCGATGGAGCAGTTTAGAAACACACTTTCTGCAGAATCTGCAAGTGCATATTTGGACCTCTCTGAGGAATTCGTTGGAAACGGGATAATTTCAGCTGACTAAACAGAAGCATTCTCAGAACCTTCTTCGTGATGTCTGCATTCAACTCACAGTGTGGAACCTTTCTTTGATAGTTCAGGTTTGAAACACTCTTTTTGTAGAAACTGCAAGGGGATAATTGCACTTCTTTGAGGCCTACCGTAGTAAAGGAAATAACTTCCTATAGAAAGAAGACAGAAGCATTCTCAGAACCCTCTTCGTGATGTTTGCATTCAACTCACAGTGCTGAACCTTTCTTTGATAGTTCAGCTTTGAAACACTCTTCTTGTAGAAACTGCAAGTGGATATTTGGTCCTCTCTGAGGATTTCGTTGGAAACGGGATAAACCGCACAGAACTAAACAGAAGAATTCTCAGAGCCCTCTTCGTGATGTTTGCATTCAACTCACAGTGCTGAACCTTTCTTTGATAGTGCAGCTTTGAAACACTCTTTTTGTAGAAACTGCAAGTGGATGTTTGGTCCTCTCTGAGGATTTCGTTGGAAACGGGATAAACCGCACAGAACTAAAACAGAAGCATTGTCAGAAACTTCTTTGTGATGATTGCATTCAACTCACAGAGTTGAAGGTTCCTTTTCAAACAGCAGTTTCCAATCACTCTTTCTGTGGAATCTGCAAGTGGATATTTGGGCCTCTCTGAGGATTTCGTTGGAAACGGGATAAAACGCACAGAACTAAAACAGAAGCATTCTCAGAAACTTCTCTGTGATGTTTGTGTTCAACTCCCAGAGTTTCACGTTGCTTTTCATAGAGTAGTTCTGAAACATGCTTTTCGTAGTGTCTGCAAGTGGACATTTGGAGCGCTTTCAGGCCTGTGGTGGAAAACGAATTATGGTCACATAAAAACTGGAGAGAAGCCTTCTCAGAAACTTCTCTGTGATGATTGCATTCAACTCACAGAGTTGAACCCTCCTATGGATAGAGCAGTGTTGAAACTCTCTTTTTGTGGAATCTGCAAGTGGATATGTGGACCTCTCCGAAGATGTCTTTGGAAACGGGAATATCTTCACATAAAAACTAAACAGAAGCATTCTCAGAAACTTCTTGGTGATGTTTGCATTCAAATCCCAGAGTTGAACCTTCCTTTGATAGTTCAGGTTTGAAACACTCTTTCTGTAGGATCTGCAAGTGGCTATTTGGACCACTCTGTGGCCTTCGTTCGAAACGGGTATATCTTCGCATAAAATCTAGACAGAAGCATTCTCAGAAAATACTTTGTGATGATTGAGTTTAAATCACAGAGCTGACCATTCCTTTGGATGGAGCAGGTTTGAGACACACTTTTTGTAGAATCTACAAGTGGATATTTGGACCTCTCTGAGGATTTCGTTGGAAACGGGATAACTGCACCTAACTAAACGGAAGCATTCTCAGAAACTGCTTTGTGATGATTGCATTCACCTCACAGAGTTGAACATTCCTATTGATAGAGCAGTTTGGAAACACTCTTGTTGTGGAATGTGCAAGTGGAGATTTGGAGCGCTTTGAGGCCTGTGGTAGTAAAGGGAATAGCTTCATAGAAAAACTAGACAGATGCATTCTCAGGAACCTTTTCGTGATGTTTGTATTCAACTCCCAGAGTTGAACTTTCCTTTGGAAAGAGCAGCTATGAAACACTCTTTTTCTAGAATCTGCAAGTGGACGTTTGGAGGGCTTTGTGGTTTGTGGTGGAAAAGGAAATATCTTCACCTAAATACTAGATAGAAGCATTCTCAGAAGCTTCTCTGTGATGACTGCATTCAACTCACGGAGTTGAACACTCCTTTTGAGAGCGCAGTTTTGAAACTCTCTTTCTGTGGCATCTGCAAGGGGACATGTAGACCTCTTTGAAGATTTCGTTGGAAACGGAATCATCTTCACATAAAAACTATACAGAAGCAGTCTCAGAATCTTCTTTGTGATGTTTGCATTCAAATCCCAGAGTTGAACTTTCCTTTCAAAGTTCACGTTTGAAACACTCTTTTTGCAGGATCTACAAGTGGATATTTGGACCACTCTGTGTCCTTCGTTCGAAACGGGTATATCTTCACACGACATCTAGACAGAAGCTTTCTCAGAAAATTCTTTGGGATGATTGAGTGGAACTCACAGAGCTGAACATTCCTTGCGATGTAGCAGTTTAGAAACACACTTTCTGCAGAATCTGCAAGTGCATATTTGGACCTCTCTGAGGAATTCGTTGGAAACGGGATAATTTCAGCTGACTAAACAGAAGCATTCTCAGAACCTTCTTCGTGATGTCTGCATTCAACTCACAGTGTGGAACCTTTCTTTGATAGTTCAGGTTTGAAACACTCTTTTTGTAGAAACTGCAAGGGGATAATTGCACTTCTTTGAGGCCTACCGTAGTAAAGGAAATAACTTCCTATAGAAAGAAGACAGAAGCATTCTCAGAACCCTCTTCGTGATGTTTGCATTCAACTCACAGTGCTGAACCTTTCTTTGATAGTTCAGCTTTGAAACACTCTTCTTGTAGAAACTGCAAGTGGATATTTGGTCCTCTCTGAGGATTTCGTTGGAAACGGGATAAACCGCACAGAACTAAACAGAAGAATTCTCAGAGCCCTCTTCGTGATGTTTGCATTCAACTCACAGTGCTGAACCTTTCTTTGATAGTGCAGCTTTGAAACACTCTTTTTGTAGAAACTGCAAGTGGATGTTTGGTCCTCTCTGAGGATTTCGTTGGAAACGGGATAAACCGCACAGAACTAAAACAGAAGCATTGTCAGAAACTTCTTTGTGATGATTGCATTCAACTCACAGAGTTGAAGGTTCCTTTTCAAACAGCAGTTTCCAATCACTCTTTCTGTGGAATCTGCAAGTGGATATTTGGGCCTCTCTGAGGATTTCGTTGGAAACGGGATAAAACGCACAGAACTAAAACAGAAGCATTCTCAGAAACTTCTCTGTGATGTTTGTGTTCAACTCCCAGAGTTTCACGTTGCTTTTCATAGAGTAGTTCTGAAACATGCTTTTCGTAGTGTCTGCAAGTGGACATTTGGAGCGCTTTCAGGCCTGTGGTGGAAAACGAATTATGGTCACATAAAAACTGGAGAGAAGCATTCTCAGAAAATACTTTGTGATGATTGAGTTTAAATCACAGAGCTGACCATTCCTTTGGATGGAGCAGGTTTGAGACACACTTTTTGTAGAATCTACAAGTGGATATTTGGACCTCTCTGAGGATTTCGTTGGAAACGGGATAACTGCACCTAACTAAACGGAAGCATTCTCAGAAACTGCTTTGTGATGATTGCATTCACCTCACAGAGTTGAACATTCCTATTGATAGAGCAGTTTGGAAACACTCTTGTTGTGGAATGTGCAAGTGGAGATTTGGAGCGCTTTGAGGCCTATGGTAGTAAAGGGAATAGCTTCATAGAAAAACTAGACAGATGCATTCTCAGGAACCTTTTGGTGATGTTTGTATTCAACTCCCAGAGTTGAACTTTCCTTTGGAAAGAGCAGCTATGAAACACTCTTTTTCTAGAATCTGCAAGTGGACGTTTGGAGGGCTTTGTGGTTTGTGGTGGAAAAGGAAATATCTTCACCTAAATACTAGATAGAAGCATTCTCAGAAGCTTCTCTGTGATGACTGCATTCAACTCACGGAGTTGAACACTCCTTTTGAGAGCGTAGTTTTGAAACTCTCTTTCTGTGGCATCTGCAAGGGGACATGTAGACCTCTTTGAAGATTTCGTTGGAAACGGAATCATCTTCACATAAAAACTATACAGAAGCAGTCTCAGAATCTTCTTTGTGATGTTTGCATTCAAATCCCAGAGTTGAACTTTCCTTTCAAAGTTCACGTTTGAAACACTCTTTTTGCAGGATCTACAAGTGGATATTTGGACCACTCTGTGTCCTTCGTTCGAAACGGGTATATCTTCACAGGACATCTAGACAGAAGCTTTCTCAGAAAATTCTTTGGGATGATTGAGTGGAACTCACAGAGCTGAACATTCCTTGCGATGTAGCAGTTTAGAAACACACTTTCTGCAGAATCTGCAAGTGCATATTTGGACCTCTCTGAGGAATTCGTTGGAAACGGGATAATTTCAGCTGACTAAATATAAGCATTCTCAGAACCTTCTTCGTGATGTCTGCATTCAACTCACAGTGTGGAACCTTTCTTTGATAGTTCAGGTTTGAAACACTCTTTTTGTAGAAACTGCAAGGGGATAATTGCACTTCTTTGAGGCCTACCGTAGTAAAGGAAATAACTTCCTATAGAAAGAAGACAGAAGCATTCTCAGAACCCTCTTCGTGATGTTTGCATTCAACTCACAGTGCTGAACCTTTCTTTGATAGTTCAGCTTTGAAACACTCTTCTTGTAGAAACTGCAAGTGGATATTTGGTCCTCTCTGAGGATTTCGTTGGAAACGGGATAAACCGCACAGAACTAAACAGAAGAATTCTCAGAGCCCTCTTCGTGATGTTTGCATTCAACTCACAGTGCTGAACCTTTCTTTGATAGTGCAGCTTTGAAACACTCTTTTTGTAGAAACTGCAAGTGGATGTTTGGTCCTCTCTGAGGATTTCGTTGGAAACGGGATAAACCGCACAGAACTAAAACAGAAGCATTGTCAGAAACTTCTTTGTGATGATTGCATTCAACTCACAGAGTTGAAGGTTCCTTTTCAAACAGCAGTTTCCAATCACTCTTTCTGTGGAATCTGCAAGTGGATATTTGGGCCTCTCTGAGGATTTCGTTGGAAACGGGATAAAACGCACAGAACTAAAACAGAAGCATTCTCAGAAACTTCTCTGTGATGTTTGTGTTCAACTCCCAGAGTTTCACGTTGCTTTTCATAGAGTAGTTCTGAAACATGCTTTTCGTAGTGTCTGCAAGTGGACATTTGGAGCGCTTTCAGGCCTGTGGTGGAAAACGAATTATGGTCACATAAAAACTGGAGAGAAGCCTTCTCAGAAACTTCTCTGTGATGATTGCATTCAACTCACAGAGTTGAACCCTCCTATGGATAGAGCAGTGTTGAAACTCTCTTTTTGTGGAATCTGCAAGTGGATATGTGGACCTCTCCGAAGATGTCTTTGGAAACGGGAATATCTTCACATAAAAACTAAACAGAAGCATTCTCAGAAACTTCTTGGTGATGTTTGCATTCAAATCCCAGAGTTGAACCTTCCTTTGATAGTTCAGGTTTGAAACACTCTTTTTGTAGGATCTGCAAGTGGATATTTGGACCACTCTGTGGCCTTCGTTCGAAACGGGTATATCTTCGCATAAAATCTAGACAGAAGCATTCTCAGAAAATACTTTGTGATGATTGAGTTTAACTCACAGAGCTGAACATTCCTTTGGATGGAGCAGGTTTGAGACACACTTTTTGTAGAATCTACAAGTGGATATTTGGACCTCTCTGAGGATTTCGTTGGAAACGGGATAACTGCACCTAACTAAACGGAAGCATTCTCAGAAACTGCTTTGTGATGATTGCATTCACCTCACAGAGTTGAACATTCCTATTGATAGAGCAGTTTGGAAACACTCTTCTTGTGGAATGTGCAAGTGGAGATTTGGAGCGCTTTGAGGCCTATGGGTAGTAAAGGGAATAGCTTCATAGAAAAACTAGACAGATGCATTCTCAGGAACTTTTTGGTGATGTTTGTATTCAACTCCCAGAGTTGAACTTTCCTTTGGAAAGAGCAGCTATGAAACACTGTTTTTCTAGAATCTGCAAGTGGACGTTTGGAGGGCTTTGTGGTTTGTGGTGGAAAAGGAAATATCTTCACCTAAATACTAGATAGAAGCATCCTCAGAAGCTTCTCTGTGATGACTGCATTCAACTCACGGAGTTGAACACTCCTTTTGAGAGCGCAGTTTTGAAACTCTCTTTCTGTGGCATCTGCAAGGGGACATGTAGACCTCTTTGAAGATTTCGTTGGAAACGGAATCATCTTCACATAAAAACTATACAGAAGCAGTCTCAGAATCTTCTTTGTGATGTTTGCATTCAAATCCCAGAGTTGAACTTTCCTTTCAAAGTTCACGTTTGAAACACTCTTTTTGCAGGATCTACAAGTGGATATTTGGACCACTCTGTGTCCTTCGTTCGAAACGGGTATATCTTCACATGACATCTAGACAGAAGCTTTCTCAGAAAATTCTTTGGGATGATTGAGTGGAACTCACAGAGCTGAACATTCCTTGCGATGTAGCAGTTTAGAAACACACTTTCTGCAGAATCTGCAAGTGCATATTTGGACCTCTCCGAGGAATTCGTTGGAAACGGGATAATTTCAGCTGACTAAACAGAAGCATTCTCAGAACCTTCTTCGTGATGTCTGCATTCAACTCACAGTGTGGAACCTTTCTTTGATAGTTCAGGTTTGAAACACTCTTTTTGTAGAAACTGCAAGGGGATAATTGCGCTTCTTTGAGGCCTACCGTAGTAAAGGAAATAACTTCCTATAGAAAGAAGACAGAAGCATTCTCAGAACCCTCTTCGTGATGTTTGCATTCAACACACAGTGCTGAACCTTTCTTTGATAGTTCAGCTTTGAAACACTCTTCTTGTAGAAACTGCAAGTGGATATTTGGTCCTCTCTGAGGATTTCGTTGGAAACGGGATAAACCGCACAGAACTAAACAGAAGCATTCTCAGAACCTTCTTCGTGATGTTTGCATTCAACTCACAGTGTTGAACCTTTCTTTGATAGTTCAGGTTTGAAACGGTCTTTCTGTAGAAACTGCAAGTAGATATTTGGACCTCTCTGAGGATTTCGTTGGAAACGGGATAACCCGCACAGAACTAAAACAGATAGCATTCACAGAAAACTCTTGGTGACGACTGAGTTTAACTCACAGAGCTGAACATTCCTTTGGATGGAGCAGTTTCGAAACACACTATTTGTAGAATGTGCAAGTGGATATTTGGGCCTCTCTGAGGATTTCGTTGGAAACGGGATAAACCGCACAGAACTAAACAGAAGCATTCTGAGAAACTACTTTGTGATGATTGCATTCAAGTCACAGAGCTGAACATTCCCTTTGACAGAGCAGTTTGGAAACTCTCTTTGTGTAGAATCTGCAAGTGGAGATATGGAATGCTTTGAGGACTATGGTAGTAAAGGAAATAGCTCCATATAAAAGCTAGACAGTAGCATTCTCAGAAACTTCTTTGTGATGCTTGCATTCAACTCACAGAGTTGAACTTTCCTTTCGCGAGAGAAGCTTTGAAACACTCTTTTTCCAGAATCTGCAAGTGGACATTTGGAGGGCTTTGAGGCCTGTGGTGGAAAAGGAATTATCTTCCCGTAAAAGCTGGATAGAAGCATTGTCAGAAACTTCTTTGTGATGATTGCATTCAACTCACAGAGTTGAAGGTTCCTTTTCAAACAGCAGTTTCCAAACACTATTTCTGTGGAATCTGCAAGTGGATATTTGGACCTCTTTGAAGATTTCGTTGGAAACGGGATAACCTTCACAGAAAAGCTAAACAGAAGCATTCTCAGAAACTTCTCTGTGATGTTTGTGTTCAACTCCCAGAGTTTCACATTGCTTTTCATAGAGTAGTTCTGAAACATGCTTTTCGTAGTGTCTGCAAGTGGACATTTGGAGCACTTTCAGGCCTGAGGTGGAAAACGAATTATGGTCACATAAAAACTGGAGAGAAGCCTTCTCAGAAACTTCTCTGTGATGATTGCATTCAACTCACAGAGTTGAACCCTCCTATGGATAGAGCAGTGTTGAAACTCTCTTTTTGTGGAATCTGCAAGTGGATATGTGGACCTCTCCGAAGATGTCTTTGGAAACGGGAATATCTTCACATAAAAACTAAACAGAAGCATTCTCAGAAACTTCTTGGTGATGTTTGCATTGAAATCCCAGAGTTGAACCTTCCTTTGATAGTTCAGGTTTGAAACACTCTTTTTGTAGGATCTGCAAGTGGATATTTGGACCACTCTGTGGCCTTCGTTCGAAACGGCTATATCTTCGCATAAAATCTAGACAGAAGCATTCTCAGAAAATACTTTGTGATGATTGAGTTTAAATCACAGAGCTGACCATTCCTTTGGATGGAGCAGGTTTGAGACACACTTTTTGTAGAATCTACAAGTGGATATTTGGACCTCTCTGAGGATTTCGTTGGAAACGGGATAACTGCACCTAACTAAACGGAAGCATTCTCAGAAACTGCTTTGTGATGATTGCATTCACCTCACAGAGTTGAACATTCCTATTGATAGAGCAGTTTGGAAACACTCTTGTTGTGGAATGTGCAAGTGGAGATTTGGAGCGCTTTGAGGCCTGTGGTAGTAAAGGGAATAGCTTCATAGAAAAACTAGACAGATGCATTCTCAGGAACCTTTTGGTGATGTTTGTATTCAACTCCCAGAGTTGAACTTTCCTTTGGAAAGAGCAGCTATGAAACACTCTTTTTCTAGAATCTGCAAGTGGACGTTTGGAGGGCTTTGTGGTTTGTGGTGGAAAAGGAAATATCTTCACCTAAATACTAGATAGAAGCATTCTCAGAAGCTTCTCTGTGATGACTGCATTCAACTCACGGAGTTGAACACTCCTTTTGAGAGCGCAGTTTTGAAACTCTCTTTCTGTGGCATCTGCAAGGGGACATGTAGACCTCTTTGAAGATTTCGTTGGAAACGGAATCATCTTCACATAAAAACTATACAGAAGCAGTCTCAGAATCTTCTTTGTGATGTTTGCATTCAAATCCCAGAGTTGAACTTTCCTTTCAAAGTTCACGTTTGAAACACTCTTTTTGCAGGATCTACAAGTGGATATTTGGACCACTCTGTGTCCTTCGTTCGAAACGGGTATATCTTCACACGACATCTAGACAGAAGCTTTCTCAGAAAATTCTTTGGGATGATTGAGTGGAACTCACAGAGCTGAACATTCCTTGCGATGTAGCAGTTTAGAAACACACTTTCTGCAGAATCTGCAAGTGCATATTTGGACCTCTCTGAGGAATTCGTTGGAAACGGGATAATTTCAGCTGACTAAACAGAAGCATTCTCAGAACCTTCTTCGTGATGTCTGCATTCAACTCACAGTGTGGAACCTTTCTTTGATAGTTCAGGTTTGAAACACTCTTTTTGTAGAAACTGCAAGGGGATAATTGCACTTCTTTGAGGCCTACCGTAGTAAAGGAAATAACTTCCTATAGAAAGAAGACAGAAGCATTCTCAGAACCCTCTTCGTGATGTTTGCATTCAACTCACAGTGCTGAACCTTTCTTTGATAGTTCAGCTTTGAAACACTCTTCTTGTAGAAACTGCAAGTGGATATTTGGTCCTCTCTGAGGATTTCGTTGGAAACGGGATAAACCGCACAGAACTAAACAGAAGAATTCTCAGAGCCCTCTTCGTGATGTTTGCATTCAACTCACAGTGCTGAACCTTTCTTTGATAGTGCAGCTTTGAAACACTCTTTTTGTAGAAACTGCAAGTGGATGTTTGGTCCTCTCTGAGGATTTCGTTGGAAACGGGATAAACCGCACAGAACTAAAACAGAAGCATTGTCAGAAACTTCTTTGTGATGATTGCATTCAACTCACAGAGTTGAAGGTTCCTTTTCAAACAGCAGTTTCCAATCACTCTTTCTGTGGAATCTGCAAGTGGATATTTGGGCCTCTCTGAGGATTTCGTTGGAAACGGGATAAAACGCACAGAACTAAAACAGAAGCATTCTCAGAAACTTCTCTGTGATGTTTGTGTTCAACTCCCAGAGTTTCACGTTGCTTTTCATAGAGTAGTTCTGAAACATGCTTTTCGTAGTGTCTGCAAGTGGACATTTGGAGCGCTTTCAGGCCTGTGGTGGAAAACGAATTATGGTCACATAAAAACTGGAGAGAAGCCTTCTCAGAAACTTCTCTGTGATGATTGCATTCAACTCACAGAGTTGAACCCTCCTATGGATAGAGCAGTGTTGAAACTCTCTTTTTGTGGAATCTGCAAGTGGATATGTGGACCTCTCCGAAGATGTCTTTGGAAACGGGAATATCTTCACATAAAAACTAAACAGAAGCATTCTCAGAAACTTCTTGGTGATGTTTGCATTCAAATCCCAGAGTTGAACCTTCCTTTGATAGTTCAGGTTTGAAACACTCTTTCTGTAGGATCTGCAAGTGGCTATTTGGACCACTCTGTGGCCTTCGTTCGAAACGGGTATATCTTCGCATAAAATCTAGACAGAAGCATTCTCAGAAACTACTTTGTGATGATTGAGTTGAACTCACAGAGCTGAACATTCCTTTGGATGGAGCAGGTTTGAGACACACTTTTTGTAGAATCTACAAGTGGATATTTGGACCTCTCTGAGGATTTCGTTGGAAACGGGATAACTGCACCTAACTAAACGGAAGCATTCTCAGAAACTGCTTTGTGATGATTGCATTCACCTCACAGAGTTGAACATTCCTATTGATAGAGCAGTTTGGAAACACTCTTGTTGTGGAATGTGCAAGTGGAGATTTGGAGCGCTTTGAGGCCTATGGTAGTAAAGGGAATAGCTTCATAGAAAAACTAGACAGATGCATTCTCAGGAACTTTTTGGTGATGTTTGTATTCAACTCCCAGAGTTGAACTTTCCTTTGGAAAGAGCAGCTATGAAACACTCTTTTTCTAGAATCTGCAAGTGGACGTTTGGAGGGCTTTGTGGTTTGTGGTGGAAAAGGAAATATCTTCACCTAAATACTAGATAGAAGCATTCTCAGAAGCTTCTCTGTGATGACTGCATTCAACTCACGGAGTTGAACACTCCTTTTGAGAGCGCAGTTTTGAAACTCTCTTTCTGTGGCATCTGCAAGGGGACATGTAGACCTCTTTGAAGATTTCGTTGGAAACGGAATCATCTTCACATAAAAACTATACAGAAGCAGTCTCAGAATCTTCTTTGTGATGTTTGCATTCAAATCCCAGAGTTGAACTTTCCTTTCAAAGTTCACGTTTGAAACACTCTTTTTGCAGGATCTACAAGTGGATATTTGGACCACTCTGTGTCCTTCGTTCGAAACGGGTATATCTTCACACGACATCTAGACAGAAGCTTTCTCAGAAAATTCTTTGGGATGATTGAGTGGAACTCACAGAGCTGAACATTCCTTGCGATGTAGCAGTTTAGAAACACACTTTCTGCAGAATCTGCAAGTGCATATTTGGACCTCTCTGAGGAATTCGTTGGAAACGGGATAATTTCAGCTGACTAAACAGAAGCATTCTCAGAACCTTCTTCGTGATGTCTGCATTCAACTCACAGTGTGGAACCTTTCTTTGATAGTTCAGGTTTGAAACACTCTTTTTGTAGAAACTGCAAGGGGATAATTGCACTTCTTTGAGGCCTACCGTAGTAAAGGAAATAACTTCCTATAGAAAGAAGACAGAAGCATTCTCAGAACCCTCTTCGTGATGTTTGCATTCAACTCACAGTGCTGAACCTTTCTTTGATAGTTCAGCTTTGAAACACTCTTCTTGTAGAAACTGCAAGTGGATATTTGGTCCTCTCTGAGGATTTCGTTGGAAACGGGATAAACCGCACAGAACTAAACAGAGCATTCTCAGAACCTTCTTCGTGATGTTTGCATTCAACTCACAGTGTTGAACCTTTCTTTGATAGTTCAGGTTTGAAACGGTCTTTCTGTAGAAACTGCAAGTAGATATTTGGACCTCTCTGAGGATTTCGTTGGAAACGGGATAAACCGCACAGAACTAAAACAGAAGCATTGTCAGAAACTTCTTTGTGATGATTGCATTCAACTCACAGAGTTGAAGGTTCCTTTTCAAACAGCAGTTTCCAATCACTCTTTCTGTGGAATCTGCAAGTGGATATTTGGGCCTCTCTGAGGATTTCGTTGGAAACGGGATAAAACGCACAGAACTAAAACAGAAGCATTCTCAGAAACTTCTCTGTGATGTTTGTGTTCAACTCCCAGAGTTTCACGTTGCTTTTCATAGAGTAGTTCTGAAACATGCTTTTCGTAGTGTCTGCAAGTGGACATTTGGAGCGCTTTCAGGCCTGTGGTGGAAAACGAATTATGGTCACATAAAAACTGGAGAGAAGCCTTCTCAGAAACTTCTCTGTGATGATTGCATTCAACTCACAGAGTTGAACCCTCCTATGGATAGAGCAGTGTTGAAACTCTCTTTTTGTGGAATCTGCAAGTGGATATGTGGACCTCTCCGAAGATGTCTTTGGAAACGGGAATATCTTCACATAAAAACTAAACAGAAGCATTCTCAGAAACTTCTTGGTGATGTTTGCATTCAAATCCCAGAGTTGAACTTTCCTTTGATAGTTCAGGTTTGAAACACTCTTTCTGTAGGATCTGCAAGTGGCTATTTGGACCACTCTGTGGCCTTCGTTCGAAACGGGTATATCTTCGCATAAAATCTAGACAGAAGCATTCTCAGAAAATACTTTGTGATGATTGAGTTTAAATCACAGAGCTGACCATTCCTTTGGATGGAGCAGGTTTGAGACACACTTTTTGTAGAATCTACAAGTGGATATTTGGACCTCTCTGAGGATTTCGTTGGAAACGGGATAACTGCACCTAACTAAACGGAAGCATTCTCAGAAACTGCTTTGTGATGGTTGCATTCACCTCACAGAGTTGAACATTCCTATTGATAGAGCAGTTTGGAAACACTCTTGTTGTGGAATGTGCAAGTGGAGATTTGGAGCGCTTTGAGGCCTATGGTAGTAAAGGGAATAGCTTCATAGAAAAACTAGACAGATGCATTCTCAGGAACCTTTTGGTGATGTTTGTATTCAACTCCCAGAGTTGAACTTTCCTTTGGAAAGAGCAGCTATGAAACACTCTTTTTCTAGAATCTGCAAGTGGACGTTTGGAGGGCTTTGTGGTTTGTGGTGGAAAAGGAAATATCTTCACCTAAATACTAGATAGAAGCATTCTCAGAAGCTTCTCTGTGATGACTGCATTCAACTCACGGAGTTGAACACTCCTTTTGAGAGCGTAGTTTTGAAACTCTCTTTCTGTGGCATCTGCAAGGGGACATGTAGACCTCTTTGAAGATTTCGTTGGAAACGGAATCATCTTCACATAAAAACTATACAGAAGCAGTCTCAGAATCTTCTTTGTGATGTTTGCATTCAAATCCCAGAGTTGAACTTTCCTTTCAAAGTTCACGTTTGAAACACTCTTTTTGCAGGATCTACAAGTGGATATTTGGACCACTCTGTGTCCTTCGTTCGAAACGGGTATATCTTCACACGACATCTAGACAGAAGCTTTCTCAGAAAATTCTTTGGGATGATTGAGTGGAACTCACAGAGCTGAACATTCCTTGCGATGTAGCAGTTTAGAAACACACTTTCTGCAGAATCTGCAAGTGCATATTTGGACCTCTCTGAGGAATTCCGTTGGAAACGGGATAATTTCAGCTGACTAAACAGAAGCATTCTCAGAACCTTCTTCGTGATGTCTGCATTCAACTCACAGTGTGGAACCTTTCTTTGATAGTTCAGGTTTGAAACACTCTTTTTGTAGAAACTGCAAGGGGATAATTGCACTTCTTTGAGGCCTACCGTAGTAAAGGAAATAACTTCCTATAGAAAGAAGACAGAAGCATTCTCAGAACCCTCTTCGTGATGTTTGCATTCAACTCACAGTGCTGAACCTTTCTTTGATAGTTCAGCTTTGAAACACTCTTCTTGTAGAAACTGCAAGTGGATATTTGGTCCTCTCTGAGGATTTCGTTGGAAACGGGATAAACCGCACAGAACTAAACAGAAGAATTCTCAGAGCCCTCTTCGTGATGTTTGCATTCAACTCACAGTGCTGAACCTTTCTTTGATAGTGCAGCTTTGAAACACTCTTTTTGTAGAAACTGCAAGTGGATGTTTGGTCCTCTCTGAGGATTTCGTTGGAAACGGGATAAACCGCACAGAACTAAAACAGAAGCATTGTCAGAAACTTCTTTGTGATGATTGCATTCAACTCACAGAGTTGAAGGTTCCTTTTCAAACAGCAGTTTCCAATCACTCTTTCTGTGGAATCTGCAAGTGGATATTTGGGCCTCTCTGAGGATTTCGTTGGAAACGGGATAAAACGCACAGAACTAAAACAGAAGCATTCTCAGAAACTTCTCTGTGATGTTTGTGTTCAACTCCCAGAGTTTCACGTTGCTTTTCATAGAGTAGTTCTGAAACATGCTTTTCGTAGTGTCTGCAAGTGGACATTTGGAGCGCTTTCAGGCCTGTGGTGGAAAACGAATTATGGTCACATAAAAACTGGAGAGAAGCCTTCTCAGAAACTTCTCTGTGATGATTGCATTCAACTCACTGAGTTGAACCCTCCTATTGGATAGAGCAGTGTTGAAACTCTCTTTTTGTGGAATCTGCAAGTGGATATGTGGACCTCTCCGAAGATGTCTTTGGAAACGGGAATATCTTCACATAAAAACTAAACAGAAGCATTCTCAGAAACTTCTTGGTGATGTTTGCATTCAAATCCCAGAGTTGAACCTTCCTTTGATAGTTCAGGTTTGAAACACTCTTTTTGTAGGATCTGCAAGTGGCTATTTGGACCACTCTGTGGCCTTCGTTCGAAACGGGTATATCTTCGCATAAAATCTAGACAGAAGCATTCTCAGAAAATACTTTGTGATGATTGAGTTTAAATCACAGAGCTGACCATTCCTTTGGATGGAGCAGGTTTGAGACACACTTTTTGTAGAATCTACAAGTGGATATTTGGACCTCTCTGAGGATTTCGTTGGAAACGGGATAACTGCACCTAACTAAACGGAAGCATTCTCAGAAACTGCTTTGTGATGATTGCATTCACCTCACAGAGTTGAACATTCCTATTGATAGAGCAGTTTGGAAACACTCTTGTTGTGGAATGTGCAAGTGGAGATTTGGAGCGCTTTGAGGCCTATGGTAGTAAAGGGAATAGCTTCATAGAAAAAATTGACAGATGCATTCTCAGGAACTTTTTGGTGATGTTTGTATTCAACTCCCAGAGTTGAACTTTCCTTTGGAAAGAGCAGCTATGAAACACTCTTTTTCTAGAATCTGCAAGTGGACGTTTGGAGGGCTTTGTGGTTTGTGGTGGACAAGGAAATATCTTCACCTAAATACTAGATAGAAGCATTCTCAGAAGCTTCTCTGTGATGACTGCATTCAACTCACGGAGTTGAACACTCCTTTTGAGAGCGCAGTTTTGAAACTCTCTTTCTGTGGCATCTGCAAGGGGACATGTAGACCTCTTTGAAGATTTCGTTGGAAACGGAATCATCTTCACATAAAAACTATACAGAAGCAGTCTCAGAATCTTCTTTGTGATGTTTGCATTCAAATCCCAGAGTTGAACTTCCCTTTCAAAGTTCACGTTTGAAACACTCTTTTTGCAGGATCTACAAGTGGATATTTGGACCACTCTGTGTCCTTCGTTCGAAACGGGTATATCTTCACATGACATCTAGACAGAAGCTTTCTCAGAAAATTCTTTGGGATGATTGAGTGGAACTCACAGAGCTGAACATTCCTTGCGATGTAGCAGTTTAGAAACACACTTTCTGCAGAATCTGCAAGTGCATATTTGGACCTCTCTGAGGAATTCGTTGGAAACGGGATAATTTCAGCTGACTAAACAGAAGCATTCTCAGAACCTTCTTCGTAATGTCTCCATTCAACTCACAGTGTGGAACCTTTCTTTGATAGTTCAGGTTTGAAACACTCTTTTTGTAGAAACTGCAAGGGGATAATTGCACTTCTTTGAGGCCTACCGTAGTAAAGGAAATAACTTCCTATAGAAAGAAGACAGAAGATTTCTCAGAACCCTCTTCGTGATGTTTGCATTCAACTCACAGTGCTGAACCTTTCTTTGATAGTTCAGCTTTGAAACACTCTTCTTGTAGAAACTGCAAGTGGATATTTGGTCCTCTCTGAGGATTTCGTTGGAAACGGGATAAACCGCACAGAACTAAACAGAAGATTTCTCAGAGCCCTCTTCGTGATGTTTGCATTCAACTCACAGTGCTGAACCTTTCTTTGATAGTGCAGCTTTAAAACACTCTTTTTGTAGAAACTGCAAGTGGATATTTGGTCCTCTCTGAGGATTTCGTTGGAAACGGAATAAACCGCACAGAACAAAAACAGAAGCATTCACAGAAAACACTTGGTGACGACTGAGTTTAACTCACAGAGCTGAACATTCCTTTGGATGGAGCAGTTTCGAAACACACTATTTGTAGAATCTGCAAGTGGATATTTGGGCCTCTCTGAGGATTTCGTTGGAAACGGGATAAAACGCACAGAACTAAAACAGAAGCATTCTCAGAAACTACTTTGTGATGATTGCATTCAAGTCACAGAGTTGAACATTCCCTTTGACAGAGCAGTTTGGAAACTCTCTTTGTGTAGAATCTGCAAGTGGAGATATGGACCGCTTTGAGGCCTATGGTAGTAAAGGAAATAGCTTCATATAAAAGCTAGACAGTAGCATTCTCAGAAACTTCTTTGTGATGCTTGCATTCAACTCACAGAGTTGAACTTTCCTTTCGAGAGAGAAGCTTTGAAACACTCTTTTTCCAGAATGTGCAAGTGGACATTTGGGGAGCTTTGAGGCCTGTGGTGGAAAAGGAATTATCTTCCCGTAAAAGCTAGATAGAAGCATTGTCAGAAACTTCTTTGAGATGATTGCATTCAACTCACAGAGTTGAAGGTTCCTTTTCAAACAGCAGTTTCCAATCACTCTTTCTGTGGAATCTGCAAGTGGATATTTCGACCTCTTTGAAGATTTCGTTGGAAACGGGAGAATCTTCACAGAAAAGCTAAACAGAAGCATTCTCAGAAACTTCTCTGTGATGTTTGTGTTCAACTCCCAGAGTTTCACGTTGCTTTTCATAGAGTAGTTCTGAAACATGCTTTTCGTAGTGTCTGCAAGTGGACATTTGGAGCGCTTTCAGGCCTGTGGTGGAAAACGAATTATGGTCACATAAAAACTGGAGAGAAGCCTTCTCAGAAACTTTTCTGTGGTGATTGCATTCAACTCACAGAGTTGAACCCTCCTATGGATAGAGCAGTGTTGAAACTCTCTTTTTGTGGAATCTGCAAGTGGATATGTGGACCTCTCCGAAGATGTCTTTGGAAACGGGAATATCTTCACATAAAAACTAAACAGAAGCATTCTCAGAAACTTCTTGGTGATGTTTGCATTCAAATCCCAGAGTTGAACCTTCCTTTGATAGTTCAGGTTTGAAACACTCTTTTTGTAGGATCTGCAAGTGGATATTTGGACCACTCTGTGGCCTTCGTTCGAAACGGGTATATCTTCGCATAAAATCTAGACAGAAGCATTCTCAGAAAATACTTTGTGATGATTGAGTTTAACTCACAGAGCTGAACATTCCTTTGGATGGAGCAGGTTTGAGACACACTTTTTGTAGAATCTACAAGTGGATATTTGGACCTCTCTGAGGATTTCGTTGGAAACGGGATAACTGCACCTAACTAAACGGAAGCATTCTCAGAAACTGCTTTGTGATGATTGCATTCACCTCACAGAGTTGAACATTCCTATTGATAGAGCAGTTTGGAAACACTCTTGTTGTGGAATGTGCAAGTGGAGATTTGGAGCGCTTTGAGGCCTATGGTAGTAAAGGGAATAGCTTCATAGAAAAACTAGACAGATGCATTCTCAGGAACATTTTGGTGATGTTTGTATTCAACTCCCAGAGTTGAACTTTCCTTTGGAAAGAGCAGCTATGAGACACTGTTTCTCTAGAATCTGCAAGTGGACGTTTGGAGGGCTTTGTGGTTTGTGGTGGAAAAGGAAATATCTTCACCTAAATACTAGATAGAAGCATTCTCAGAAGCTTCTCTGTGATGACTGCATTCAACTCACGGAGTTGAACACTCCTTTTGAGAGCGCAGTTTTGAAACTCTCTTTCTGTGGCATCTGCAAGGGGACATGTAGACCTCTTTGAAGATTTCGTTGGAAACGGAATCATCTTCACATAAAAACTATACAGAAGCAGTCTCAGAATCTTCTTTGTGATGTTTGCATTCAAATCCCAGAGTTGAACTTTCCTTTCAAAGTTCACGTTTGAAACACTCTTTTTGCAGGATCTACAAGTGGATATTTGGACCACTCTGTGTCCTTCGTTCGAAACGGGTATATCTTCACACGACATCTAGACAGAAGCTTTCTCAGAAAATTCTTTGGGATGATTGAGTGGAACTCACAGAGCTGAACATTCCTTGCGATGTAGCAGTTTAGAAACACACTTTCTGCAGAATCTGCAAGTGCATATTTGGACCTCTCTGAGGAATTCGTTGGAAACGGGATAATTTCAGCTGACTAAACAGAAGCATTCTCAGAACCTTCTTCGTGATGTCTGCATTCAACTCACAGTGTGGAACCTTTCTTTGATAGTTCAGGTTTGAAACACTCTTTTTGTAGAAACTGCAAGGGGATAATTGCACTTCTTTGAGGCCTACCGTAGTAAAGGAAATAACTTCCTATAGAAAGAAGACAGAAGCATTCTCAGAACCCTCTTCGTGATGTTTGCATTCAACTCACAGTGCTGAACCTTTCTTTGATAGTTCAGCTTTGAAACACTCTTCTTGTAGAAACTGCAAGTGGATATTTGGTCCTCTCTGAGGATTTCGTTGGAAACGGGATAAACCGCACAGAACTAAACAGAAGAATTCTCAGAGCCCTCTTCGTGATGTTTGCATTCAACTCACAGTGCTGAACCTTTCTTTGATAGTGCAGCTTTGAAACACTCTTTTTGTAGAAACTGCAAGTGGATGTTTGGTCCTCTCTGAGGATTTCGTTGGAAACGGGATAAACCGCACAGAACTAAAACAGAAGCATTGTCAGAAACTTCTTTGTGATGATTGCATTCAACTCACAGAGTTGAAGGTTCCTTTTCAAACAGCAGTTTCCAATCACTCTTTCTGTGGAATCTGCAAGTGGATATTTGGGCCTCTCTGAGGATTTCGTTGGAAACGGGATAAAACGCACAGAACTAAAACAGAAGCATTCTCAGAAACTTCTCTGTGATGTTTGTGTTCAACTCCCAGAGTTTCACGTTGCTTTTCATAGAGTAGTTCTGAAACATGCTTTTCGTAGTGTCTGCAAGTGGACATTTGGAGCGCTTTCAGGCCTGTGGTGGAAAACGAATTATGGTCACATAAAAACTGGAGAGAAGCCTTCTCAGAAACTTCTCTGTGATGATTGCATTCAACTCACAGAGTTGAACCCTCCTATGGATAGAGCAGTGTTGAAACTCTCTTTTTGTGGAATCTGCAAGTGGATATGTGGACCTCTCCGAAGATGTCTTTGGAAACGGGAATATCTTCACATAAAAACTAAACAGAAGCATTGTCAGAAACTTCTTGGTGATGTTTGCATTCAAATCCCAGAGTTGAACCTTCCTTTGATAGTTCAGGTTTGAAACACTCTTTCTGTAGGATCTGCAAGTGGCTATTTGGACCACTCTGTGGCCTTCGTTCGAAACGGGTATATCTTCGCATAAAATCTAGACAGAAGCATTCTCAGAAAATACTTTGTGATGATTGAGTTGAACTCACAGAGCTGAACATTCCTTTGGATGGAGCAGTTTTGAGACACACTTCTTGTAGAATCTACAAGTGGATATTTGGACCTCTCTGAGGATTTCGTTGGAAACGGGATAACTGCACCTAACTAAACGGAAGCATTCTCAGAAACTGCTTTGTGATGATTGCATTCACCTCACAGAGTTGAACATTCCTATTGATAGAGCAGTTTGGAAACACTCTTGTTGTGGAATGTGCAAGTGGAGATTTGGAGCGCTTTGAGGCCTATGGTAGTAAAGGGAATAGCTTCATAGAAAACTAGACAGATGCATTCTCAGGAACTTTTTGGTGATGTTTGTATTCAACTCCCAGAGTTGAACTTTCCTTTGGAAAGAGCAGCTATGAAACACTCTTTTTCTAGAATCTGCAAGTGGACGTTTGGAGGGCTTTGTGGTTTGTGGTGGAAAAGGAAATATCTTCACCTAAATACTAGATAGAAGCATTCTCAGAAGCTTCTCTGTGATGACTGCATTCAACTCACGGAGTTGAACACTCCTTTTGAGAGCGCAGTTTTGAAACTCTCTTTCTGTGGCATCTGCAAGGGGACATGTAGACCTCTTTGAAGATTTCGTTGGAAACGGAATCATCTTCACATAAAAACTATACAGAAGCAGTCTCAGAATCTTCTTTGTGATGTTTGCATTCAAATCCCCGAGTTGAACTTTCCTTTCAAAGTTCACGTTTGAAACACTCTTTTTGCAGGATCTACAAGTGGATATTTGGACCACTCTGTGTCCTTCGTTCGAAACGGGTATATCTTCACATGACATCTAGACAGAAGCTTTCTCAGAAAATTCTTTGGGATGATTGAGTTGAACTCACAGAGCTGAGCATTCCTTGCGATGTAGCAGTTTAGAAACACACTTTCTGCAGAATCTGCAAGTGCATATTTGGACCTCTGTGAGGAATTCGTTGGAAACGGGATAATTTCAGCTGACTAAACAGAAGCATTCTCAGAACCTTCTTCGTGATGTCTGCATTCAACTCACAGTGTGGAACCTTTCTTTGATAGTTCAGGTTTGAAACACTCTTTTTGTAGAAACTGCAAGGGGATCATTGCACTCTTTGAGGAGTACCGTAGTAAAGGAAATAACTTCCTATAAAAAGAAGACAGAAGCATTCTCAGAACCCTCTTCGTGATGTTTGCATTCAACTCACAGTGCTGAACCTTTCTTTGATAGTTCAGCTTTGAAACACTCTTTTTGTAGAAACTGCAAGTGGATATTTGGTCCTCTCTGAGCATTTCGTTGGAAACGGGATAAACTGCACAGAACTAAACAGAAGCATTCTCAGAACCTTCTTCGTGATGTTTGCATTCAACTCACAGTGTTGAACCTTTCTTTGATAGTTCAGGTTTGAAACGGTCTTTCTGTAGAAACTGCAAGTAGATATTTGGACCTCTCTGAGGATTTCGTTGGAAACGGGATAACCCGCACAGAACTAAAACAGAAGCATTCACAGAAAACCCTTGGTGACGACTGAGTTTAACTCACAGAGCTGAACATTCCTTTGGATGGAGCAGTTTCGAAACACACTAATTGTAGAATGTGCAAGTGGATATTTGGGCCTCTCTGAGGATTTCGTTGGAAACGGGATAAACCGCACAGAACTAAACAGAAGCATTCTCAGAAACTACTTTGTGATGATTGCATTCAAGTCACAGAGTTGAACATTCCCTTTGACAGAGCAGTTTGGAAACTCTCTTTGTGTAGAATCTGCAAGTGGAGATATGGACCGCTTTGAGGCCTATGGTAGTAAAGGAAATAGCTTCATATAAAAGCTAGACAGTAGCATTCTCAGAAACTTCTTTGTGATGCTTGCATTCAACTCACAGAGTTGAACTTTCCTTTCGAGAGAGAAGCTTTGAAACACTCTTTTTCCAGAATCTGCAAGTGGACATTTGGAGGGCTTTGAGGCCTGTGGTGGAAAAGGAATTATCTTCCCGTAAAAGCTAGATAGAAGCCTTCTCAGAAACTTCTCTGTGATGATTGCATTCAACTCACAGAGTTGAAGGTTCCTTTTCAAAGAGCAGTTTCCAATCACTCTTTCTGTGGAATCTGCAAGTGGATATTTGGACCTATTTTGAAGATTTCGTTGGAAACGGGAGAATCTTCACAGGAAAGCTAAACAGAAGCATTCTCAGAAACTTCTTGGTGATGTTTGCATTCAAATCCCAGAGTAGAACCTTCCTTTGATAGTTCAGGTTTGAAACACTCTTTTTGTAGGATCTGCAAGTGGATATTTGGACCACTCTGTGGCCTTCGTTCGAAACGGGTATATCTTCGCATAAAATCTAGACAGAAGCATTCTCAGAAAATACTTTGTGATGATTGAGTTTAACTCACAGAGCTGAACATTCCTTTGGATGGAGCAGGTTTGAGACACACTTTTTGTAGAATCTACAAGTGGATATTTGGACCTCTGCTGAGGATTTCGTTGGAAACGCGATAACTGCACCTAACTAAACGGAAGCATTCTCAGAAACTGCTTTGTGATGATTGCATTCACCTCACAGAGTTGAACATTCCTATTGATAGAGCAGTTTGGAAACACTCTTGTTGTGGAATGTGCAAGTGGAGATTTGGAGCGCTTTGAGGCCTATGGTAGTAAAGGGAATAGCTTCATAGAAAAACTAGACAGATGCATTCTCAGGAACTTTTTGGTGATGTTTGTATTCAACTCCCAGAGTTGAACTTTCCTTTGGAAAGAGCAGCTATGAAACACTGTTTTTCTAGAATCTGCAAGTGGACGTTTGGAGGGCTTTGTGGTTTGTGGTGGAAAAGGAAATATCTTCACCTAAATACTAGATAGAAGCATCCTCAGAAGCTTCTCTGTGATGACTGCATTCAACTCACGGAGTTGAACACTCCTTTTGAGAGCGCAGTTTTGAAACTCTCTTTCTGTGGCATCTGCAAGGGGACATGTAGACCTCTTTGAAGATTTCGTTGGAAACGGAATCATCTTCACATAAAAACTATACAGAAGCAGTCTCAGAATCTTCTTTGTGATGTTTGCATTCAAATCCCCGAGTTGAACTTTCCTTTCAAAGTTCACGTTTGAAACACTCTTTTTGCAGGATCTACAAGTGGATATTTGGACCACTCTGTGTCCTTCGTTCGAAACGGATATATCTTCACATGACATCTAGACAGAAGCTTTCTCAGAAAATTCTTTGGGATGATTGAGTTGAACTCACAGAGCTGAGCATTCCTTGCGATGTAGCAGTTTAGAAACACACTTTCTGCAGAATCTGCAAGTGCATATTTGGACCTCTGTGAGGAATTCGTTGGAAACGGGATAATTTCAGCTGACTAAACAGAAGCATTCTCAGAACCTTCTTCGTGATGTCTGCATTCAACTCACAGTGTGGAACCTTTCTTTGATAGTTCAGGTTTGAAACACTCTTTCTGTAGAAACTGCAAGGGGATAATTGCACTCTTTGAGGAGTACCGTAGTAAAGGAAATAACTTCCTATAAAAAGAAGACAGAAGCATTCTCAGAACCCTCTTCGTGATGTTTGCATTCAACTCACAGTGCTGAACCTTTCTTTGATAGTTCAGCTTTGAAACACTCTTTTTGTAGAAACTGCAAGTGGATATTTGGTCCTCTCTGAGGATTTCGTTGGAAACGGGATAAACTGCACAGAACTAAACAGAAGCATTCTCAGAACCTTCTTCGTGATGTTTGCATTCAACTCACAGTGTTGAACCTTTCTTTGATAGTTCAGGTTTGAAACGGTCTTTCTGTAGAAACTGCAAGTAGATATTTGGACCTCTCTGAGGATTTCGTTGGAAACGGGATAACCCGCACAGAACTAAAACAGAAGCATTCACAGAAAACTCTTGGTGACGACTGAGTTTAACTCACAGAGCTGAACATTCCTTTGGATGGAGCAGTTTCGAAACACACTATTTGTAGAATGTGCAAGTGGATATTTAGGCCTCTCTGAGGATTTCGTTGGAAACGGGATAAACCGCACAGAACTAAACAGAAGCATTCTCAGAAACTACTTTGTGATGATTGCATTCAAGTCACAGAGTTGAACATTCCCTTTGACAGAGCAGTTTGGAAACTCTCTTTGTGTAGAATCTGCAAGTGGAGATATGGACCGCTTTGAGGCCTATGGTAGTAAAGGAAATAGCTTCATATAAAAGCTAGACAGTAGCATTCTCAGAAACTTCTTTGTGATGCTTGCATTCAACTCACAGAGTTGAACTTTCCTTTCGAGAGAGAAGCTTTGAAACACTCTTTTTCCAGAATCTGCAAGTGGACATTTGGAGGGCTTTGAGGCCTGTGGTGGAAAAGGAATTATCTTCCCGTAAAAGCTAGATAGAAGCATTGTCAGAAACTTCTTTGTGATGATTGCATTCAACTCACAGAGTTGAAGGTTCCTTTTCAAAGAGCAGTTTCCAATCACTCTTTCTGTGGAATCTGCAAGTGGATATTTGGACCTCTTTGAAGATTTCGTTGGAAACGGGAGAATCTTCACAGGAAAGCTAAACAGAAGCATTCTCAGAAACTTCTCTGTGATGTTTGTGTTCAACTCCCAGAGTTTCACATTGCTTCTCATAGAGTAGTTCTGAAACATGCTTTTCGTAGTGTCTACAAGTGGACATTTGGAGCGCTTTCAGGCCTGTGGTGGAAAACGAATTATGGTCCCATAAAAACTGGAGAGAAGCCTTCTCAGAAACTTCTCTGTGATGATTGCATTCAACTCACAGAGTTGAACCCTCCTATGGATAGAGCAGTGTTGAAACTCTCTTTTTGTGGAATCTGCAAGTGGATATGTGGACCTCTCCGAAGATGTCTTTGGAAACGGGAATATCTTCACATAAAAACTAAACAGAAGCATTCTCAGAAACTTCTTGGTGATGTTTGCATTCAAATCCCAGAGTTGAACCTTCCTTTGATAGTTCAGGTTTGAAACACTCTTTTTGTAGGATCTGCAAGTGGATATTTGGACCACTCTGTGGCCTTCGTTCGAAACGGGTATATCTTCGCATAAAATCTAGACAGAAGCATTCTCAGAAAATACTTTGTGATGATTGAGTTTAACTCACAGAGCTGAACATTCCTTTGGATGGAGCAGGTTTGAGACACACCTTTTGTAGAATCTACAAGTGGATATTTGGACCTCTCTGAGGATTTCGTTGGAAACGGGATAACTGCACCTAACTAAACGGAAGCATTCTCAGAAACTGCTTTGTGATGATTGCATTCACCTCACAGAGTTGAACATTCCTATTGATAGAGCAGTTTGGAAACACTCTTGTTGTGGAATGTGCAAGTGGAGATTTGGAGCGCTTTGAGGCCTATGGTAGTAAAGGGAATAGCTTCATAGAAAAACTAGACAGATGCATTCTCAGGAACTTTTTGGTGATGTTTGTATTCAACTCCCAGAGTTGAACTTTCCTTTGGAAAGAGCAGCTATGAAACACTCTTTTTCTAGAATCTGCAAGTGGACGTTTGGAGGGCTTTGTGGTTTGTGGTGGAAAAGGAAATATCTTCACCTAAATACTAGATAGAAGCATCCTCAGAAGCTTCTCTGTGATGACTGCATTCAACTCACGGAGTTGAACACTCCTTTTGAGAGCGCAGTTTTGAAACTCTCTTTCTGTGGCATCTGCAAGGGGACATGTAGACCTCTTTGAAGATTTCGTTGGAAACGGAATCATCTTCACATAAAAACTATACAGAAGCAGTCTCAGAATCTTCTTTGTGATGTTTGCATTCAAATCCCCGAGTTGAACTTTCCTTTCAAAGTTCACGTTTGAAACACTCTTTTTGCAGGATCTACAAGTGGATATTTGGACCACTCTGTGTCCTTCGTTCGAAACGGGTATATCTTCACATGACATCTAGACAGAAGCTTTCTCAGAAAATTCTTTGGGATGATTGAGTTGAACTCACAGAGCTGAGCATTCCTTGCGATGTAGCAGTTTAGAAACACACTTTCTGCAGAATCTGCAAGTGCATATTTGGACCTCTGTGAGGAATTCGTTGGAAACGGGATAATTTCAGCTGACTAAACAGAAGCATTCTCAGAACCTTCTTCGTGATGTCTGCATTCAACTCACAGTGTGGAACCTTTCTTTGATAGTTCAGGTTTGAAACACTCTTTTTGTAGAAACTGCAAGGGGATAATTGCACTCTTTGAGGAGTACCGTAGTAAAGGAAATAACTTCCTATAAAAAGAAGACAGAAGCATTCTCAGAACCCTCTTCGTGATGTTTGCATTCAACTCACAGTGCTGAACCTTTCTTTGATAGTTCAGCTTTGAAACACTCTTTTTGTAGAAACTGCAAGTGGATATTTGGTCCTCTCTGAGGATTTCGTTGGAAACGGGATAAACTGCACAGAACTAAACAGAAGCATTCTCAGAACCTTCTTCGTGATGTTTGCATTCAACTCACAGTGTTGAACCTTTCTTTGATAGTTCAGGTTTGAAACGGTCTTTCTGTAGAAACTGCAAGTAGATATTTGGACCTCTCTGAGGATTTCGTTGGAAACGGGATAACCCGCACAGAACTAAAACAGAAGCATTCACAGAAAACTCTTGGTGACGACTGAGTTTAACTCACAGAGCTGAACATTCCTTTGGATGGAGCAGTTTCGAAACACACTATTTGTAGAATGTGCAAGTGGATATTTAGGCCTCTCTGAGGATTTCGTTGGAAACGGGATAAACCGCACAGAACTAAACAGAAGCATTCTCAGAAACTACTTTGTGATGATTGCATTCAAGTCACAGAGTTGAACATTCCCTTTGACAGAGCAGTTTGGAAACTCTCTTTGTGTAGAATCTGCAAGTGGAGATATGGACCGCTTTGAGGCCTATGGTAGTAAAGGAAATAGCTTCATATAAAAGCTAGACAGTAGCATTCTCAGAAACTTCTTTGTGATGCTTGCATTCAACTCACAGAGTTGAACTTTCCTTTCGAGAGAGAAGCTTTGAAACACTCTTTCTCCAGAATCTGCAAGTGGACATTTGGAGGGCTTTGAGGCCTGTGGTGGAAAAGGAATTATCTTCCCGTAAAAGCTAGATAGAAGCATTGTCAGAAACTTCTTTGTGATGATTGCATTCAACTCACAGAGTTGAAGGTTCCTTTTCAAACAGCAGTTTCCAATCACTCTTTCTGTGGAATCTGCAAGTGGATATTTGGACCTATTTTGAAGATTTCGTTGGAAACGGGAGAATCTTCACAGAAAAGCTAAACAGAAGCATTCTCAGAAACTTCTCTGTGATGTTTGTGTTCAACTCCCAGAGTTTCACATTGCTTTTCATAGAGTAGTTCTGAAACATGCTTTTCGTAGTGTCTGCAAGTGGACATTTGGAGCGCTTTCAGGCCTGTGGTGGAAAACGAATTATGGTCACATAAAAACTGGAGAGAAGCCTTCTCAGAAACTTCTCTGTGATGATTGCATTCAACTCACAGAGTTGAACCCTCCTATGGATAGAGCAGTGTTGAAACTCTCTTTTTGTGGAATCTGCAAGTGGATATGTGGACCTCTCCGAAGATGTCTTTGGAAACGGGACTATCTTCACATAAAAACTAAACAGAAGCATTCTCAGAAACATCTTGGTGATGTTTGCATTCAAATCCCAGAGTTGAACCTTCCTTTGATAGTTCAGGTTTGAAACACTCTTTTTGTAGGATCTGCAAGTGGATATTTGGACCACTCTGTGGCCTTCGTTCGAAACGGGTACATCTTCGCATAAAATCTAGACAGAAGCATTCTCAGAAAATACTTTGTGATGATTGAGTTTAACTCACAGAGCTGAACATTCCTTTGGATGGAGCAGGTTTGAGACACACTTTTTGTAGTATCTACAAGTGGATATTTGGACCTCTCTGAGGATTTCGTTGGAAACGGGATAACTGCACCTAACTAAACGGAAGCATTCTCAGAAACTGCTTTGTGATGATTGCATTCACCTCACAGAGTTGAACATTCCTATTGATAGAGCAGTTTGGAAACACTCCTGTTGTGGAATGTGCAAGTGGAGATTTGGAGCGCTTTGAGGCCTATGGTTGTAAAGGGAATAGCTTCATAGAAAAACTAAACAGATGCATTCTCAGGAACTTTTTGGTGATGTTTGTATTCAACTCCCAGAGTTGAACTTTCCTTTGGAAAGAGCAGCTATGAAACACGCTTTTTCTAGAATCTGCAAGTGGACGTTTGGAGGGCTTTGTGGTTTGTGGTCTAAAAGGAAATATCTTCACCTAAATACTAGATAGAAGCATTCTCAGAAGCTTCTCTGTGATGACTGCATTCAACTCACGGAGTTGAACACTCCTTTTGAGAGCACAGTTTTGAAACTCTCTTTATGTGGCATCTGCAAGGGGACATGTAGACCTCTTTGAAGATTTCGTTGGAAACGGAATCATCTTCATATAAAAACTATACAGAAGCAGTCTCAGAATCTTCTTTGTGATGTTTGCATTCAAATCCCAGAATTGAACTTTCCTTTCAAAGTTCACGTTTGAAACACTCTTTTTGCAGGGTCTACAAGTGGATATTTGGACCACTCTGTGTCCTTCGTTCGAAACGGGTATATCTTCACATGACATCTAGACAGAAGCATTCACAGAAAACTCTTGGTGACGACTGAGTTTAACTCACAGAGCTGAACATTCCTTTGGATGGAGCAGTTTAGAAACACACTTTCTGCAGAATCTGCAAGTGCATATTTGGACCTCTCTGAGGAATTCGTTGGAAACGGGATAATTTCAGCTGACTAAACAGAAGCATTCTCAGAACCTTCTTCGTGATGTCTGCATTCAACTCACAGTGTGGAACCTTTCTTTGATAGTTCAGGTTTGAAACACTCTTTTTGTAGAAACTGCAAGGGGATAATTGCACTTCTTTGAGGCCTACCGTAGTAAAGGAAATAACTTCCTATAGAAAGAAGACAGAAGCATTCTCAGAACCCTCTTCGTGATGTTTGCATTCAACTCACAGTGCTGAACCTTTCTTTGATAGTTCAGCTTTGAAACACTCTTCTTGTAGAAACTGCAAGTGGATATTTGGTCCTCTCTGAGGATTTCGTTGGAAACGGGATAAACCGCACAGAACTAAACAGAAGAATTCTCAGAGCCCTCTTCGTGATGTTTGCATTCAACTCACAGTGCTGAACCTTTCTTTGATAGTGCAGCTTTGAAACACTCTTTTTGTAGAAACTGCAAGTGGATGTTTGGTCCTCTCTGAGGATTTCGTTGGAAACGGGATAAACCGCACAGAACTAAAACAGAAGCATTGTCAGAAACTTCTTTGTGATGATTGCATTCAACTCACAGAGTTGAAGGTTCCTTTTCAAACAGCAGTTTCCAATCACTCTTTCTGTGGAATCTGCAAGTGGATATTTGGGCCTCTCTGAGGATTTCGTTGGAAACGGGATAAAACGCACAGAACTAAAACAGAAGCATTCTCAGAAACTTCTCTGTGATGTTTGTGTTCAACTCCCAGAGTTTCACGTTGCTTTTCATAGAGTAGTTCTGAAACATGCTTTTCGTAGTGTCTGCAAGTGGACATTTGGAGCGCTTTCAGGCCTGTGGTGGAAAACGAATTATGGTCACATAAAAACTGGAGAGAAGCCTTCTCAGAAACTTCTCTGTGATGATTGCATTCAACTCACAGAGTTGAACCCTCCTATGGATAGAGCAGTGTTGAAACTCTCTTTTTGTGGAACCTGCAAGTGGATATGTGGACCTCTCCGAAGATGTCTTTGGAAACGGGAATATCTTCACATAAAAACTAAACAGAAGCATTCTCAGAAACTTCTTGGTGATGTTTGCATTCAAATCCCAGAGTTGAACCTTCCTTTGATAGTTCAGGTTTGAAACACTCTTTCTGTAGGATCTGCAAGTGGCTATTTGGACCACTCTGTGGCCTTCGTTCGAAACGGGTATATCTTCGCATAAAATCTAGACAGAAGCATTCTCAGAAAATACTTTGTGATGATTGAGTTTAAATCACAGAGCTGACCATTCCTTTGGATGGAGCAGGTTTGAGACACACTTTTTGTAGAATCTACAAGTGGATATTTGGACCTCTCTGAGGATTTCGTTGGAAACGGGATAACTGCACCTAACTAAACGGAAGCATTCTCAGAAACTGCTTTGTGATGATTGCATTCACCTCACAGAGTTGAACATTCCTATTGATAGAGCAGTTTGGAAACACTCTTGTTGTGGAATGTGCAAGTGGAGATTTGGAGCGCTTTGAGGCCTATGGTAGTAAAGGGAATAGCTTCATAGAAAAACTAGACAGATGCATTCTCAGGAACTTTTTGGTGATGTTTGTATTCAACTCCCAGAGTTGAACTTTCCTTTGGAAAGAGCAGCTATGAAACACTCTTTTTCTAGAATCTGCAAGTGGACGTTTGGAGGGCTTTGTGGTTTGTGGTGGAAAAGGAAATATCTTCACCTAAATACTAGATAGAAGCATTCTCAGAAGCTTCTCTGTGATGACTGCATTCAACTCACGGAGTTGAACACTCCTTTTGAGAGCGCAGTTTTGAAACTCTCTTTCTGTGGCATCTGCAAGGGGACATGTAGACCTCTTTGAAGATTTCGTTGGAAACGGAATCATCTTCACATAAAAACTATACAGAAGCAGTCTCAGAATCTTCTTTGTGATGTTTGCATTCAAATCCCAGAGTTGAACTTTCCTTTCAAAGTTCACGTTTGAAACACTCTTTTTGCAGGATCTACAAGTGGATATTTGGACCACTCTGTGTCCTTCGTTCGAAACGGGTATATCTTCACACGACATCTAGACAGAAGCTTTCTCAGAAAATTCTTTGGGATGATTGAGTGGAACTCACAGAGCTGAACATTCCTTGCGATGTAGCAGTTTAGAAACACACTTTCTGCAGAATCTGCAAGTGCATATTTGGACCTCTCTGAGGAATTCGTTGGAAACGGGATAATTTCAGCTGACTAAACAGAAGCATTCTCAGAACCTTCTTCGTGATGTCTGCATTCAACTCACAGTGTGGAACCTTTCTTTGATAGTTCAGGTTTGAAACACTCTTTTTGTAGAAACTGCAAGGGGATAATTGCACTTCTTTGAGGCCTACCGTAGTAAAGGAAATAACTTCCTATAGAAAGAAGACAGAAGCATTCTCAGAACCCTCTTCGTGATGTTTGCATTCAACTCACAGTGCTGAACCTTTCTTTGATAGTTCAGCTTTGAAACACTCTTCTTGTAGAAACTGCAAGTGGATATTTGGTCCTCTCTGAGGATTTCGTTGGAAACGGGATAAACCGCACAGAACTAAACAGAAGAATTCTCAGAGCCCTCTTCGTGATGTTTGCATTCAACTCACAGTGCTGAACCTTTCTTTGATAGTGCAGCTTTGAAACACTCTTTTTGTAGAAACTGCAAGTGGATGTTTGGTCCTCTCTGAGGATTTCGTTGGAAACGGGATAAACCGCACAGAACTAAAACAGAAGCATTGTCAGAAACTTCTTTGTGATGATTGCATTCAACTCACAGAGTTGAAGGTTCCTTTTCAAACAGCAGTTTCCAATCACTCTTTCTGTGGAATCTGCAAGTGGATATTTGGGCCTCTCTGAGGATTTCGTTGGAAACGGGATAAAACGCACAGAACTAAAACAGAAGCATTCTCAGAAACTTCTCTGTGATGTTTGTGTTCAACTCCCAGAGTTTCACGTTGCTTTTCATAGAGTAGTTCTGAAACATGCTTTTCGTAGTGTCTGCAAGTGGACATTTGGAGCGCTTTCAGGCCTGTGGTGGAAAACGAATTATGGTCACATAAAAACTGGAGAGAAGCCTTCTCAGAAACTTCTCTGTGATGATTGCATTCAACTCACAGAGTTGAACCCTCCTATGGATAGAGCAGTGTTGAAACTCTCTTTTTGTGGAATCTGCAAGTGGATATGTGGACCTCTCCGAAGATGTCTTTGGAAACGGGAATATCTTCACATAAAAACTAAACAGAAGCATTCTCAGAAACTTCTTGGTGATGTTTGCATTCAAATCCCAGAGTTGAACCTTCCTTTGATAGTTCAGGTTTGAAACACTCTTTCTGTAGGATCTGCAAGTGGCTATTTGGACCACTCTGTGGCCTTCGTTCGAAACGGGTATATCTTCGCATAAAATCTAGACAGAAGCATTCTCAGAAAATACTTTGTGATGATTGAGTTTAAATCACAGAGCTGACCATTCCTTTGGATGGAGCAGGTTTGAGACACACTTTTTGTAGAATCTACAAGTGGATATTTGGACCTCTCTGAGGATTTCGTTGGAAACGGGATAACTGCACCTAACTAAACGGAAGCATTCTCAGAAACTGCTTTGTGATGATTGCATTCACCTCACAGAGTTGAACATTCGTATTGATAGAGCAGTTTGGAAACACTCTTCTTGTGGAATGTGCAAGTGGAGATTTGGAGCGCTTTGGGGCCTATGGTAGTAAAGGGAATAGCTTCATAGAAAAACTAGACAGATGCATTATCAGGAACTTTTTGGTGATGTTTG
Source organism: Homo sapiens (assembly GCF_000001405.40). Taxonomy (NCBI): domain Eukaryota; kingdom Metazoa; phylum Chordata; class Mammalia; order Primates; family Hominidae; genus Homo; species Homo sapiens. The sequence goes on from NC_000017.11 coordinate 24,543,436, forward strand.
TATTCAACTCCCAGAGTTGAACTTTCCTTTGGAAAGAGCAGCTATGAAACACTCTTTTTCTAGAATCTGCAAGTGGACGTTTGGACGGCTTTGTGGTTTGTGGTGGAAAAGGAAATATCTTCACCTAAATACTAGATAGAAGCATTCTCAGAAGCTTCTCTGTGATGACTGCATTCAACTCACGGAGTTGAACACTCCTTTTGAGAGCGCAGTTTTGGAACTCTCTTTCTGTGGCATCTGCAAGGGGACATGTAGACCTCTTTGAAGATTTCGTTGGAAACGGAATCATCTTCACATCAAAACTATACAGAAGCAGTCTCAGAATCTTCTTTGTGATGTTTGCATTCAAATCCCAGAGTTGAACTTGCCTTTCAAAGTTCACGTTTGAAACACTCTTTTTGCAGGATCTACAAGTGGATATTTGGACCACTCTGTGTCCTTCGTTCGAAACGGGTATATCTTCACATGACATCTAGACAGAAGCTTTCTCAGAAAATTCTTTGTGATGATTGAGTTGAGCAAACAGAGCTGAACACTCCTTGCGATGTAGCAGTTTAGAAACACACTTTCTGCAGAATCTGCAAGTGCATATGTGGACCTCTCTGAGGAATTCGTTGGAAACGGGATAATTTCAGCTGACTAAACAGAAGCATTCTCAGAACCTTCTTCGTGATGTCTGCATTCAACTCACAGTGTGGAACCTTTCTTTGATAGTTCAGGTTTGAAACACTCTTTTTGTAGAAACTGCAAGGGGATCATTGCACTTCTTTGAGGCCTACCGTAGTAAAGGAGATAACTTCCTATAAAAAGAAGACAGAAGCATTCTCAGAACCCTCTTCGTGATGTTTGCATTCAACTCACGGTGCTGAACCTTTCTTTGATAGTTCAGCTTTGAAACACTCTTTTTGTAGAAACTGCAAGTGGATATTTGGTCCTCTCTGAGGATTTCGTTGGAAACGGGATAAACCGCACAGAACTAAACAGAAGCATTCTCAGAACCTTCTTCGTGATGTTTGCATTCAACTCACAGTGTTGAACCTTTCTTTGATAGTTCAGGTTTGAAACGGTCTTTCTGTAGAAACTGCTAGTAGATATTTGGACCTCTCTGAGGATTTCGTTGGAAACGGGATAAAGCGCACACAACTAAAACAGAAGCATTCACAGAAAACTCTTGGTGACGACTGAGTTTAACACACAGAGCTGAACATTCCTTTGGATGGAGCAGTTTCGAAACACACTATTTGTAGAATGTGCAAGTGGATATTGGGGCCTCTCTGAGGATTTCGTTGGAAACGGGATAAACCGCACAGAACTAAACAGAAGCATTCTCAGAAACTACTTTGTGATGATTGCATTCAAGTCACAGAGTTGAACATTCCCTTTGACAGAGCAGTTTGGAAACTCTCTTTGTGTAGAATCTGCAAGTGGAGATATGGACCGCTTTGAGGCCTATGGTAGTAAAGGAAATAGCTTCATATAAAAGCTAGACAGTAGCATTCTCAGAAACTTCTTTGTGATGCTTGCATTCAACTCACAGAGTTGAACTTTCCTTTCGAGAGAGAAGCTTTGAAACACTCTTTTTCCAGAATCTGCAAGTGGACATTTGGAGGGCTTTGAGGCCTGTGGTGGAAAAGGAATTATCTTCCCGTAAAAGCTAGATAGAAGCATTGTCAGAAACTTCTTTGTGATGATTGCATTCAACTCACAGAGTTGAAGGTTCCTTTTCAAAGAGCAGTTTCCAATCACTCTTTCTGTGGAATCTGCAAGTGGATATTTGGACCTATTTTGAAGATTTCGTTGGAAACGGGAGAATCTTCACAGGAAAGCTAAACAGAAGCATTCTCAGAAACTTCTCTGTGATGTTTGTGTTCAACTCCCAGAGTTTCACATTGCTTTTCATAGAGTAGTTCTGAAACATGCTTTTCGTAGTGTCTACAAGTGGACATTTGGAGCGCTTTCAGGCCTGTGGTGGAAAACGAATTATGGTCACATAAAAACTGGAGAGAAGCCTTCTCAGAAACTTCTCTGTGATGATTGCATTCAACTCACAGAGTTGAACCCTCCTATGGATAGAGCAGTGTTGAAACTCTCTTTTTGTGGAATCTGCAAGTGAATATGTGGACCTATCCGAAGATGTCTTTGGAAACGGGAATATCTTCACATAAATACTAAACAGAAGCATTCTCAGAAACTTCTTGGTGATGTTTGCATTCAAATCCCAGAGTTGAACCTTCCTTTGATAGTTCAGGTTTGAAACACTCTTTTTGTAGGATCTGCAAGTGGATATTTGGACCACTCTGTGGCCTTCGTTCGAAACGGGTATATCTTCGCATAAAATCTAGACAGAAGCATTCTCAGAAAATACTTTGTGATGATTGAGTTTAACTCACAGAGCTGAACATTCCTTTGGATGGAGCAGGTTTGAGACACACCTTTTGTAGAATCTACAAGTGGATATTTGGACCTCTCTGAGGATTTCGTTGGAAACGGGATAACTGCACCTAACTAAACGGAAGCATTCTCAGAAACTGCTTTGTGATGATTGCATTCACCTCACAGAGTTGAACATTCCTATTGATAGAGCAGTTTGGAAACACTCTTGTTGTGGAATGTGCAAGTGGAGATTTGGAGCGCTTTGAGGCCTATGGTAGTAAAGGGAATAGCTTCATAGAAAAACTAGACAGATGCATTCTCAGGAACTTTTTGGTGATGTTTGTATTCAACTCCCAGAGTTGAACTTTCCTTTGGAAAGAGCAGCTATGAAACACTGTTTTTCTAGAATCTGCAAGTGGACGTTTGGAGGGCTTTGTGGTTTGTGGTGGAAAAGGAAATATCTTCACCTAAATACTAGATAGAAGCATCCTCAGAAGCTTCTCTGTGATGACTGCATTCAACTCACGGAGTTGAACACTCCTTTTGAGAGCGCAGTTTTGAAATTCTCTTTCTGTGGCATCTGCAAGGGGACATGTAGACCTCTTTGAAGATTTCGTTGGAAACGGAATCATCTTCACATAAAAACTATACAGAAGCAGTCTCAGAATCTTCTTTGTGATGTTTGCATTCAAATCCCCGAGTTGAACTTTCCTTTCAAAGTTCACGTTTGAAACACTCTTTTTGCAGGATCTACAAGTGGATATTTGGACCACTCTGTGTCCTTCGTTCGAAACGGGTATATCTTCACATGACATCTAGACAGAAGCTTTCTCAGAAAATTCTTTGGGATGATTGAGTTGAACTCACAGAGGTGAGCATTCCTTGCGATGTAGCAGTTTAGAAACACACTTTCTGCAGAATCTGCAAGTGCATATTTGGACCTCTGTGAGGAATTCGTTGGAAACGGGATAATTTCAGCTGACTAAACAGAAGCATTCTCAGAACCTTCTTCGTGATGTCTGCATTCAACTCAAAGTGTGGAACCTTTCTTTGATAGTTCAGGTTTTAAAAACTCTTTTTGTAGAAACTGCAAGGGGATAATTGCACTCTTTGAGGATTACCGTAGTAAAGGAAATAACTTCCTATAAAAAGAAGACAGAAGCATTCTCAGAACCCTCTTCGTGATGTTTGCATTCAACTCACAGTGCTGAACCTTTCTTTGATAGTTCAGCTTTGAAACACTCTTTTTGTAAAAACTGCAAGTGAATATTTGGTCCTCTCTGAGGATTTCGTTGGAAACGGGATAAAACGCACAGAACTAAACAGAAGCATTCTCAGAACCTTCTTCGTGATGTTTGCATTCAACTCACAGTGTTGAACCTTTCTTTGATAGTTCAGGTTTGAAACGGTCTTTCTGTAGAAACTGCAAGTAGATATTTGGACCTCTCTGAGGATTTCGTTGGAAACGGGATAAACCGCACAGAACTAAAACAGAAGCATTCACAGAAAACTCTTGGTGACGACTGAGTTTAACTCACAGAGCTGAACATCCCTTTGGATGGAGCAGTTTCGAAACACACTATTTGTAGAATGTGCAAGTGGATATTGGGGCCTCTCTGAGGATTTCGTTGGAAACGGGATAAACCGCACAGAATTAAACAGAAGCATTCTCAGAAATTACTTTGGATGATTGCATTCAAGTCACAGAGTTGAACATTCCCTTTGACAGAGCAGTTTGGAAACTCTCTTTGTGTAGAATCTGCAAGTGGAGATATGGACCGCTTTGAGGCCTATGGTAGTAAAGGAAATAGCTTCATATAAAAGCTAGACAGTAGCATTCTCAGAAACTTCTTTGTGATGCTTGCATTCAACTCACAGAGTTGAACTTTCCTTTCGAGAGAGAAGCTTTGAATCACTCTTTTTCCAGAATGTGCAAGTGGACATTTGGGGAGCTTTGAGGCCTGTGGTGGAAAAGGAATTATCTTCCCGTAAAAGCTAGATAGAAGCATTGTCAGAAACTTCTTTGTGATGATTGCATTCAACTCACAGAATTGAAGGTTCCTTTTCAAACAGCAGTTTCCAATCACTCTTTCTGTGGAATCTGCAAGTGGATATTTCGACCTCTTTGAAGATTTCGTTGGAAACGGGAGAATCTTCACAGAAAAGCTAAACAGAAGCATTCTCAGAAACTTCTCTGTGATGTTTGTGTTCAACTCCCAGCAGTTTCACATTGCTTTTCATAGAGTAGTTCTGAAACATGCTTTTCGTAGTGTCTGCAAGTGGACATTTGGAGCGCTTTCAGGCCTGTGGTGGAAAACGAATTATGGTCCCATAAAAACTGGAGAGAAGACTTCTCAGAAACTTCTCTGTGATGATTGCATTCAACTCACCGATTTGAACCCTCCTATGGATAGAGCATTGTTGAAACTCTCTTTTTGTGGAATCTGCAAGTGGATATGTGGACCTCTCCGAAGATGTCTTTGGAAACGGGAATATCTTCACATAAAAACTAAACAGAAGCATTCTCAGAAACTTCTTGGTGATGTTTGCATTCAAATCCCAGAGTTGAACCTTCCTGTGATAGTTCAGGTTTGAAACACTCTTTTTGTAGGATCTGCAAGTGGATATTTGGACCACTCTGTGGCCTTCGTTCGAAACGGGTACATCTTCACATAAAATCTAGACAGAAGCATTCTCAGAAAATACTTTGTGATGATTGAGTTTAACTCACAGAGCTGAACATTCCTTTGGATGGAGCAGGTTTGAGACACACTTTTTGTAGAATCTACAAGTGGATATTTGGACCTCTCTGAGGATTTCGTTGGAAACGCGATAACTGCACCTAACTAAACGGAAGCATTCTCAGCAAACTGCTTTGTGATGATTGCATTCACCTCACAGAGTTGAACATTCCTATTGATAGAGCAGTTTGGAAACACTCTTGTTGTGGAATGTGCAAGTGGAGATTTGGAGCGCTTTGAGGCCTATGGTAGTAAAGGGAATAGCTTCATAGAAAAACTAGACAGATGCATTCTCAGGAACTTTTTGGTGATGTTTGTATTCAACTCCCAGAGTTGAACTTTCCTTTGGAAAGAGCAGCTATGAAACACTGTTTTTCTAGAATCTGCAAGTGGACGTTTGGAGGGCTTTGTGGTTTGTGGTGGAAAAGGAAATATCTTCACCTAAATACTAGATAGAAGCATCCTCAGAAGCTTCTCTGTGATGACTGCATTCAACTCACGGAGTTGAACACTCCTTTTGAGAGCGCAGTTTTGAAACTCTCTTTCTGTGGCATCTGCAAGGGGACATGTAGACCTCTTTGAAGATTTCGTTGGAAACGGAATCATCTTCACATAAAAACTACACAGAAGCAGTCTCAGAATCTTCTTTGTGATGTTTGCATTCAAATCCCCGAGTTGAACTTTCCTTTCAAAGTTCACGTTTGAAACACTCTTTTTGCAGGATCTACAAGTGGATATTTGGACCACTCTGTGTCCTTCGTTCGAAACGGGTATATCTTCACATGACATCTAGACAGAAGCTTTCTCAGAAAATTCTTTGGGATGATTGAGTTGAACTCACAGAGCTGAGCATTCCTTGCGATGTAGCAGTTTAGAAACACACTTTCTGCAGAATCTGCAAGTGCATATTTGGACCTCTGTGAGGAATTCGTTGGAAACGGGATAATTTCAGCTGACTAAACAGAAGCATTCTCAGAACCTTCTTCGTGATGTCTGCATTCAACTCACAGTGTGGAACCTTTCTTTGATAGTTCAGGTTTGAAACACTCTTTCTGTAGAAACTGCAAGGGGATAATTGCACTCTTTGAGGAGTACCGTAGTAAAGGAAATAACTTCCTATAAAAAGAAGACAGAAGCATTCTCAGAACCCTCTTCGTGATGTTTGCATTCAACTCACAGTGCTGAACCTTTCTTTGATAGTTCAGCTTTGAAACACTCTTTTTGTAGAAACTGCAAGTGGATATTTGGTCCTCTCTGAGCATTTCGTTGGAAACGGGATAAACTGCACAGAACTAAACAGAAGCATTCTCAGAACCTTCTTCGTGATGTTTGCATTCAACTCACAGTGTTGAACCTTTCTTTGATAGTTCAGGTTTGAAACGGTCTTTCTGTAGAAACTGCAAGTAGATATTTGGACCTCTCTGAGGATTTCGTTGGAAACGGGATAACCCGCACAGAACTAAAACAGAAGCATTCACAGAAAACTCTTGGTGACGACTGAGTTTAACTCACAGAGCTGAACATTCCTTTGGATGGAGCAGTTTCGAAACACACTATTTGTAGAATGTGCAAGTGGATATTTAGGCCTCTCTGAGGATTTCGTTGGAAACGGGATAAACCGCACAGAACTAAACAGAAGCATTCTCAGAAACTACTTTGTGATGATTGCATTCAAGTCACAGAGTTGAACATTCCCTTTGACAGAGCAGTTTGGAAACTCTCTTTGTGTAGAATCTGCAAGTGGAGATATGGACCGCTTTGAGGCCTATGGTAGTAAAGGAAATAGCTTCATATAAAAGCTAGACAGTAGCATTCTCAGAAACTTCTTTGTGATGCTTGCATTCAACTCACAGAGTTGAACTTTCCTTTCGAGAGAGAAGCTTTGAAACACTCTTTTTCCAGAATCTGCAAGTGGACATTTGGAGGGCTTTGAGGCCTGTGGTGGAAAAGGAATTATCTTCCCGTAAAAGCTAGATAGAAGCATTGTCAGAAACTTCTTTGTGATGATTGCATTCAACTCACAGAGTTGAAGGTTCCTTTTCAAAGAGCAGTTTCCAATCACTCTTTCTGTGGAATCTGCAAGTGGATATTTGGACCTATTTTGAAGATTTCGTTGGAAACGGGAGAATCTTCACAGGAAAGCTAAACAGAAGCATTCTCAGAAACTTCTCTGTGATGTTTGTGTTCAACTCCCAGAGTTTCACATTGCTTTTCATAGAGTAGTTCTGAAACATGCTTTTCGTAGTGTCTACAAGTGGACATTTGGAGCGCTTTCAGGCCTGTGGTGGAAAACGAATTATGGTCACATAAAAACTGGAGAGAAGCCTTCTCAGAAACTTCTCTGTGATGATTGCATTCAACTCACAGAGTTGAACCCTCCTATGGATAGAGCAGTGTTGAAACTCTCTTTTTGTGGAATCTGCAAGTGGATATGTGGACCTCTCCGAAGATGTCTTTGGAAACGGGAATATCTTCACATAAAAACTAAACAGAAGCATTCTCAGAAACTTCTTGGTGATGTTTGCATTCAAATCCCAGAGTTGAACCTTCCTTTGATAGTTCAGGTTTGAAACACTCTTTTTGTAGGATCTGCAAGTGGATATTTGGACCACTCTGTGGCCTTCGTTCGAAACGGGTATATCTTCGCATAAAATCTAGACAGAAGCATTCTCAGAAAATACTTTGTGATGATTGAGTTTAACTCACAGAGCTGAACATTCCTTTGGATGGAGCAGGTTTGAGACACACCTTTTGTACAATCTACAAGTGGATATTTGGACCTCTCTGAGGATTTCGTTGGAAACGGGATAACTGCACCTAACTAAACGGAAGCATTCTCAGAAACTGCTTTGTGATGATTGCATTCACCTCACAGAGTTGAACATTCCTATTGATAGAGCAGTTTGGAAACACTCTTGTTGTGGAATGTGCAAGTGGAGATTTGGAGCGCTTTGAGGCCTATGGTAGTAAAGGGAATAGCTTCATAGAAAAACTAGACAGATGCATTCTCAGGAACTTTTTGGTGATGTTTGTATTCAACTCCCAGAGTTGAACTTTCCTTTGGAAAGAGCAGCTATGAAACACTCTTTTTCTAGAATCTGCAAGTGGACGTTTGGAGGGCTTTGTGGTTTGTGGTGAAAAAGGAAATATCTTCACCTAAATACTAGATAGAAGCATTCTCAGAAGCTTCTCTGTGATGACTGCATTCAACTCACGGAGTTGAACACTCCTTTTGAGAGCGCAGTTTTGAAACTCTCTTTCTGTGGCATCCGCAAGGGGACATGTAGACCTCTTTGAAGATTTCGTTGGAAACGGAATCATCTTCACATAAAAACTATACAGAAGCAGTCTCAGAATCTTCTTTGTGATGTTTGCATTCAAATCCCAGAGTTGAACTTTCCTTTCAAAGTTCACGTTTGAAACACTCTTTTTGCAGGATCTACAAGTGGATATTTGGACCACTCTGTGTCCATCGTTCGAAACGGGTATATCTTCACATGACATCTAGACAGAAGCTTTCTCAGAAAATTCTTTGGGATGATTGAGTGGAACTCACAGAGCTGAACATTCCTTGCGATGTAGCAGTTTAGAAACACACTTTCTGCAGAATCTGCAAGTGCATATTTGGACCTCTCTGAGGAATTCGTTGGAAACGGGATAATTTCAGCTGACTAAACAGAAAGCATTCTCAGGAACCTTCTTCGTGATGTCTGCATTCAACTCACAGTGTGGAACCTTTCTTTGATAGTTCAGGTTTGAAACACTCTTTTTGTAGAAACTGCAAGGGGATAATTGCACTTCTTTGAGGCCTACCGTAGTAAAGGAAATAACTTCCTATAGAAAGAAGACAGAAGCATTCTCAGAACCCTCTTCGTGATGTTTGCATTCAACTCACAGTGCTGAACCTTTCTTTGATAGTTCAGCTTTGAAACACTCTTCTTGTAGAAACTGCAAGTGGATATTTGGTCCTCTCTGAGGATTTCGTTGGAAACGGGATAAACCGCACAGAACTAAACAGAAGAATTCTCAGAGCCCTCTTCGTGATGTTTGCATTCAACTCACAGTGCTGAACCTTTCTTTGATAGTGCAGCTTTGAAACACTCTTTTTGTAGAAACTGCAAGTGGATATTTGGTCCTCTCTGAGGATTTCGCTGGAAACGGGATAAACCGCACAGAACTAAAACAGAAGCATTGTCAGAAACTTCTTTGTGATGATTGCATTCAACTCACAGAGTTGAAGGTTCCTTTTCAAACAGCAGTTTCCAATCACTCTTTCTGTGGAATCTGCAAGTGGATATTTGGGCCTCTCTGAGGATTTCGTTGGAAACGAGATAAAACGCACAGAACTAAAACAGAAGCATTCTCAGAAACTTCTCTGTGATGTTTGTGTTCAACTCCCAGAGTTTCACGTTGCTTTTCATAGAGTAGTTCTGAAACATGCTTTTCGTAGTGTCTGCAAGTGGACATTTGGAGCGCTTTCAGGCCTGTGGTGGAAAACGAATTATGGTCACATAAAAACTGGAGAGAAGCCTTCTCAGAAACTTCTCTGTGATGATTGCATTCAACTCACAGAGTTGAACCCTCCTATGGATAGAGCAGTGTTGAAACTCTCTTTTTGTGGAATCTGCAAGTGGATATGTGGACCTCTCCGAAGATGTCTTTGGAAACGGGAATATCTTCACATAAAAACTAAACAGAAGCATTCTCAGAAACTTCTTGGTGATGTTTGCATTCAAATCCCAGAGTTGAACCTTCCTTTGATAGTTCAGGTTTGAAACACTCTTTTTGTAGGATCTGCAAGTGGCTATTTGGACCACTCTGTGGCCTTCGTTCGAAACGGGTATATCTTCGCATAAAATCTAGACAGAAGCATTCTCAGAAAATGCTTTGTGATGATTGAGTTGAACTCACAGAGCTGAACATTCCTTTGGATGGAGCAGGCTTGAGACACACTTTTTGTAGAATCTACAAGTGGATATTTGGACCTCTCTGAGGATTTCGTTGGAAACGGGATAACTGCACCTAACTAAACGGAAGCATTCTCAGAAACTGGTTTGTGATGATTGCATTCACCTCACAGAGTTGAACATTCCTATTGATAGAGCAGTTTGGAAACACTCTTGTTGTGGAATGTGCAAGTGGAGATTTGGAGCGCTTTGAGGCCTATGGTAGTAAAGGGAATAGCTTCATAGAAAAACTAGACAGATGCATTCTCAGGAACTTTTTGGTGATGTTTGTATTCAACTCCCAGAGTTGAACTTTCCTTTGGAAAGAGCAGCTATGAAACACTGTTTTTCTAGAATCTGCAAGTGGACGTTTGGAGGGCTTTGTGGTTTGTGGTGGAAAAGGAAATATCTTCACCTAAATACTAGATAGAAGCATCCTCAGAAGCTTCTCTGTGATGACTGCATTCAACTCACGGAGTTGAACACTCCTTTTGAGAGCGCAGTTTTGAAACTCTCTTTCTGTGGCATCTGCAAGGGGACATGTAGACCTCTTTGAAGATTTCATTGGAAACGGAATCATCTTCACATAAAAACTACACAGAAGCAGTCTCAGAATCTTCTTTGTGATGTTTGCATTCAAATCCCCGAGTTGAACTTTCCTTTCAAAGTTCACGTTTGAAACACTCTTTTTGCAGGATCTACAAGTGGATATTTGGACCACTCTGTGTCCTTCGTTCGAAACGGGTATATCTTCACATGACATCTAGACAGAAGCTTTCTCAGAAAACTCTTTGGGATGATTGAGTTGAACTCACAGAGCTGAACATTCCTTGCAATGTAGCAGTTTAGAAACACACTTTCTGCAGAATCTGCAAGTGCATATTTGGACCTCTCTGAGGAATTCGTTGGAAACGGGATAATTTCAGCTGACTAAACAGAAGCATTCTCAGAACCTTCTTCGTGATGTCTGCATTCAACTCACAGTGTGGAACCTTTCTTTGATAGTTCAGGTTTGAAACACTCTTTTTGTAGAAACTGCAAGGGGATAATTGCACTTCTTTGAGGCCTACCGTTGTAAAGGAAATAACTTCCTATAAAAAGAAGACAGAAACATTCTCAGAACCCTCTTCGTGATGTTTGCATTCAATTCACGGTGCTGAACCTTTCTTTGATAGTTCAGCTTTGAAACACTCTTTTTGTAGAAACTGCAAGTGGATATTTGGTCCTCTCTGAGGATTTCGTTGGAAACGGGATAAACCGCACAGAACTATACAGAAGCATTCTCAGAACCTTCTTCGTGATGTTTGCATTCAACTCACAGTGTTGAACCTTTCTTTGATAGTTCAGGTTTGAAACGGTCTTTCTGTAGAAACTGCAAGTAGATATTTGGACCTCTCTGAGGATTTCGCTGGAAACGGGATAAACCGCACACAACTAAAACAGAAGCATTCACAGAAAACTCTTGGTGACGACTGAGTTTAACTCACAGAGCTGAACATTCCTTTGGATGGAGCAGTTTCGAAACACACTATTTGTAGAATGTGCAAGTGGATATGTGGGCCTCTCTGAGGATTTCGTTGGAAACGGGATAAACCGCACAGAACTAAACAGAAGCATTCTCAGAAACTACTTTGTGATGATTGCATTCAAGTCACAGAGTTGAACATTCCCTTTGACAGAGCAGTTTGGAAACTCTCTTTGTGTAGAATCTGCAAGTGGAGATATGGACCGCTTTGAGGCCTATGGTAGTAAAGGAAATAGCTTCATATAAAAGCTAGACAGTAGCATTCTCAGAAACTTCTTTGTGATGCTTGCATTCAACTCACAGAGTTGAACTTTCCTTTCGAGAGAGAAGCTTTGAAACACTCTTTTTCCAGAATCTGCAAGTGGACATTTGGAGGGCTTTGAGGCCTGTGGTGGAAAAGGAATTATCTTCCCGTAAAAGCTAGATAGAAGCATTGTCAGAAACTTCTTTGTGATGATTGCATTCAACTCACAGAGTTGAAGGTTCCTTTTCAAAGAGCAGTTTCCAATCACTCTTTGTGTGTAATCTGCAAGTGGATATTCGGACCTATTTTGAAGATTTCGTTGGAAACGGGAGAATCTTCACAGGAAAGCTAAACAGAAGCATTCTCAGAAACTTCTCTGTGATGTTTGTGTTCAACTCCCAGAGTTTCACATTGCTTTTCATAGAGTAGTTCTGAAACATGCTTTTCGTAGTGTCTACAAGTGGACATTTGGAGCGCTTTCAGGCCTGTGGTGGAAAACGAATTATGGTCACATAAAAACTGGAGAGAAGCCTTCTCAGAAACTTCTCTGTGATGATTGCATTCAACTCACAGAGTTGAACCCTCCTATGGATAGAGCAGTGTTGAAACTCTCTTTTTGTGGAATCTGCAAGTGGATATGTGGACCTCTCCGAAGATGTCTTTGGAAACGGGAATATCTTCACATAAAAACTAAACAGAAGCATTCTCAGAAACTTCTTGGTGATGTTTGCATTCAAATCCCAGAGTTGAACCTTCCTTTGATAGTTCAGGTTTGAAACACTCTTTTTGTAGGATCTGCAAGTGGATATTTGGACCACTCTGTGGCCTTCGTTCGAAACGGGTATATCTTCGCATAAAATCTAGACAGAAGCATTCTCAGAAAATACTTTGTGATGATTGAGTTTAACTCACAGAGCTGAACATTCCTTTGGATGGAGCAGGTTTGAGACACACCTTTTGTAGAATCTACAAGTGGATATTTGGACCTCTCTGAGGATTTCGTTGGAAACGGGATAACTGCACCTAACTAAACGGAAGCATTCTCAGAAACTGCTTTGTGATGATTGCATTCACCTCACAGAGTTGAACATTCCTATTGATAGAGCAGTTTGGAAACACTCTTGTTGTGGAATGTGCAAGTGGAGATTTGGAGCGCTTTGAGGCCTGTGGTAGTAAAGGGAATAGCTTCATAGAAAAACTAGACAGATGCATTCTCAGGAACTTTTTGGTGATGTTTGTATTCAACTCCCAGAGTTGAACTTTCCTTTGGAAAGAGCAGCTATGAAACACTCTTTTTCTAGAATCTGCAAGTGGACGTTTGGAGGGCTTTGTGGTTTGTGGTGGAAAAGGAAATATCTTCACCTAAATACTAGATAGAAGCATTCTCAGAAGCTTCTCTGTGATGACTGCATTCAACTCACGGAGTTGAACACTCCTTTTGAGAGCGCAGTTTTGAAACTCTCTTTCTGTGGCATCTGCAAGGGGACATGTAGACCTCTTTGAAGATTTCGTTGGAAACGGAATCATCTTCACATCAAAACTATACAGAAGCAGTCTCAGAATCTTCTTTGTGATGTTTGCATTCAAATCCCAGAGTTGAACTTTCCTTTCCAACTTCACGTTTGAAACACTCTTTTTGCAGGATCTGCAAGTGGATATTTGGACCACTCTGTGTCCTTCGTTCGAAACGGGTATATCTTCACATGACATCTAGACAGAAGCTTTCTCAGAAAATTCTTTGGGATGATTGAGTGGAACTCACAGAGCTGAACATTCCTTGCGATGTAGCAGTTTAGAAACACACTTTCTGCAGAATCTGCAAGTGCATATTTGGACCTCTCTGAGGAATTCGTTGGAAACGGGATAATTTCAGCTGACTAAACAGAAGCATTCTCAGAACCTTCTTCGTGATGTCTGCATTCAACTCACAGTGTGGAACCTTTCTTTGATAGTTCAGGTTTGAAACACTCTTTTTGTAGAAACTGCAAGGGGATAATTGCACTTCTTTGAGGCCTACCGTAGTAAAGGAAATAACTTCCTATAGAAAGAAGACAGAAGCATTCTCAGAACCCTCTTCGTGATGTTTGCATTCAACTCACAGTGCTGAATCTTTCTTTGATAGTTCAGCTTTGAAACACTCTTCTTGTAGAAACTGCAAGTGGATATTTGGTCCTCTCTGAGGATTTCGTTGGAAACGGGATAAACCGCACAGAACTAAACAGAAGCATTCTCAGAACCTTCTTCGTGATGTTTGCATTCAACTCACAGTGTTGAACCTTTCTTTGATAGTTCAGGTTTGAAACGGTCTTTCTGTAGAAACTGCAAGTAGATCTTTGGACCTCTCTGAGGATTTCGTTGGAAACGGGATAACCCGCACAGAACTAAAACAGAAGCATTCACAGAAAACTCTTGGTGACGACTGAGTTTAACTCACAGAGCTGAACATTCCTTTGGATGGAGCAGTTTCGAAACACACTATTTGTAGAATGTGCAAGTGGATATTTGGGCCTCTCTGAGGATTTCGTTGGAAACGGGATAAACCGCACAGAACTAAACAGAAGCATTCTCAAAAACTACTTTGTGATGATTGCATTCAAGTCACAGAGTTGAACATTCCCTTTGACAGAGCAGTTTGGAAACTCTCTTTGTGTAGAATCTGCAAGTGGAGATATGGACCGCTTTGAGGCCTATGGTAGTAAAGGAAATAGCTTCATATAAAAGCTAGACAGTAGCATTCTCAGAAACTTCTTTGTGATGCTTGCATTCAACTCACAGAGTTGAACTTTCCTTTCGAGAGAGAAGCTTTGAAACACTCTTTTTCCAGAATCTGCAAGTGGACATTTGGAGGGCTTTGAGGCCTGTGGTGGAAAAGGAATTAACTTCCCATAAAAGCTAGATAGAAGCATTGTCAGAAACTTCTTTCTGATGATTGCATTCAACTCATAGAGATGAAGGTTCCTTTACAAACAGCAGTTTCCAAACACTCTTTCTCTGGAATCTGCAAGTGGATATTTGGACCTCTTTGAAGATTTCGTTGGAAACGGGAGAATCTTCACAGAAAAGCTAAACAGAAGCATTCTCAGAAACTTCTCTGTGATGTTTGTGTTCAACTCCCAGAGTTTCACATTGCTTTTCATAGAGTAGTTCTGAAACATGCTTTTCGTAGTGTCTGCAAGTGGACATTTGGAGCGCTTTCAGGCCTGTGGTGGAAAACGAATTATGGTCCCATAAAAACTGGAGAGAAGCCTTCTCAGAAACTTCTCTGTGATGATTGCATTCAACTCACAGATTTGAACCCTCCTATGGATAGAGCATTGTTGAAACTCTCTTTTTGTGGAATCTGCAAGTGGATATGTGGACCTCTCCGAAGATGTCTTTGGAAACGGGAATATCTTCACATAAAAACTAAACAGAAGCATTCTCAGAAACTTATTGGTGATGTTTGCATTCAAATCCCAGAGTTGAACCTTCCTGTGATAGTTCAGGTTTGAAACACTCATTTTGTAGGATCTGCAAGTGGATATTTGGACCACTCTGTGGCCTTCGTTCGAAACGGGTACATCTTCACATAAAATCTAGACAGAAGCATTCTCAGAAAATACTTTGTGATGATTGAGTTTAACTCACAGAGCTGAACATTCCTTTGGATGGAGCAGGTTTGAGACACACTTTTTGTAGAATCTACAAGTGGATATTTGGACCTCTCTGAGGATTTCGTTGGAAACGCGATAACTGCACCTAACTAAACGGAAGCATTCTCAGAAACTGCTTTGTGATGATTGCATTCACCTCACAGAGTTGAACATTCCTATTGATAGAGCAGTTTGGAAACACTCTTGTTGTGGAATGTGCAAGTGGAGATTTGGAGCGCTTTGAGGCCTATGGTAGTAAAGGGAATAGCTTCATAGAAAAACTAGACAGATGCATTCTCAGGAACTTTTTGGTGATGTTTGTATTCAACTCCCAGAGTTGAACTTTCCTTTGGAAAGAGCAGCTATGAAACACTCTTTTTCTAGAATCTGCAAGTGGACGTTTGGAGGGCTTTGTGGTTTGTGGTGGAAAAGGAAATATCTTCACCTAAATACTAGATAGAAGCATTCTCAGAAGCTTCTCTGTGATGACTGCATTCAACTCACGGAGTTGAACACTCCTTTTGAGAGCGCAGTTTTGAAACTCTCTTTCTGTGGCATCTGCAAGGGGACATGTAGACCTCTTTGAAGATTTCGTTGGAAACGGAATCATCTTCACATAAAAACTATACAGAAGCAGTCTCAGAATCTTCTTTGTGATGTTTGCATTCAAATCCCAGAGTTGAACTTTCCTTTCAAAGTTCACGTTTGAAACACTCTTTTTGCAGGATCTACAAGTGGATATTTGGACCACTCTGTGTCCTTCGTTCGAAACGGGTATATCTTCACACGACATCTAGACAGAAGCTTTCTCAGAAAATTCTTTGGGATGATTGAGTGGAACTCACAGAGCTGAACATTCCTTGCGATGTAGCAGTTTAGAAACACACTTTCTGCAGAATCTGCAAGTGCATATTTGGACCTCTCTGAGGAATTCGTTGGAAACGGGATAATTTCAGCTGACTAAACAGAAGCATTCTCAGAACCTTCTTCGTGATGTCTGCATTCAACTCACAGTGTGGAACCTTTCTTTGATAGTTCAGGTTTGAAACACTCTTTTTGTAGAAACTGCAAGGGGATAATTGCACTTCTTTGAGGCCTACCGTAGTAAAGGAAATAACTTCCTATAGAAAGAAGACAGAAGCATTCTCAGAACCCTCTTCGTGATGTTTGCATTCAACTCACAGTGCTGAACCTTTCTTTGATAGTTCAGCTTTGAAACACTCTTCTTGTAGAAACTGCAAGTGGATATTTGGTCCTCTCTGAGGATTTCGTTGGAAACGGGATAAACCGCACAGAACTAAACAGAAGAATTCTCAGAGCCCTCTTCGTGATGTTTGCATTCAACTCACAGTGCTGAACCTTTCTTTGATAGTGCAGCTTTGAAACACTCTTTTTGTAGAAACTGCAAGTGGATGTTTGGTCCTCTCTGAGGATTTCGTTGGAAACGGGATAAACCGCACAGAACTAAAACAGAAGCATTGTCAGAAACTTCTTTGTGATGATTGCATTCAACTCACAGAGTTGAAGGTTCCTTTTCAAACAGCAGTTTCCAATCACTCTTTCTGTGGAATCTGCAAGTGGATATTTGGGCCTCTCTGAGGATTTCGTTGGAAACGGGATAAAACGCACAGAACTAAAACAGAAGCATTCTCAGAAACTTCTCTGTGATGTTTGTGTTCAACTCCCAGAGTTTCACGTTGCTTTTCATAGAGTAGTTCTGAAACATGCTTTTCGTAGTGTCTGCAAGTGGACATTTGGAGCGCTTTCAGGCCTGTGGTGGAAAACGAATTATGGTCACATAAAAACTGGAGAGAAGCCTTCTCAGAAACTTCTCTGTGATGATTGCATTCAACTCACAGAGTTGAACCCTCCTATGGATAGAGCAGTGTTGAAACTCTCTTTTTGTGGAATCTGCAAGTGGATATGTGGACCTCTCCGAAGATGTCTTTGGAAACGGGAATATCTTCACATAAAAACTAAACAGAAGCATTCTCAGAAACTTCTTGGTGATGTTTGCATTCAAATCCCAGAGTTGAACCTTCCTTTGATAGTTCAGGTTTGAAACACTCTTTCTGTAGGATCTGCAAGTGGCTATTTGGACCACTCTGTGGCCTTCGTTCGAAACGGGTATATCTTCGCATAAAATCTAGACAGAAGCATTCTCAGAAAATACTTTGTGATGATTGAGTTTAAATCACAGAGCTGACCATTCCTTTGGATGGAGCAGGTTTGAGACACACTTTTTGTAGAATCTACAAGTGGATATTTGGACCTCTCTGAGGATTTCGTTGGAAACGGGATAACTGCACCTAACTAAACGGAAGCATTCTCAGAAACTGCTTTGTGATGATTGCATTCACCTCACAGAGTTGAACATTCCTATTGATAGAGCAGTTTGGAAACACTCTTGTTGTGGAATGTGCAAGTGGAGATTTGGAGCGCTTTGAGGCCTATGGTAGTAAAGGGAATAGCTTCATAGAAAAACTAGACAGATGCATTCTCAGGAACTTTTTGGTGATGTTTGTATTCAACTCCCAGAGTTGAACTTTCCTTTGGAAAGAGCAGCTATGAAACACTCTTTTTCTAGAATCTGCAAGTGGACGTTTGGAGGGCTTTGTGGTTTGTGGTGGAAAAGGAAATATCTTCACCTAAATACTAGATAGAAGCATTCTCAGAAGCTTCTCTGTGATGACTGCATTCAACTCACGGAGTTGAACACTCCTTTTGAGAGCGCAGTTTTGAAACTCTCTTTCTGTGGCATCTGCAAGGGGACATGTAGACCTCTTTGAAGATTTCGTTGGAAACGGAATCATCTTCACATAAAAACTATACAGAAGCAGTCTCAGAATCTTCTTTGTGATGTTTGCATTCAAATCCCAGAGTTGAACTTTCCTTTCAAAGTTCACGTTTGAAACACTCTTTTTGCAGGATCTACAAGTGGATATTTGGACCACTCTGTGTCCTTCGTTCGAAACGGGTATATCTTCACACGACATCTAGACAGAAGCTTTCTCAGAAAATTCTTTGGGATGATTGAGTGGAACTCACAGAGCTGAACATTCCTTGCGATGTAGCAGTTTAGAAACACACTTTCTGCAGAATCTGCAAGTGCATATTTGGACCTCTCTGAGGAATTCGTTGGAAACGGGATAATTTCAGCTGACTAAACAGAAGCATTCTCAGAACCTTCTTCGTGATGTCTGCATTCAACTCACAGTGTGGAACCTTTCTTTGATAGTTCAGGTTTGAAACACTCTTTTTGTAGAAACTGCAAGGGGATAATTGCACTTCTTTGAGGCCTACCGTAGTAAAGGAAATAACTTCCTATAGAAAGAAGACAGAAGCATTCTCAGAACCCTCTTCGTGATGTTTGCATTCAACTCACAGTGCTGAACCTTTCTTTGATAGTTCAGCTTTGAAACACTCTTCTTGTAGAAACTGCAAGTGGATATTTGGTCCTCTCTGAGGATTTCGTTGGAAACGGGATAAACCGCACAGAACTAAACAGAAGAATTCTCAGAGCCCTCTTCGTGATGTTTGCATTCAACTCACAGTGCTGAACCTTTCTTTGATAGTGCAGCTTTGAAACACTCTTTTTGTAGAAACTGCAAGTGGATGTTTGGTCCTCTCTGAGGATTTCGTTGGAAACGGGATAAACCGCACAGAACTAAAACAGAAGCATTGTCAGAAACTTCTTTGTGATGATTGCATTCAACTCACAGAGTTGAAGGTTCCTTTTCAAACAGCAGTTTCCAATCACTCTTTCTGTGGAATCTGCAAGTGGATATTTGGGCCTCTCTGAGGATTTCGTTGGAAACGGGATAAAACGCACAGAACTAAAACAGAAGCATTCTCAGAAACTTCTCTGTGATGTTTGTGTTCAACTCCCAGAGTTTCACGTTGCTTTTCATAGAGTAGTTCTGAAACATGCTTTTCGTAGTGTCTGCAAGTGGACATTTGGAGCGCTTTCAGGCCTGTGGTGGAAAACGAATTATGGTCACATAAAAACTGGAGAGAAGCCTTCTCAGAAACTTCTCTGTGATGATTGCATTCAACTCACAGAGTTGAACCCTCCTATGGATAGAGCAGTGTTGAAACTCTCTTTTTGTGGAATCTGCAAGTGGATATGTGGACCTCTCCGAAGATGTCTTTGGAAACGGGAATATCTTCACATAAAAACTAAACAGAAGCATTCTCAGAAACTTCTTGGTGATGTTTGCATTCAAATCCCAGAGTTGAACCTTCCTTTGATAGTTCAGGTTTGAAACACTCTTTTTGTAGGATCTGCAAGTGGCTATTTGGACCACTCTGTGGCCTTCGTTCGAAACGGGTATATCTTCGCATAAAATCTAGACAGAAGCATTCTCAGAAAATACTTTGTGATGATTGAGTTTAAATCACAGAGCTGACCATTCCTTTGGATGGAGCAGGTTTGAGACACACTTTTTGTAGAATCTACAAGTGGATATTTGGACCTCTCTGAGGATTTCGTTGGAAACGGGATAACTGCACCTAACTAAACGGAAGCATTCTCAGAAACTGCTTTGTGATGATTGCATTCACCTCACAGAGTTGAACATTCCTATTGATAGAGCAGTTTGGAAACACTCTTGTTGTGGAATGTGCAAGTGGAGATTTGGAGCGCTTTGAGGCCTATGGTAGTAAAGGGAATAGCTTCATAGAAAAACTAGAGAGATGCATTCTCAGGTAACTTTTTGGTGATGTTTGTATTCAACTCCCAGTAGTTGAACTTTCCTTTGGAAAGAGCAGCTATGAAACACTGTTTTTCTAGAATCTGCAAGTGGACGTTTGGAGGGCTTTGTGGTTTGTGGTGGAAAAGGAAATATCTTCACCTAAATACTAGATAGAAGCATTCTCAGAAGCTTCTCTGTGATGACTGCATTCAACTCACGGAGCTGAACACTCCTTTTGAGAGCGCAGTTTTGAAACTCTCTTTCTGTGGCATCTGCAAGGGGACATGTAGACCTCTCTGAAGATTTCGTTGGAAACGGAATCATCTTCACATAAAAACTATACAGAAGCAGTCTCAGAATCTTCTTTGTGATGTTTGCATTCAAATCCCAGAGTTGAACTTTCCTTTCAAAGTTCACGTTTGAAACACTCTTTTTGCAGGATCTACAAGTGGATATTTGGACCACTCTGTGTCCTTCGTTCGAAACGGGTATATCTTCACACGACATCTAGACAGAAGCTTTCTCAGAAAATTCTTTGGGATGATTGAGTGGAACTCACAGAGCTGAACATTCCCTTGCGATGTAGCAGTTTAGAAACACACTTTCTGCAGAATCTGCAAGTGCATATTTGGACCTCTCTGAGGAATTCGTTGGAAACGGGATAATTTCAGCTGACTAAACAGAAGCATTCTCAGAACCTTCTTCGTGATGTCTGCATTCAACTCACAGTGTGGAACCTTTCTTTGATAGTTCAGGTTTGAAACACTCTTTTTGTAGAAACTGCAAGGGGATAATTGCACTTCTTTGAGGCCTACCGTAGTAAAGGAAATAACTTCCTATAGAAAGAAGACAGAAGCATTCTCAGAACCCTCTTCGTGATGTTTGCATTCAACTCACAGTGCTGAACCTTTCTTTGATAGTTCAGCTTTGAAACACTCTTCTTGTAGAAACTGCAAGTGGATATTTGGTCCTCTCTGAGGATTTCGTTGGAAACGGGATAAACCGCACAGAACTAAACAGAAGAATTCTCAGAGCCCTCTTCGTGATGTTTGCATTCAACTCACAGTGCTGAACCTTTCTTTGATAGTGCAGCTTTGAAACACTCTTTTTGTAGAAACTGCAAGTGGATGTTTGGTCCTCTCTGAGGATTTCGTTGGAAACGGGATAAACCGCACAGAACTAAAACAGAAGCATTGTCAGAAACTTCTTTGTGATGATTGCATTCAACTCACAGAGTTGAAGGTTCCTTTTCAAACAGCAGTTTCCAATCACTCTTTCTGTGGAATCTGCAAGTGGATATTTGGGCCTCTCTGAGGATTTCGTTGGAAACGGGATAAAACGCACAGAACTAAAACAGAAGCATTCTCAGAAACTTCTCTGTGATGTTTGTGTTCAACTCCCAGAGTTTCACGTTGCTTTTCATAGAGTAGTTCTGAAACATGCTTTTCGTAGTGTCTGCAAGTGGACATTTGGAGCGCTTTCAGGCCTGTGGTGGAAAACGAATTATGGTCACATAAAAACTGGAGAGAAGCATTCTCAGAAAATACTTTGTGATGATTGAGTTTAAATCACAGAGCTGACCATTCCTTTGGATGGAGCAGGTTTGAGACACACTTTTTGTAGAATCTACAAGTGGATATTTGGACCTCTCTGAGGATTTCGTTGGAAACGGGATAACTGCACCTAACTAAACGGAAGCATTCTCAGAAACTGCTTTGTGATGATTGCATTCACCTCACAGAGTTGAACATTCCTATTGATAGAGCAGTTTGGAAACACTCTTGTTGTGGAATGTGCAAGTGGAGATTTGGAGCGCTTTGAGGCCTGTGGTAGTAAAGGGAATAGCTTCATAGAAAAACTAGACAGATGCATTCTCAGGAACTTTTTGGTGATGTTTGTATTCAACTCCCAGAGTTGAACTTTCCTTTGGAAAGAGCAGCTATGAAACACTCTTTTTCTAGAATCTGCAAGTGGACGTTTGGAGGGCTTTGTGGTTTGTGGTGGAAAAGGAAATATCTTCACCTAAATACTAGATAGAAGCATTCTCAGAAGCTTCTCTGTGATGACTGCATTCAACTCACGGAGTTGAACACTCCTTTTGAGAGCGCAGTTTTGAAACTCTCTTTCTGTGGCATCTGCAAGGGGACATGTAGACCTCTTTGAAGATTTCGTTGGAAACGGAATCATCTTCACATAAAAACTATACAGAAGCAGTCTCAGAATCTTCTTTGTGATGTTTGCATTCAAATCCCCGAGTTGAACTTTCCTTTCAAAGTTCACGTTTGAAACACTCTTTTTGCAGGATCTACAAGTGGATATTTGGACCACTCTGTGTCCTTCGTTCGAAACGGGTATATCTTCACATGACATCTAGACAGAAGCTTTCTCAGAAAATTCTTTGGGATGATTGAGTTGAACTCACAGAGCTGAGCATTCCTTGCGATGTAGCAGTTTAGAAACACACTTTCTGCAGAATCTGCAAGTGCATATTTGGACCTCTGTGAGGAATTCGTTGGAAACGGGATAATTTCAGCTGACTAAACAGAAGCATTCTCAGAACCTTCTTCGTGATGTCTGCATTCAACTCACAGTGTGGAACCTTTCTTTGATAGTTCAGGTTTGAAACACTCTTTTTGTAGAAACTGCAAGGGGATAATTGCACTCTTTGAGGAGTACCGTAGTAAAGGAAATAACTTCCTATAAAAAGAAGACAGAAGCATTCTCAGAACCCTCTTCGTGATGTTTGCATTCAACTCACAGTGCTGAACCTTTCTTTGATAGTTCAGCTTTGAAACACTCTTTTTGTAGAAACTGCAAGTGGATATTTGGTCCTCTCTGAGGATTTCGTTGGAAACGGGATAAACTGCACAGAACTAAACAGAAGCATTCTCAGAACTTCTTCGTGATGTTTGCATTCAACTCACAGTGTTGAACCTTTCTTTGATAGTTCAGGTTTGAAACGGTCTTTCTGTAGAAACTGCAAGTAGATATTTGGACCTCTCTGAGGATTTCGTTGGAAACGGGATAACCCGCACAGAACTAAAACAGACAGCATTCTCAGAAAACTCTTTGTGACGACTGAGTTTAACTCACAGGGCTGAACATTCCTTTGGATGGAGCAGTTTGGAAACACACTATCTGTAGGATCTGCAAGCGGATACTTGGGCCTCTCTGAGGATTTCGTTGGAAACGGGATAAACCGCACAGAACTAAACAGAGCATTCTCAGAAACTACTTTGTGATGATTGCATTCAAGTCACAGAGTTGAACATTCCCTTTGACAGAGCAGTTTGGAAACTCACTTTGTGTAGAATCTGCAAGTGGAGATATGGACCGCTTTGAGGCCTATGGTAGTAAAGGAAATAGCTTCATATAAAAGCTAGACAGTAGCATTCTCAGAAACTTCTTTGTGATGCTTGCATTCAACTCACAGTAGTTGAACTTTCCTTTCGAGAGAGAAGCTTTGAAACACTCTTTTTCCAGAATGTGCAAGTGGACATTTGGGGAGCTTTGAGGCCTGTGGTGGAAAAGGAATTATCTTCCCGTAAAAGCTAGATAGAAGCATTGTCAGAAACTTCTTTGTGATGATTGCATTCAACTCACAGAGTTGAAGGTTCCTTTTCAAACAGCAGTTTCCAATCACTCTTTCTGTGGAATCTGCAAGTGGATATTTGGGCCTCTCTGAGGATTTCGTTGGAAACGGGATAAAACGCACAGAACTAAAACAGAAGCATTCTCAGAAACTTCTCTGTGATGTTTGTGTTCAACTCCCAGAGTTTCACGTTGCTTTTCATAGAGTAGTTCTGAAACATGCTTTTCGTAGTGTCTGCAAGTGGACATTTGGAGCGCTTTCAGGCCTGTGGTGGAAAACGAATTATGGTCACATAAAAACTGGAGAGAAGCCTTCTCAGAAACTTCTCTGTGATGATTGCATTCAACTCACAGAGTTGAACCCTCCTATGGATAGAGCAGTGTTGAAACTCTCTTTTTGTGGAATCTGCAAGTGGATATGTGGACCTCTCCGAAGATGTCTTTGGAAACGGGAATATCTTCACATAAAAACTAAACAGAAGCATTCTCAGAAACTTCTTGGTGATGTTTGCATTCAAATCCCAGAGTTGAACCTTCCTTTGATAGTTCAGGTTTGAAACACTCTTTCTGTAGGATCTGCAAGTGGCTATTTGGACCACTCTGTGGCCCTTCGTTCGAAACGGGTATATCTTCGCATAAAATCTAGACAGAAGCATTCTCAGAAAATACTTTGTGATGATTGAGTTTAAATCACAGAGCTGACCATTCCTTTGGATGGAGCAGGTTTGAGACACACTTTTTGTAGAATCTACAAGTGGATATTTGGACCTCTCTGAGGATTTCGTTGGAAACGGGATAACTGCACCTAACTAAACGGAAGCATTCTCAGAAACTGCTTTGTGATGATTGCATTCACCTCACCAGAGTTGAACATTCCTATTGATAGAGCAGTTTGGAAACACTCTTGTTGTGGAATGTGCAAGTGGAGATTTGGAGCGCTTTGAGGCCTATGGTAGTAAAGGGAATAGCTTCATAGAAAAACTAGACAGATGCATTCTCAGGAACTTTTTGGTGATGTTTGTATTCAACTCCCAGAGTTGAACTTTCCTTTGGAAAGAGCAGCTATGAAACACTCTTTTTCTAGAATCTGCAAGTGGACGTTTGGAGGGCTTTGTGGTTTGTGGTGGAAAAGGAAATATCTTCACCTAAATACTAGATAGAAGCATTCTCAGAAGCTTCTCTGTGATGACTGCATTCAACTCACGGAGTTGAACACTCCTTTTGAGAGCGCAGTTTTGAAACTCTCTTTCTGTGGCATCTGCAAGGGGACATGTAGACCTCTTTGAAGATTTCGTTGGAAACGGAATCATCTTCACATAAAAACTATACAGAAGCAGTCTCAGAATCTTCTTTGTGATGTTTGCATTCAAATCCCAGAGTTGAACTTTCCTTTCAAAGTTCACGTTTGAAACACTCTTTTTGCAGGATCTACAAGTGGATATTTGGACCACTCTGTGTCCTTCGTTCGAAACGGGTATATCTTCACACGACATCTAGACAGAAGCTTTCTCAGAAAATTCTTTGGGATGATTGAGTGGAACTCACAGAGCTGAACATTCCTTGCGATGTAGCAGTTTAGAAACACACTTTCTGCAGAATCTGCAAGTGCATATTTGGACCTCTCTGAGGAATTCGTTGGAAACGGGATAATTTCAGCTGACTAAACAGAAGCATTCTCAGAACCTTCTTCGTGATGTCTGCATTCAACTCACAGTGTGGAACCTTTCTTTGATAGTTCAGGTTTGAAACACTCTTTTTGTAGAAACTGCAAGGGGATAATTGCACTTCTTTGAGGCCTACCGTAGTAAAGGAAATAACTTCCTATAGAAAGAAGACAGAAGCATTCTCAGAACCCTCTTCGTGATGTTTGCATTCAACTCACAGTGCTGAACCTTTCTTTGATAGTTCAGCTTTGAAACACTCTTCTTGTAGAAACTGCAAGTGGATATTTGGTCCTCTCTGAGGATTTCGTTGGAAACGGGATAAACCGCACAGAACTAAACAGAAGCATTCTCAGAGCCCTCTTCGTGATGTTTGCATTCAACTCACAGTGCTGAACCTTTCTTTGATAGTGCAGCTTTGAAACACTCTTTTTGTAGAAACTGCAAGTGGATATTTGGTCCTCTCTGAGGATTTCGTTGGAAACGGGATAAACCGCACAGAACTAAAACAGAAGCATTCACAGAAAACTCTTGGTGACGACTGAGTTTAACTCACAGAGCTGAACATTCCTTTGGATGGAGCAGTTTCGAAACACACTATTTGTAGAATCTGCAAGTGGATATTTGGGCCTCTCTGAGGATTTCATTGGAAACGGGATAAAACGCACAGAACTAAAACAGAAGCATTCTCAGAAACTACTTTGTGATGATTGCATTCAAGTCACAGAGTTGAACATTCCCTTTGACAGAGCAGTTTGGAAACTCTCTTTGTGTAGAATCTGCAAGTGGAGATATGGACCGCTTTGAGGCCTATGGTAGTAAAGGAAATAGCTTCATATAAAAGCTAGACAGTAGCATTCTCAGAAACTTCTTTGTGATGCTTGCATTCAACTCACAGAGTTGAAATTTCCTTTCGAGAGAGAAGCTTTGAAACACTCTTTTTCCAGAATCTGCAAGTGGACATTTGGAGGGCTTTGAGGCCTGTGGTGGAAAAGGAATTATCTTCCCGTAAAAGCTAGATAGAAGCATTGTCAGAAACTTCTTTGTGATGATTGCATTCAACTCACAGAGTTGAAGGTTCCTTTTCAAAGAGCAGTTTCCAATCACTCTTTCTGTGGAATCTGCAAGTGGATATTTGGACCTATTTTGAAGATTTCGTTGGAAACGGGAGAATCTTCACAGGAAAGCTAAACAGAAGCATTCTCAGAAACTTCTCTGTGATGTTTGTGTTCAACTCCCAGAGTTTCACATTGCTTTTCATAGAGTAGTTCTGAAACATGCTTTTCGTAGTGTCTACAAGTGGACATTTGGAGCGCTTTCAGGCCTGTGGTGGAAAACGAATTATGGTCACATAAAAACTGGAGAGAAGCCTTCTCAGAAACTTCTCTGTGATGATTGCATTCAACTCACAGAGTTGAACCCTCCCTATGGATAGAGCAGTGTTGAAACTCTCTTTTTGTGGAATCTGCAAGTGGATATGTGGACCTCTCCGAAGATGTCTTTGGAAACGGGAATATCTTCACATAAAAACTAAACAGAAGCATTCTCAGAAACTTCTTGGTGATGTTTGCATTCAAATCCCAGAGTTGAACCTTCCTTTGATAGTTCAGGTTTGAAACACTCTTTTTGTAGGATCTGCAAGTGGATATTTGGACCACTCTGTGGCCTTCGTTCGAAACGGGTATATCTTCGCATAAAATCTAGACAGAAGCATTCTCAGAAAATACTTTGTGATGATTGAGTTGAACTCACAGAGCTGAACATTCCTTTGGATGGAGCAGGTTTGAGACACACTTTTTGTAGAATCTACAAGTGGATATTTGGACCTCTCTGAGGATTTCGTTGGAAACGGGATAACTGCACCTAACTAAACGGAAGCATTCTCAGAAACTGCTTTGTGATGATTGCATTCACCTCACAGAGTTGAACATTCCTATTGATAGAGCAGTTTGGAAACACTCTTCTTGTGGAATGTGCAAGTGGAGATTTGGAGCGCTTTGAGGCCTATGGTAGTAAAGGGAATAGCTTCATAGAAAAACTAGACAGATGCATTCTCAGGAACTTTTTGGTGATGTTTGTATTCAACTCCCAGAGTTGAACTTTCCTTTGGAAAGAGCAGCTATGAAACACTCTTTTTCTAGAATCTGCAAGTGGACGTTTGGAGGGCTTTGTGGTTTGTGGTGGAAAAGGAAATATCTTCACCTAAATACTAGATAGAAGCATTCTCAGAAGCTTCTCTGTGATGACTGCATTCAACTCACGGAGTTGAACACTCCTTTTGAGAGCGCACTTTTGAAACTCTCTTTCTGTGGCATCTGCAAGGGGACATGTAGACCTCTTTGAAGATTTCGTTGGAAACGGAATCATCTTCACATAAAAACTATACAGAAGCAGTCTCAGAATCTTCTTTGTGATGTTTGCATTCAAATCCCAGAGTTGAACTTTCCTTTCAAAGTTCACGTTTGAAACACTCTTTTTGCAGGATCTACAAGTGGATATTTGGACCACTCTGTGTCCTTCGTTCGAAACGGGTATATCTTCACATGACATCTAGACAGAAGCTTTCTCAGAAAATTCTTGGGGATGATTGAGTGGAACTCACAGAGCTGAACATTCCTTGCGATGTAGCAGTTTAGAAACACACTTTCTGCAGAATCTGCAAGTGCATATTTGGACCTCTCTGAGGAATTCGTTGGAAACGGGATAATTTCAGCTGACTAAACAGAAGCATTCTCAGAACCTTCTTCGTGATGTCTGCATTCAACTCACAGTGTGGAACCTTTCTTTGATAGTTCAGGTTTGAAACACTCTTTTTGTAGAAACTGCAAGGGGATAATTGCACTTCTTTGAGGCCTACCGTAGTAAAGGAAATAACTTCCTATAGAAAGAAGACAGAAGCATTCTCAGAACCCTCTTCGTGATGTTTGCATTCAACTCACAGTGCTGAATCTTTCTTTGATAGTTCAGCTTTGAAACACTCTTCTTGTAGAAACTGCAAGTGGATATTTGGTCCTCTCTGAGGATTTCGTTGGAAACGGGATAAACCGCACAGAACTAAACAGAAGCATTCTCAGAACCTTCTTCGTGATGTTTGCATTCAACTCACAGTGTTGAACCTTTCTTTGATAGTTCAGGTTTGAAACGGTCTTTCTGTAGAAACTGCAAGTAGATATTTGGACCTCTCTGAGGATTTCGTTGGAAACGGGATAACCCGCACAGAACTAAAACAGAAGCATTCACAGAAAACTCTTGGTGACGACTGAGTTTAACTCACAGAGCTGAACATTCCTTTGGATGGAGCAGTTTCAAAACACACTATTTGTAGAATGTGCAAGTGGATATGTGGGCCTCTCTGAGGATTTCGTTGGAAACGGGATAAACCGCACAGAACTAAACAGAAGCATTCTCAGAAACTACTTTGTGATGATTGCATTCAAGTCACAGAGTTGAACATTCCCTTTGACAGAGCAGTTTGGAAACTCTCTTTGTGTAGAATCTGCAAGTGGAGATATGGACCGCTTTGAGGCCTATGGTAGTAAAGGAAATAGCTTCATATAAAACCAGACCGTAAGCATTCTCAGAAACTTCTTTGTGATGCTTGCATTCAACTCACAGAGTTGAACTTTCCTTTCGAGAGAGAAGCTTTGAAACACTCTTTTTCCAGAATCTGCAAGTGGACATTTGGAGGGCTTTGAGGCCTGTGGTGGAAAAGGAATTATCTTCCCGTAAAAGCTAGATAGAAGCATTGTCAGAAACTTCTTTGTGATGATTGCATTCAAGTCACAGAGTTGAAGGTTCCTTTTCAAAGAGCAGTTTCCAATCACACTTTCTGTGGAATCTGCAAGTGGATATTTGGACCTCTTTGAAGATTTCGTTGGAAACGGGAGAATCTTCACAGAAAAGCTAAACAGAAGCATTCTCAGAAACCTCTCTGTGATGTTTGTGTTCAACTCCCAGAGTTTCACATTGCTTCTCGTAGAGTAGTTCTGAAACATGCTTTTCGTAGTGTCTGCAAGTGGACATTTGGAGCGCTTTCAGGCCTGTGGTGGAAAACGAATTATGGTCACATAAAAACTGGAGAGAAGCCTTCTCAGAAACTTCTCTGTGATGATTGCATTCAACTCACAGAGTTGAACCCTCCTATGGATAGAGCAGTGTTGAAACTCTCTTTTTGTGGAATCTGCAAGCGGATATGTGGACCTCTCCGAAGATGTCTTTGGAAACGGGAATATCTTCACATAAAAACTAAACAGAAGCATTCTCAGAAACTTCTTGGTGATGTTTGCATTCAAATCCCAGAGTTGAACCTTCCTTTGAGAGTTCAGGTTTGAAACACTCTTTTTGTAGGATCTGCAAGTGGATATTTGGACCACTCTGTGGCCTTCGTTCGAAACGGGTACATCTTCGCATAAAATCTAGACAGAAGCATTCTCAGAAAATACTTTGTGATGATTGAGTTGAACTCACAGAGCTGAACATTCCTTTGGATGGAGCAGGTTTGAGACACACTTTTTGTAGAATCTACAAGTGGATATTTGGACCTCTCTGAGGATTTCGTTGGAAACGGGATAACTGCACCTAACTAAACGGAAGCATTCTCAGAAACTGCTTTGTGATGATTGCATTCACCTCACAGAGTTGAACATTCCTATTGATAGAGCAGGTTGGAAACACTCTTGTTGTGGAATGTGCAAGTGGAGATTTGGAGCGCTTTGAGGCCTATGGTAGTAAAGGGAATAGCTTCATAGAAAAACTAGACAGATGCATTCTCAGGAACTTTTTGGTGATGTTTGTATTCA
The DNA here is from genome assembly GCF_000001405.40 of Homo sapiens. Taxonomy (NCBI): domain Eukaryota; kingdom Metazoa; phylum Chordata; class Mammalia; order Primates; family Hominidae; genus Homo; species Homo sapiens. The sequence continues at coordinate 24,573,642 of NC_000017.11, forward strand.
ACTCCCAGAGTTGAACTTTCCTTTGGAAAGAGCAGCTATGAAACACTCTTTTTCTAGAATCTGCAAGTGGACGTTTGGAGGGCTTTGTGGTTTGTGGTGGAAAAGGAAATATCTTCACCTAAATACTAGAGAGAAGCATTCTCAGAAGCTTCTCTGTGATGACTGCATTCAACTCACGGAGTTGAACACTCCTCTTGAGAGCGCAGTTTTGAAACTCTCTTTCTGTGGCATCCGCAAGGGGACATGTAGACCTCTTTGAAGATTTCGTTGGAAACGGAATCATCTTCACATAAAATCTATACAGAAGCAGTCTCAGAATCTTCTTTGTGATGTTTGCATTCAAATCCCAGAGTTGAACTTTCCTTTCAAAGTTCACGTTTGAAACACTCTTTTTGCAGGATCTACAAGTGGATATTTGGACCACTCTGTGTCCTTCGTTCGAAACGGGTATATCTTCACATGACATCTAGGCAGAAGCTTTCTCAGAAAATTCTTTGGGATGATTGAGTGGAACTCACAGAGCTGAACATTCCTTGCGATGTAGCAGTTTAGAAACACACTTTCTGCAGAATCTGCAAGTGCATATTTGGACCTCTCTGAGGAATTCGTTGGAAACGGGATAATTTCAGCTGACTAAACAGAAGCATTCTCAGAACCTTCTTCGTGATGTCTGCATTCAACTCACAGTGTGGAACCTTTCTTTGATAGTTCAGGTTTGAAACACTCTTTTTGTAGAAACTGCAAGGGGATAATTGCACTTCTTTGAGGCCTACCGTAGTAAAGGAAATAACTTCCTATAGAAAGAAGACAGAAGCATTCTCAGAACCCTCTTCGTGATGTTTGCATTCAACTCACAGTGCTGAACCTTTCTTTGATAGTTCAGCTTTGAAACACTCTTCTTGTAGAAACTGCAAGTGGATATTTGGTCCTCTCTGAGGATTTCGTTGGAAACGGGATAAACCGCACAGAACTAAACAGAAGAATTCTCAGAGCCCTCTTCGTGATGTTTGCATTCAACTCACAGTGCTGAACCTTTCTTTGATAGTGCAGCTTTGAAACACTCTTTTTGTAGAAACTGCAAGTGGATGTTTGGTCCTCTCTGAGGATTTCGTTGGAAACGGGATAAACCGCACAGAACTAAAACAGAAGCATTGTCAGAAACTTCTTTGTGATGATTGCATTCAACTCACAGAGTTGAAGGTTCCTTTTCAAACAGCAGTTTCCAATCACTCTTTCTGTGGAATCTGCAAGTGGATATTTGGGCCTCTCTGAGGATTTCGTTGGAAACGGGATAAAACGCACAGAACTAAAACAGAAGCATTCTCAGAAACTTCTCTGTGATGTTTGTGTTCAACTCCCAGAGTTTCACGTTGCTTTTCATAGAGTAGTTCTGAAACATGCTTTTCGTAGTGTCTGCAAGTGGACATTTGGAGCGCTTTCAGGCCTGTGGTGGAAAACGAATTATGGTCACATAAAAACTGGAGAGAAGCCTTCTCAGAAACTTCTCTGTGATGATTGCATTCAACTCACAGAGTTGAACCCTCCTATGGATAGAGCAGTGTTGAAACTCTCTTTTTGTGGAATCTGCAAGTGGATATGTGGACCTCTCCGAAGATGTCTTTGGAAACGGGAATATCTTCACATAAAAACTAAACAGAAGCATTCTCAGAAACTTCTTGGTGATGTTTGCATTCAAATCCCAGAGTTGAACCTTCCTTTGATAGTTCAGGTTTGAAACACTCTTTCTGTAGGATCTGCAAGTGGCTATTTGGACCACTCTGTGGCCTTCGTTCGAAACGGGTATATCTTCGCATAAAATCTAGACAGAAGCATTCTCAGAAAATACTTTGTGATGATTGAGTTTAAATCACAGAGCTGACCATTCCTTTGGATGGAGCAGGTTTGAGACACACTTTTTGTAGAATCTACAAGTGGATATTTGGACCTCTCTGAGGATTTCGTTGGAAACGGGATAACTGCACCTAACTAAACGGAAGCATTCTCAGAAACTGCTTTGTGATGATTGCATTCACCTCACAGAGTTGAACATTCCTATTGATAGAGCAGTTTGGAAACACTCTTGTTGTGGAATGTGCAAGTGGAGATTTGGAGCGCTTTGAGGCCTGTGGTAGTAAAGGGAATAGCTTCATAGAAAAACTAGACAGATGCATTCTCAGGAACTTTTTGGTGATGTTTGTATTCAACTCCCAGAGTTGAACTTTCCTTTGGAAAGAGCAGCTATGAAACACTCTTTTTCTAGAATCTGCAAGTGGACGTTTGGAGGGCTTTGTGGTTTGTGGTGGAAAAGGAAATATCTTCACCTAAATACTAGATAGAAGCATTCTCAGAAGCTTCTCTGTGATGACTGCATTCAACTCACGGAGTTGAACACTCCTTTTGAGAGCGCAGTTTTGAAACTCTCTTTCTGTGGCATCTGCAAGGGGACATGTAGACCTCTTTGAAGATTTCGTTGGAAACGGAATCATCTTCACATAAAAACTATACAGAAGCAGTCTCAGAATCTTCTTTGTGATGTTAGCATTCAAATCCCAGAGTTGAACTTTCCTTTCAAAGTTCACGTTTGAAACACTCTTTTTGCAGGATCTACAAGTGGATATTTGGACCACTCTGTGTCCTTCGTTTGAAACGGGTATATCTTCACACGACATCTAGACAGAAGCTTTCTCAGAAAATTCTTTGGGATGATTGAGTGGAACTCACAGAGCTGAACATTCCTTGCGATGTAGCAGTTTAGAAACACACTTTCTGCAGAATCTGCAAGTGCATATTTGGACCTCTCTGAGGAATTCGTTGGAAACGGGATAATTTCAGCTGACTAAACAGAAGCATTCTCAGAACCTTCTTCGTGATGTCTGCATTCAACTCACAGTGTGGAACCTTTCTTTGATAGTTCAGGTTTGAAACACTCTTTTTGTAGAAACTGCAAGGGGATAATTGCACTTCTTTGAGGCCTACCGTAGTAAAGGAAATAACTTCCTATAGAAAGAAGACAGAAGCATTCTCAGAACCCTCTTCGTGATGTTTGCATTCAACTCACAGTGCTGAACCTTTCTTTGATAGTTCAGCTTTGAAACACTCTTCTTGTAGAAACTGCAAGTGGATATTTGGACCTCTCTGAGGATTTCGTTGGAAACGGGATAAACCGCACAGAACTAAACAGAAGCATTCTCAGAACCTTCTTCGTGATGTTTGCATTCAACTCACAGTGTTGAACCTTTCTTTGATAGTTCAGGTTTGAAACGGTCTTTCTGTAGAAACTGCAAGTAGATATTTGGACCTCTCTGAGGATTTCGTTGGAAACGGGATAACCCGCACAGAACTAAAACAGAAGCATTCACAGAAAACTCTTGGTGACGACTGAGTTTAACTCACAGAGCTGAACATTCCTTTGGATGGAGCAGTTTCGAAACACACTATTTGTAGAATGTGCAAGTGGATATTTGGGCCTCACTGAGGATTTCGTTGGAAACGGGATAAACCGCACAGAACTAAACAGAAGCATTCTCAGTAAACTACTTTGTGATGATTGCATTCAAGTCACAGAGTTGAACATTCCCTTTGACAGAGCAGTTTGGAAACTCTTTTTGTGTAGAATCTGCAAGTGGAGATATGGACCGCTTTGAGGCCTATGGTAGTAAAGGAAATAGCTTCATATAAAAGCTAGACGGTAGCATTCTCAGAAACTTCTTTGTGATGCTTGCATTCAACTCACAGAGTTGAACTTTCCTTTCGAGAGAGAAGCTTTGAAACACTCTTTTTCCAGAATGTGCAAGTGGACATTTGGGGAGCTTTGAGGCCTGTGGTGGAAAAGGAATTATCTTCCCGTAAAAGCTAGATAGAAGCATTGTCAGAAACTTCTTTGTGATGATTGCATTCAACTCACAGAGTTGAAGGTTCCTTTTCAAACAGCAGTTTCCAATCACTCTTTCTGTGGAATCTGCAAGTGGATATTTTGACCTCTTTGAAGATTTCATTGGAAACGGGAGAATCTTCACAGAAAAGCTAAACAGAAGCATTCTCAGAAACTTCTCTGTGATGTTTGTGTTCAACTCCCAGAGTTTCACGTTGCTTTTCATAGAGTAGTTCTGAAACATGCTTTTCGTAGTGTCTGCAAGTGGACATTTGGAGCGCTTTCAGGCCTGTGGTGGAAAACGAATTATGGTCACATAAAAACTGGAGAGAAGCCTTCTCAGAAACTTCTCTGTGATGATTGCATTCAACTCACAGAGTTGAACCCTCCTATGGATAGAGCAGTGTTGAAACTCTCTTTTTGTGGAATCTGCAAGTGGATATGTGGACCTCTCCGAAGATGTCTTTGGAAACGGGAATATCTTCACATAAAAACTAAACAGAAGCATTCTCAGAAACTTCTTGGTGATGTTTGCATTCAAATCCCAGAGTTGAACCTTCCTTTGATAGTTCAGGTTTGAAACACTCTTTCTGTAGGATCTGCAAGTGGCTATTTGGACCACTCTGTGGCCTTCGTTCGAAACGGGTATATCTTCGCATAAAATCTAGACAGAAGCATTCTCAGAAAATACTTTGTGATGATTGAGTTTAAATCACAGAGCTGACCATTCCTTTGGATGGAGCAGGTTTGAGACACACTTTTTGTAGAATCTACAAGTGGATATTTGGACCTCTCTGAGGATTTCGTTGGAAACGGGATAACTGCACCTAACTAAACGGAGGCATTCTCAGAAACTGCTTTGTGATGATTGCATTCACCTCACAGAGTTGAACATTCCTATTGATAGAGCAGTTTGGAAACACTCTTGTTGTGGAATGTGCAAGTGGAGATTTGGAGCGCTTTGAGGCCTATGGTAGTAAAGGGAATAGCTTCATAGAAAAACTAGACAGATGCATTCTCAGGAACTTTTTGGTGATGTTTGTATTCAACTCCCAGAGTTGAACTTTCCTTTGGAAAGAGCAGCTATGAAACACTCTTTTTCTAGAATCTGCAAGTGGACGTTTGGAGGGCTTTGTGGTTTGTGGTGGAAAAGGAAATATCTTCACCTAAATACTAGATAGAAGCATTCTCAGAAGCTTCTCTGTGATGACTGCATTCAACTCACGGAGTTGAACACTCCTTTTGAGAGCGCAGTTTTGAAACTCTCTTTCTGTGGCATCTGCAAGGGGACATGTAGACCTCTTTGAAGATTTCGTTGGAAACGGAATCATCTTCACATAAAAACTATACAGAAGCAGTCTCAGAATCTTCTTTGTGATGTTTGCATTCAAATCCCAGAGTTGAACTTTCCTTTCAAAGTTCACGTTTGAAACACTCTTTTTGCAGGATCTACAAGTGGATATTTGGACCACTCTGTGTCCTTCGTTCGAAACGGGTATATCTTCACACGACATCTAGACAGAAGCTTTCTCAGAAAATTCTTTGGGATGATTGAGTGGAACTCACAGAGCTGAACATTCCTTGCGATGTAGCAGTTTAGAAACACACTTTCTGCAGAATCTGCAAGTGCATATTTGGACCTCTCTGAGGAATTCGTTGGAAACGGGATAATTTCAGCTGACTAAACAGAAGCATTCTCAGAACCTTCTTCGTGATGTCTGCATTCAACTCACAGTGTGGAACCTTTCTTTGATAGTTCAGGTTTGAAACACTCTTTTTGTAGAAACTGCAAGGGGATAATTGCACTTCTTTGAGGCCTACCGTAGTAAAGGAAATAACTTCCTATAGAAAGAAGACAGAAGCATTCTCAGAACCCTCTTCGTGATGTTTGCATTCAACTCACAGTGCTGAACCTTTCTTTGATAGTTCAGCTTTGAAACACTCTTCTTGTAGAAACTGCAAGTGGATATTTGGTCCTCTCTGAGGATTTCGTTGGAAACGGGATAAACCGCACAGAACTAAACAGAAGAATTCTCAGAGCCCTCTTCGTGATGTTTGCATTCAACTCACAGTGCTGAACCTTTCTTTGATAGTGCAGCTTTGAAACACTCTTTTTGTAGAAACTTCAAGTGGATGTTTGGTCCTCTCTGAGGATTTCGTTGGAAACGGGATAAACCGCACAGAACTAAAACAGAAGCGTTGTCAGAAACTTCTTTGTGATGATTGCATTCAACTCACAGAGTTGAAGGTTCCTTTTCAAACAGCAGTTTCCAATCACTCTTTCTGTGGAATCTGCAAGTGGATATTTGGGCCTCTCTGAGGATTTCGTTGGAAACGGGATAAAACGCACAGAACTAAAACAGAAGCATTCTCAGAAACTTCTCTGTGATGTTTGTGTTCAACTCCCAGAGTTTCACGTTGCTTTTCATAGAGTAGTTCTGAAACATGCTTTTCGTAGTGTCTGCAAGTGGACATTTGGAGCGCTTTCAGGCCTGTGGTGGAAAACGAATTATGGTCACATAAAAACTGGAGAGAAGCCTTCTCAGAAACTTCTCTGTGATGATTGCATTCAACTCACAGAGTTGAACCCTCCTATGGATAGAGCAGTGTTGAAACTCTCTTTTTGTGGAATCTGCAAGTGGATATGTGGACCTCTCCGAAGATGTCTTTGGAAACGGGAATATCTTCACATAAAAACTAAACAGAAGCATTCTCAGAAACTTCTTGGTGATGTTTGCATTCAAATCCCAGAGTTGAACCTTCCTTTGATAGTTCAGGTTTGAAACACTCTTTCTGTAGGATCTGCAAGTGGCTATTTGGACCACTCTGTGGCCTTCGTTCGAAACGGGTATATCTTCGCATAAAATCTAGACAGAAGCATTCTCAGAAAATACTTTGTGATGATTGAGTTTAAATCACAGAGCTGACCATTCCTTTGGATGGAGCAGGTTTGAGACACACTTTTTGTAGAATCTACAAGTGGATATTTGGACCTCTCTGAGGATTTCGTTGGAAACGGGATAACTGCACCTAACTAAACGGAAGCATTCTCAGAAACTGCTTTGTGATGATTGCATTCACCTCACAGAGTTGAACATTCCTATTGATAGAGCAGTTTGGAAACACTCTTGTTGTGGAATGTGCAAGTGGAGATTTGGAGCGCTTTGAGGCCTATGGTAGTAAAGGGAATAGCTTCATAGAAAAACTAGACAGATGCATTCTCAGGAACTTTTTGGTGATGTTTGTATTCAACTCCCAGAGTTGAACTTTCCTTTGGAAAGAGCAGCTATGAAACACTCTTTTTCTAGAATCTGCAAGTGAACGTTTGGAGGGCTTTGTGGTTTGTGGTGGAAAAGGAAATATCTTCACCTAAATACTAGATAGAAGCATTCTCAGAAGCTTCTCTGTGATGACTGCATTCAACTCACGGAGTTGAACACTCCTTTTGAGAGCGCAGTTTTGAAACTCTCTTTCTGTGGCATCTGCAAGGGGACATGTAGACCTCTTTGAAGATTTCGTTGGAAACGGAATCATCTTCACATAAAAACTATACAGAAGCAGTCTCAGAATCTTCTTTGTGATGTTTGCATTCAAATCCCAGAGTTGAACTTTCCTTTCAAAGTTCACGTTTGAAACACTCTTTTTGCAGGATCTACAAGTGGATATTTGGACCACTCTGTGTCCTTCGTTCGAAACGGGTATATCTTCACACGACATCTAGACAGAAGCTTTCTCAGAAAATTCTTTGGGATGATTGAGTGGAACTCACAGAGCTGAACATTCCTTGCGATGTAGCAGTTTAGAAACACACTTTCTGCAGAATCTGCAAGTGCATATTTGGACCTCTCTGAGGAATTCGTTGGAAACGGGATAATTTCAGCTGACTAAACAGAAGCATTCTCAGAACCTTCTTCGTGATGTCTGCATTCAACTCACAGTGTGGAACCTTTCTTTGATAGTTCAGGTTTGAAACACTCTTTTTGTAGAAACTGCAAGGGGATAATTGCACTTCTTTGAGGCCTACCGTAGTAAAGGAAATAACTTCCTATAGAAAGAAGACAGAGCATTCTCAGAACCCTCTTCGTGATGTTTGCATTCAACTCACAGTGCTGAACCTTTCTTTGATAGTTCAGCTTTGAAACACTCTTCTTGTAGAAACTGCAAGTGGATATTTGGTCCTCTCTGAGGATTTCGTTGGAAACGGGATAAACCGCACAGAACTAAACAGAAGCATTCTCAGAACCTTCTTCGTGATGTTTGCATTCAACTCACAGTGTTGAACCTTTCTTTGATAGTTCAGGTTTGAAACGGTCTTTCTGTAGAAACTGCAAGTAGATATTTGGACCTCTCTGAGGATTTCGTTGGAAACGGGATAAACCGCACAGAACTAAACAGAAGCATTCACAGAAAACTCTTGGTGACGACTGAGTTTAACTCACAGAGCTGAACATTCCTTTGGATGGAGCAGTTTCGAAACACACTATTTGTAGAATGTGCAAGTGGATATTTGGGCCTCTCTGAGGATTTCGTTGGAAACGGGATAAACCGCACAGAACTAAACAGAAGCATTCTCAGAAACTACTTTGTGATGATTGCATTCAAGTCACAGAGTTGAACATTCCCTTTGACAGAGCAGTTTGGAAACTCTCTTTGTGTAGAATCTGCAAGTGGAGATATGGACCGCTTTGAGGCCTATGGTAGTAAAGGAAATAGCTTCATATAAAAGCTAGACAGTAGCATCCTCAGAAACTTCTTTGTGATGCTTGCATTCAACTCACAGAGTTGAACTTTCCTTTCGAGAGAGAAGCTTTGAAACACTCTTTTTCCAGAATCTGCAAGTGGACATTTGGAGGGCTTTGAGGCCTGTGGTGGAAAAGGAATTATCTTCCCGTAAAAGCTAGATAGAAGCATTGTCAGAAACTTCTTTGTGATGATTGCATTCAACTCACAGAGTTGAAGGTTCCTTTTCAAACAGCAGTTTCCAATCACTCTTTCTGTGGAATCTGCAAGTGGATATTTGGGCCTCTCTGAGGATTTCGTTGGAAACGGGATAAAACGCACAGAACTAAAACAGAAGCATTCTCAGAAACTTCTCTGTGATGTTTGTGTTCAACTCCCAGAGTTTCACGTTGCTTTTCATAGAGTAGTTCTGAAACATGCTTTTCGTAGTGTCTGCAAGTGGACATTTGGAGCGCTTTCAGGCCTGTGGTGGAAAACGAATTATGGTCACATAAAAACTGGAGAGAAGCCTTCTCAGAAACTTCTCTGTGATGATTGCATTCAACTCACAGAGTTGAACCCTCCTATGGATAGAGCAGTGTTGAAACTCTCTTTTTGTGGAATCTGCAAGTGGATATGTGGACCTCTCCGAAGATGTCTTTGGAAACGGGAATATCTTCACATAAAAACTAAACAGAAGCATTCTCAGAAACTTCTTGGTGATGTTTGCATTCAAATCCCAGAGTTGAACCTTCCTTTGATAGTTCAGGTTTGAAACACTCTTTCTGTAGGATCTGCAAGTGGCTATTTGGACCACTCTGTGGCCTTCGTTCGAAACGGGTATATCTTCGCATAAAATCTAGACAGAAGCATTCTCAGAAAATACTTTGTGATGATTGAGTTTAAATCACAGAGCTGACCATTCCTTTGGATGGAGCAGGTTTGAGACACACTTTTTGTAGAATCTACAAGTGGATATTTGGACCTCTCTGAGGATTTCGTTGGAAACGGGATAACTGCACCTAACTAAACGGAAGCATTCTCAGAAACTGCTTTGTGATGATTGCATTCACCTCACAGAGTTGAACATTCCTATTGATAGAGCAGTTTGGAAACACTCTTGTTGTGGAATGTGCAAGTGGAGATTTGGAGCGCTTTGAGGCCTATGGTAGTAAAGGGAATAGCTTCATAGAAAAACTAGACAGATGCATTCTCAGGAACTTTTTGGTGATGTTTGTATTCAACTCCCAGAGTTGAACTTTCCTTTGGAAAGAGCAGCTATGAAACACTCTTTTTCTAGAATCTGCAAGTGGACGTTTGGAGGGCTTTGTGGTTTGTGGTGGAAAAGGAAATATCTTCACCTAAATACTAGATAGAAGCATTCTCAGAAGCTTCTCTGTGATGACTGCATTCAACTCACGGAGTTGAACACTCCTTTTGAGAGCGCAGTTTTGAAACTCTCTTTCTGTGGCATCCGCAAGGGGACATGTGGACCTCTTTGAAGATTTCGTTGGAAACGGAATCATCTTCACATAAAAACTATACAGAAGCAGTCTCAGAATCTTCTTTGTGATGTTTGCATTCAAATCCCAGAGTTGAAATTTCCTTTCAAAGTTCACGTTTGAAACACTCTTTTTGCAGGATCTACAAGTGGATATTTGGACCACTCTGTGTCCTTCGTTCGAAACGGGTATATCTTCACATGACATCTAGACAGAAGCTTTCTCAGAAAATTCTTTGGGATGATTGAGTGGAACTCACAGAGCTGAACATTCCTTGCGATGTAGCAGTTTAGAAACACACCTTCTGCAGAATCTGCAAGTGCATATTTGGACCTCTCTGAGGAATTCGTTGGAAACGGGATAATTTCAGCTGACTAAACAGAAGCATTCTCAGAACCTTCTTCGTGATGTCTGCATTCAACTCACAGTGTGGAACCTTTCTTTGATAGTTCAGGTTTGAAACACTCTTTTTGTAGAAACTGCAAGGGGATAATTGCACTTCTTTGAGGCCTACCATAGTAAAGGAAATAACTTCCTATAGAAAGAAGACAGAAGCATTCTCAGAACCCTCTTCGTGATGTTTGCATTCAACTCACAGTGCTGAACCTTTCTTTGATAGTTCAGCTTTGAAACACTCTTCTTGTAGAAACTGCAAGTGGATATTTGGTCCTCTCTGAGGATTTCGTTGGAAAGGGGATAAATCGCACAGAACTAAACAGAAGCATTCTCAGAGCCCTCTTCGTGATGTTTGCATTCAACTCACAGTGCTGAACCTGTCTTTGATAGTGCAGCTTTGAAACACTCTTTTTGTAGAAACTGCAAGTGGATGTTTGGTCCTCTCTGAGGATTTCGTTGGAAACGGGATAAACCGCACAGAACTAAAACAGAAGCATTCACAGAAAACTCTTGGTGACGACTGAGTTTAACTCACAGAGCTGAACATTCCTTTGGATGGAGCAGTTTCGAAACACACTATTTGTAGAATGTGCAAGTGGATATTTGGGCCTCTCTGAGGATTTCGTTGGAAACGGGATAAAACGCACAGAACTAAAACAGAAGCATTCTCAGAAACTACTTTGTGATGATTGCATTCAAGTCACAGAGTTGAACATTCCCTTTGACAGAGCAGTTTGGAAACTCTCTTTGTGTAGAATCTGCAAGTGGAGATATGGACCGCTTTGAGGCCTATGGTAGTAAAGGAAATACCTTCATATAAAAGCTAGACAGTAGCATTCTCAGAAACTTCTTTGTGATGCTTGCATTCAACTCACAGAGTTGAACTTTCCTTTCGAGAGAGAAGCTTTGAAACACTCTTTTTCCAGAATGTGCAAGTGGACATTTGGGGAGCTTTGAGGCCTGTGGTGGAAAAGGAATTATCTTCCCGTAAAAGCTAGATAGAAGCATTGTCAGAAACTTCTTTGTGATGATTGCATTCAACTCACAGAGTTGAAGGTTCCTTTTCAAACAGCAGTTTCCAATCACTCTTTCTGTGGAATCTGCAAGTGGATATTTCGACCTCTTTGAAGATTTCGTTGGAAACGGGAGAATCTTCACAGAAAAGCTAAACAGAAAGCATTCTCAGAAACTTCTCTGTGATGTTTGTGTTCAACTCCCAGAGTTTCACATTGCTTTTCATAGAGTAGTTCTGAAACATGCTTTTCGTAGTGTCTACAAGTGGACATTTGGAGCGCTTTCAGGCCTGTGGTGGAAAACGAATTATGGTCACATAAAAACTGGAGAGAAGCCTTCTCAGAAACTTCTCTGTGATGACTGCATTCAACTCACAGAGTTGAACCCTCCTATGGATAGAGCAGTGTTGAAACTCTCTTTTTGTGGAATCTGCAAGCGGATATGTGGACCTCTCCGAAGATGTCTTTGGAAACGGGAATATCTTCACATAAAAACTAAACAGAAGCATTCTCAGAAACTTCTTGGTGATGTTTGCATTCAAATCCCAGAGTTGAACCTTCCTTTGATAGTTCAGGTTTGAAACACTCTTTTTGTAGGATCTGCAAGTGGATATTTGGACCACTCTGTGGCCTTCGTTCGAAACGGGTATATCTTCGCATAAAATCTAGACAGAAGCATTCTCAGAAAATACTTTGTGATGATTGAGTTTAACTCACAGAGCTGAACATTCCTTTGGATGGAGCAGGTTTGAGACACACTTTTTGTAGAATCTACAAGTGGATATTTGGACCTCTCTGAGGATTTCGTTGGAAACGGGATAACTGCACCTAACTAAACGGAAGCATTCTCAGAAACTGCTTTGTGATGATTGCATTCACCTCACAGAGTTGAACATTCCTATTGATAGAGCAGTTTGGAAACACTCTTGTTGTGGAATGTGCAAGTGGAGATTTGGAGCGCTTTGAGGTCTATGGTAGTAAAGGGAATAGCTTCATAGAAAAACTAGACAGATGCATTCTCAGGAACTTTTTGGTGATGTTTGTATTCAACTCCCAGAGTTGAACTTTCCTTTGGAAAGAGCAGCTATGAAACACTCTTTTTCTAGAATCTGCAAGTGGACGTTTGGAGGGCTTTGTGGTTTGTGGTGGAAAAGGAAATATCTTCACCTAAATACTAGATAGAAGCATTCTCAGAAGCTTCTCTGTGATGACTGCATTCAACTCACGGAGTTGAACACTCCTTTTGAGAGCGCAGTTTTGAAACTCTCTTTCTGTGGCATCTGCAAGGGGATATGTAGACCTCTTTGAAGATTTCGTTGGAAACGGAATCATCTTCACATAAAAACTATACAGAAGCAGTCTCAGAATCTTCTTTGTGATGTTTGCATTCAAATCCCAGAGTTGAACTTTCCTTTCAAAGTTCACGTTTGAAACACTCTTTTTGCAGGATCTACAAGTGGATATTTGGACCACTCTGTGTCCTTCGTTCGAAACGGGTATAACTTCACACGACATCTAGACAGAAGCTTTCTCAGAAAATTCTTTGGGATGATTGAGTGGAACTCACAGAGCTGAACATTCCTTGTGATGGAGCAGTTTAGAAACACACTTTCTGCAGAATCTGCAAGTGCATATTTGGACCTCTCTGAGGAATTCGTTGGAAACGGGATAATTTCAGCTGACTAAACAGAAGCATTCTCAGAACCTTCTTCGTGATGTCTGCATTCAACTCACAGTGTGGAACCTTTCTTTGATAGTTCAGGTTTGAAACACTCTTTTTGTAGAAACTGCAAGGGGATAATTGCACTTCTTTGAGGCCTACCGTAGTAAAGGAAATAACTTCCTATAGAAAGAAGACAGAAGCATTCTCAGAACCCTCTTCGTGATGTTTGCATTCAACTCACAGTGCTGAACCTTTCTTTGATAGTTCAGCTTTGAAACACTCTTCTTGTAGAAACTGCAAGTGGATATTTGGTCCTCTCTGAGGATTTCGTTGGAAACGGGATAAACCGCACAGAACTAAACAGAAAGCATTCTCAGAACCTTCTTCGTGATGTTTGCATTCAACTCACAGTGTTGAACCTTTCTTTGATAGTTCAGGTTTGAAACGGTCTTTCTGTAGAAACTGCAAGTAGATATTTGGACCTCTCTGAGGATTTCGTTGGAAACGGGATAAACCGCACAGAACTAAAACAGAGCATTCTCAGAACCCTCTTCGTGATGTTTGCATTCAACTCACAGTGCTGAACCTTTCTTTGATAGTTCAGGTTTGAAACACTCTTTTTGTAGAAACTGCAAGTGGATATTTGGGCCTCTCTGAGGATTTCATTGGAAACGGGATAAACCGCACAGAACTAAACAGAAGCATTCTCAGAACCTTCTTCGTGATGTTTGCATTCAAATCACAGTGCTGAACGTTTCTTTGATAGTTCAGCTATGAAACACTCTTTTTGTAGAAACTGCAAGTGGATATTTGGACCTCTCTGAGGATTTCATTGGAAACGGGATAAACCACACAGAACTAAAACAGAAGCATTCTCAGAACCTTCTTCGTGATGTTTGCATTCAACTCACAAGTGTTGAACCTTTCTTTGATAGTTCAGGTTTGAAACGGTCTTTCTGTAGAAACTGCAAGTAGATATTTGGACCTCTCTGAGGATTTCGTTGGAAACGGGATAACCCGCACAGAACTAAAACAGAAGCATTCACAGAAAACTCTTGGTGACGACTGAGTTTAACTCACAGAGCTGAACATTCCTTTGGATGGAGCAGTTTCGAAACACACTATTTGTAGAATGTGCAAGTGGATATGTGGGCCTCTCTGAGGATTTCGTTGGAAACGGGATAAACCGCACAGAACTAAACAGAAGCATTCTCAGAAACTACTTTGTGATGATTGCATGCAAGTCACAGAGTTGAACATTCCCTTTGACAGAGCAGTTTGGAAACTCTCTTTGCGTAGAATCTGCAAGTGGAGATATGGACCGCTTTGAGGCCTATGGTAGTAAAGGAAATAGCTTCATATAAAAGCTAGACAGCAGCATTCTCAGAAACTTCTTTGTGATGCTTGCATTCAACTCACAGAGTTGAACTTTCCTTTCGAGAGAGAAGCTTTGAAACACTCTTTTTCCAGAATCTGCAAGTGGACATTTGGAGGGCTTTGAGGCCTGTGGTGGAAAAGGAATTATCTTCCCGTAAAAGCTAGATAGAAGCATTGTCAGAAACTTCTTTGTGATGATTGCATTCAACTCACAGAGTTGAAGGTTCCTTTTCAAAGAGCAGTTTCCAATCACTCTTTGTGTGGAATCTGCAAGTGGATATTTGGACCTATTTTGAAGATTTCGTTGGAAACGGGAGAATCTTCACAGGAAAGCTAAACAGAAGCATTCTCAGAAACTTCTCTGTGATGTTTGTGTTCAACTCCCAGAGTTTCACATTGCTTTTCATAGAGTAGTTCTGAAACATGCTTTTCGTAGTGTCTACAAGTGGACATTTGGAGCGCTTTCAGGCCTGTGGTGGAAAACGAATTATGGTCACATAAAAACTGGAGAGAAGACTTCTCAGAAACTTCTCTGTGATGATTGCATTCAACTCACAGAGTTGAACCCTCCTATGGATAGAGCAGTGTTGAAACTCTCTTTTTGTGGAATCTGCAAGTGGATATGTGGACCTCTCCGAAGATGTCTTTGGAAACGGGAATATCTTCACATAAAAACTAAACAGAAGCATTCTCAGAAACTTCTTGGTGATGTTTGCATTCAAATCCCAGAGTTGAACCTTCCTTTGATAGTTCAGGTTTGAAACACTCTTTTTGTAGGATCTGCAAGTGGATATTTGGACCACTCTGTGGCCTTCGTTCGAAACGGGTATATCTTCGCATAAAATCTAGACAGAAGCATTGTCAGAAAATACTTTGTGATGATTGAGTTTAAATCACAGAGCTGAACATTCCTTTGGATGGAGCAGGTTTGAGACACACTTTTTGTAGAATCTACAAGTGGATATTTGGACCTCTCTGAGGATTTCGTTGGAAACGGGATAACTGCACCTAACTAAACGGAAGCATTCTCAGAAACTGCTTTGTGATGATTGCATTCACCTCACAGAGTTGAACATTCCTATTGATAGAGCAGTTTGGAAACACTCTTGTTGTGGAATGTGCAAGTGGAGATTTGGAGCGCTTTGAGGCCTATGGTAGTAAAGGGAATAGCTTCATAGAAAAACTAGACAGATGCATTCTCAGGAACTTTTTGGTGATGTTTGTATTCAACTCCCAGAGTTGAACTTTCCTTTGGAAAGAGCAGCTATGAAACACTGTTTTTCTAGAATCTGCAAGTGGACGTTTGGAGGGCTTTGTGGTTTGTGGTGGAAAAGGAAATATCTTCACCTAAATACTAGATAGAAGCATCCTCAGAAGCTTCTCTGTGATGACTGCATTCAACTCACGGAGTTGAACACTCCTTTTGAGAGCGCAGTTTTGAAACTCTCTTTCTGTGGCATCTGCAAGGGGACATGTAGACCTCTTTGAAGATTTCGTTGGAAACGGAATCATCTTCACATAAAAACTACACAGAAGCAGTCTCAGAATCTTCTTTGTGATGTTTGCATTCAAATCCCCGAGTTGAACTTTCCTTTCAAAGTTCACGTTTGAAACACTCTTTTTGCAGGATCTACAAGTGGATATTTGGACCACTCTGTGTCCTTCGATCGAAACGGGTATATCTTCACATGACATCTAGACAGAAGCTTTCTCAGAAAATTCTTTGGGATGATTGAGTTGAACTCACAGAGCTGAGCATTCCTTGCGATGTAGCAGTTTAGAAACACACTTTCTGCAGAATCTGCAAGTGCATATTTGGACCTCTGTGAGGAATTCGTTGGAAACGGGATAATTTCAGCTGACTAAACAGAAGCATTCTCAGAACCTTCTTCGTGATGTCTGCATTCAACTCACAGTGTGGAACCTTTCTTTGATAGTTCAGGTTTGAAACACTCTTTTTGTAGAAACTGCAAGGGGATAATTGCACTCTTTGAGGAGTACCGTAGTAAAGGAAATAACTTCCTATAAAAAGAAGACAGAAGCATTCTCAGAACCCTCTTCGTGATGTTTGCATTCAACTCACAGTGCTGAACCTTTCTTTGATAGTTCAGCTTTGAAACACTCTTTTTGTAGAAACTGCAAGTGGATATTTGGTCCTCTCTGAGGATTTCGTTGGAAACGGGATAAACTGCACAGAACTAAACAGAAGCATTCTCAGAACCTTCTTCGTGATGTTTGCATTCAACTCACAGTGTTGAACCTTTCTTTGATAGTTCAGGTTTGAAACGGTCTTTCTGTAGAAACTGCAAGTAGATATTTGGACCTCTCTGAGGATTTCGTTGGAAACGGGATAAACCGCACAGAACTAAAACAGAAGCATTCACAGAAAACTCTTGGTGACGACTGAGTTTAACTCACAGAACTGAACATTCCTTTGGATGGAGCAGTTTCGAAACACACTATTTGTAGAATGTGCAAGTGGATATGTGGGCCTCTCTGAGGATTTCGTTGGAAACGGGATAAACCGCACAGAACTAAACAGAAGCATTCTCAGAAACTACTTTGTGATGATTGCATTCAAGTCACAGAGTTGAACATTCCCTTTGACAGAGCAGTTTGGAAACTCTCTTTGTGTAGAATCTGCAAGTGGAGATATGGACCGCTTTGAGGCCTATGGTAGTAAAGGAAATAGCTTCATATAAAAGCTAGACAGTAGCATTCTCAGAAACTTCTTTGTGATGCTTGCATTCAACTCACAGAGTTGAACTTTCCTTTCGAGAGAGAAGCTTTGAAACACTCTTTTTCCAGAATCTGCAAGTGGACATTTGGAGGGCTTTGAGGCCTGTGGTGGAAAAGGAATTATCTTCCCGTAAAAGCTAGATAGAAGCATTGTCAGAAACTTCTTTGTGATGATTGCATTCAACTCACAGAGATGAAGGTTCCTTTACAAACAGCAGTTTCCAAACACTCTTTCTGTGGAATCTGCAAGTGGATATTTGGACCTCTTTGAAGATTTCGTTGGAAACGGGAGAATCTTCACAGAAAAGCTAAACAGAAGCATTCTCAGAAACTTCTCTGTGATGTTTGTGTTCAACTCCCAGAGTTTCACATTGCTTTTCATAGAGTAGTTCTGAAACATGCTTTTCGTAGTGTCTACAAGTGGACATTTGGAGCGCTTTCAGGCCTGTGGTGGAAAACGAATTATGGTCACATAAAAACTGGAGAGAAGCCTTCTCAGAAACTTCTCTGTGATGATTGCATTCAACTCACAGAGTTGAACCCTCCTATGGATAGAGCAGTGTTGAAACTCTCTTTTTGTGGAATCTGCAAGTGGATATGTGGACCTCTCCGAAGATGTCTTTGGAAACGGGAATATCTTCACATAAAAACTAAACAGAAGCATTCTCAGAAACTTCTTGGTGATGTTTGCATTCAAATCCCAGAGTTGAACCTTCCTTTGATAGTTCAGGTTTGAAACACTCTTTTTGTAGGATCTGCAAGTGGATATTTGGACCACTCTGTGGCCTTCGTTCGAAACGGGTATATCTTCGCATAAAATCTAGACAGAAGCATTCTCAGAAAATACTTTGTGATGATTGAGTTTAACTCACAGAGCTGAACATTCCTTTGGATGGAGCAGGTTTGAGACACACTTTTTGTAGAATCTACAAGTGGATATTTGGACCTCTCTGAGGATTTCGTTGGAAACGCGATAACTGCACCTAACTAAACGGAAGCATTCTCAGAAACTGCTTTGTGATGATTGCATTCACCTCACAGAGTTGAACATTCCTATTGATAGAGCAGTTTGGAAACACTCTTGTTGTGGAATGTGCAAGTGGAGATTTGGAGCGCTTTGAGGCCTATGGTAGTAAAGGGAATAGCTTCATAGAAAAACTAGACAGATGCATTCTCAGGAACTTTTTGGTGACGTTTGTATTCAACTCCCAGACTTGAACTTTCCTTTGGAAAGAGCAGCTATGAAACACTCTTTTTCTAGAATCTGCAAGTGGACGTTTGGAGGGCTTTGTGGTTTGTGGTGGAAAAGGAAATATCTTCACCTAAATACTAGATAGAAGCATTCTCAGAAGCTTCTCTGTGATGACTGCATTCAACTCACGGAGTTGAACACTCCTTTTGAGAGCGCAGTTTTGAAACTCTCTTTCTGTGGCATCTGCAAGGGGACATGTAGACCTCTTTGAAGATTTCGTTGGAAACGGAATCATCTTCACATAAAAACTATACAGAAGCAGTCTCAGAATCTTCTTTGTGATGTTTGCATTCAAATCCCAGAGTTGAACTTTACTTTCAAAGTTCACGTTTGAAACACTCTTTTTGCAGGATCTACAAGTGGATATTTGGACCACTCTGTGTCCTTCGTTCGAAACGGGTATATCTTCACACGACATCTAGACAGAAGCTTTCTCAGAAAATTCTTTGGGATGATTGAGTGGAACTCACAGAGCTGAACATTCCTTGCGATGGAGCAGTTTAGAAACACACTTTCTGCAGAATCTGCAAGTGCATATTTGGACCTCTCTGAGGAATTCGTTGGAAACGGGATAATTTCAGCTGACTAAACAGAAGCATTCTCAGAACCTTCTTCGTGATGTCTGCATTCAACTCACAGTGTGGAACCTTTCTTTGATAGTTCAGGTTTGAAACACTCTTTTTGTAGAAACTGCAAGGGGATAATTGCACTTCTTTGAGGCCTACCGTAGTAAAGGAAATAACTTCCTATAGAAAGAAGACAGAAGCATTCTCAGAACCCTCTTCGTGATGTTTGCATTCAACTCACAGTGCTGAACCTTTCTTTGATAGTTCAGCTTTGAAACACTCTTCTTGTAGAAACTGCAAGTGGATATTTGGTCCTCTCTGAGGATTTCGTTGGAAACGGGATAAACCGCACAGAACTAAACAGAAGAATTCTCAGAGCCCTCTTCGTGATGTTTGCATTCAACTCACAGTGCTGAACCTTTCTTTGATAGTGCAGCTTTGAAACACTCTTTTTGTAGAAACTGCAAGTGGATGTTTGGTCCTCTCTGAGGATTTCGTTGGAAACGGGATAAACCGCACAGAACTAAAACAGAAGCATTGTCAGAAACTTCTTTGTGATGATTGCATTCAACTCACAGAGTTGAAGGTTCCTTTTCAAACAGCAGTTTCCAATCACTCTTTCTGTGGAATCTGCAAGTGGATATTTGGGCCTCTCTGAGGATTTCGTTGGAAACGGGATAAAACGCACAGAACTAAAACAGAAGCATTCTCAGAAACTTCTCTGTGATGTTTGTGTTCAACTCCCAGAGTTTCACGTTGCTTTTCATAGAGTAGTTCTGAAACATGCTTTTCGTAGTGTCTGCAAGTGGACATTTGGAGCGCTTTCAGGCCTGTGGTGGAAAACGAATTATGGTCACATAAAAACTGGAGAGAAAGCCTTCTCAGAAACTTCTCTGTGATGATTGCATTCAACTCACAGAGTTGAACCCTCCTATGGATAGAGCAGTGTTGAAACTCTCTTTTTGTGGAATCTGCAAGTGGATATGTGGACCTCTCCGAAGATGTCTTTGGAAACGGGAATATCTTCACATAAAAACTAAACAGAGCATTCTCAGAAACTTCTTGGTGATGTTTGCATTCAAATCCCAGAGTTGAACCTTCCTTTGATAGTTCAGGTTTGAAACACTCTTTTTGTAGGATCTGCAAGTGGATATTTGGACCACTCTGTGGCCTTTGTTCGAAACGGGTACATCTTCGCATAAAATCTAGACAGAAGCATTCTCAGAAAATACTTTGTGATGATTGAGTTTAAATCACAGAGCTGACCATTCCTTTGGATGGAGCAGGTTTGAGACACACTTTTTGTAGAATCTACAAGTGGATATTTGGACCTCTCTGAGGATTTCGTTGGAAACGGGATAACTGCACCTAACTAAACGGAAGCATTCTCAGAAACTGCTTTGTGATGATTGCATTCACCTCACAGAGTTGAACATTCCTATTGATAGAGCAGTTTGGAAACACTCTTGTTGTGGAATGTGCAAGTGGAGATTTGGAGCGCTTTGAGGCCTGTGGTAGTAAAGGGAATAGCTTCATAGAAAAACTAGACAGATGCATTCTCAGGAACTTTTTGGTGATGTTTGTATTCAACTCCCAGAGTTGAACTTTCCTTTGGAAAGAGCAGCTATGAAACACTCTTTTTCTAGAATCTGCAAGTGGACGTTTGGAGGGCTTTGTGGTTTGTGGTGGAAAAGGAAATATCTTCACCTAAATACTAGATAGAAGCATTCTCAGAAGCTTCTCTGTGATGACTGCATTCAACTCACGGAGTTGAACACTCCTTTTGAGAGCGCAGTTTTGAAACTCTCTTTCTGTGGCATCTGCAAGGGGACATGTAGACCTCTTTGAAGATTTCGTTGGAAACGGAATCATCTTCACATAAAAACTATACAGAAGCAGTCTCAGAATCTTCTTTGTGATGTTTGCATTCAAATCCCAGAGTTGAACTTTCCTTTCAAAGTTCACGTTTGAAACACTCTTTTTGCAGGATCTACAAGTGGATATTTGGACCACTCTGTGTCCTTCGTTCGAAACGGGTATATCTTCACATGACATCTAGACAGAAGCTTTCTCAGAAAATTCTTTGGGATGATTGAGTGGAACTCACAGAGCTGAACATTCCTTTCGATGTAGCAGTTTAGAAACACACTTTCTGCAGAATCTGCAAGTGCATATTTGGACCTCTCTGAGGAATTCGTTGGAAACGGGATAATTTCACCTGACTAAACAGAAGCATTCTCAGAACCTTCTTCGTGATGTCTGCATTCAACTCACAGTGTGGAACCTTTCTTTGATAGTTCAGGTTTGAAACACTCTTTTTGTAGAAACTGCAAGGGGATAATTGCACTTCTTTGAGGCCTACCGTAGTAAAGGAAATAACTTCCTATAAAAAGAAGACAGAAGCATTCTCAGAACCCTCTTCGTGATGTTTGCATTCAACTCACAGTGCTGAACCTTTCTTTGATAGTTCAGCTTTGAAACACTCTTTTTGTAGAAACTGCAAGTGGATATTTGGTCCTCTCTGAGGAATTCGTTGGAAACGGGATATACTGCACAGAACTAAACAGAAGCATTCTCAGAACCTTCTTCGTGATGTTTGCATTCAACTCACAGTGTTGAACCTTTCTTTGATAGTTCAGGTTTGAAACGGTCTTTCTGTAGAAACTGCAAGTAGATATTTGGACCTCTCTGAGGATTTCGTTGGAAACGGGATAACCCGCACAGAACTAAAACAGAAGCATTCACAGAAAACTCTTGGTGACGACTGAGTTTAACTCACAGAGCTGAACATTCGTTTGGATGGAGCAGTTTCGAAACACACTATTTGTAGAATGTGCAAGTGGATATGTGGGCCTCTCTGAGGATTTCGTTGGAAACGGGATAAACCGCACAGAACTAAACAGAAGCATTCTCAGAAACTACTTTGTGATGATTGCATTCAAGTCACAGAGTTGAACATTCCCTTTGACAGAGCAGTTTGGAAACTCTCTTTGTGTAGAATCTGCAAGTGGAGATATGGACCGCTTTGAGGACTATGGTAGTAAAGGAAATAGCTTCATATAAAAGCTAGACAGTAGCATTCTCAGAAACTTCTTTGTGATGCTTGCATTCAACTCACAGAGTTGAACTTTCCTTTCGAGAGAGAAGCTTTGAAACACTCTTTTTCCAGAATCTGCAAGTGGACATTTGGAGGGCTTTGAGGCCTGTGGTGGAAAAGGAATTATCTTCCCGTAAAAGCTAGATAGAAGCATTGTCAGAAACTTCTTTGTGATGATTGCATTCAACTCACAGAGTTGAAGGTTCCTTTTCAAAGAGCAGTTTCCAATCACTCTTTCTGTGGAATCTGCAAGTGGATATTTGGACCTATTTTGAAGATTTCATTGGAAACGGGAGAATCTTCACAGGAAAGCTAAACAGAAGCATTCTCAGAAACTTCTCTGTGATGTTTGTGTTCAACTCCCAGAGTTTCACATTGCTTTTCATAGAGTAGTTCTGAAACATGCTTTTCGTAGTGTCTACAAGTGGACATTTGGAGCGCTTTCAGGCCTGTGGTGGAAAACGAATTATGGTCACATAAAAACTGGAGAGAAGCCTTCTCAGAAACTTCTCTGTGATGATTGCATTCAACTCACAGAGTTGAACCCTCCTATGGATAGAGCAGTGTTGAAACTCTCTTTTTGTGGAATCTGCAAGTGGATATGTGGACCTCTCCGAAGATGTCTTTGGAAACGGGAATATCTTCACATAAAAACTAAACAGAAGCATTCTCAGAAACTTCTTGGTGATGTTTGCATTCAAATCCCAGAGTTGAACCTTCCTTTGATAGTTCAGGTTTGAAACACTCTTTTTGTAGGATCTGCAAGTGGATATTTGGACCACTCTGTGGCCTTCGTTCGAAACGGGTATATCTTCGCATAAAATCTAGACAGAAGCATTCTCAGAAAATACTTTGTGATGATTGAGTTTAACTCACAGAGCTGAACATTCCTTTGGATGGAGCAGGTTTGAGACACACTTTTTGTAGAATCTACAAGTGGATATTTGGACCTCTCTGAGGATTTCGTTGGAAACGGGATAACTGCACCTAACTAAACGGAAGCATTCTCAGAAACTGCTTTGTGATGATTGCATTCACCTCACAGAGTTGAACATTCCTATTGATAGAGCAGTTTGGAAACACTCTTGTTGTGGAATGTGCAAGTGGAGATTTGGAGCGCTTTGAGGCCTATGGTAGTAAAGGGAATAGCTTCATAGAAAAACTAGACAGATGCATTCTCAGGAACTTTTTGGTGATGTTTGTATTCAACTCCCAGAGTTGAACTTTCCTTTGGAAAGAGCAGCTATGAAACACTCTTTTTCTAGAATCTGCAAGTGGACGTTTGGAGGGCTTTGTGGTTTGTGGTGGAAAAGGAAATATCTTCACCTAAATACTAGATAGAAGCATTCTCAGAAGCTTCTCTGTGATGACTGCATTCAACTCACGGAGTTGAACACTCCTTTTGAGAGCGCAGTTTTGAAACTCTCTTTCTGTGGCATCTGCAAGGGGACATGTAGACCTCTTTGAAGATTTCGTTGGAAACGGAATCATCTTCACATAAAAACTATACAGAAGCAGTCTCAGAATCTTCTTTGTGATGTTTGCATTCAAATCCCAGAGTTGAACTTTCCTTTCAAAGTTCACGTTTGAAACACTCTTTTTGCAGGATCTACAAGTGGATATTTGGACCACTCTGTGTCCTTCGTTCGAAACGGGTATATCTTCACACGACATCTAGACAGAAGCTTTCTCAGAAAATTCTTTGGGATGATTGAGTGGAACTCACAGAGCTGAACATTCCTTGCGATGTAGCAGTTTAGAAACACACTTTCTGCAGAATCTGCAAGTGCATATTTGGACCTCTCTGAGGAATTCGTTGGAAACGGGATAATTTCAGCTGACTAAACAGAAGCATTCTCAGAACCTTCTTCGTGATGTCTGCATTCAACTCACAGTGTGGAACCTTTCTTTGATAGTTCAGGTTTGAAACACTCTTTTTGTAGAAACTGCAAGGGGATAATTGCACTTCTTTGAGGCCTACCGTAGTAAAGGAAATAACTTCCTATAGAAAGAAGACAGAAGCATTCTCAGAACCCTCTTCGTGATGTTTGCATTCAACTCACAGTGCTGAACCTTTCTTTGATAGTTCAGCTTTGAAACACTCTTCTTGTAGAAACTGCAAGTGGATATTTGGTCCTCTCTGAGGATTTCGTTGGAAACGGGATAAACCGCACAGAACTAAACAGAAGAATTCTCAGAGCCCTCTTCGTGATGTTTGCATTCAACTCACAGTGCTGAACCTTTCTTTGATAGTGCAGCTTTGAAACACTCTTTTTGTAGAAACTGCAAGTGGATGTTTGGTCCTCTCTGAGGATTTCGTTGGAAACGGGATAAACCGCACAGAACTAAAACAGAAGCATTGTCAGAAACTTCTTTGTGATGATTGCATTCAACTCACAGAGTTGAAGGTTCCTTTTCAAACAGCAGTTTCCAATCACTCTTTCTGTGGAATCTGCAAGTGGATATTTGGGCCTCTCTGAGGATTTTGTTGGAAACGGGATAAAACGCACAGAACTAAAACAGAGAGCATTCTCAGAAACTTCTCTGTGATGTTTGTGTTCAACTCCCAGAGTTTCACGTTGCTTTTCATAGAGTAGTTCTGAAACATGCTTTTCGTAGTGTCTGCAAGTGGACATTTGGAGCGCTTTCAGGCCTGTGGTGGAAAACGAATTATGGTCACATAAAAACTGGAGAGAGCTTTCTCAGAAACTTCTCTGTGATGATTGCATTCAACTCACAGAGTTGAACCCTCCTATGGATAGAGCAGTGTTGAAACTCTCTTTTTGTGGAATCTGCAAGTGGATATGTGGACCTCTCCGAAGATGTCTTTGGAAACGGGAATATCTTCACATAATAACTAAACGGAAGCATTCTCAGAAACTTCTTGGTGATGTTTGCATTCAAATCCCAGAGTTGAACCTTCCTGTGATAGTTCAGGTTTGAAACACTCTTTTTGTAGGATCTGCAAGTGGCTATTTGGACCACTCTGTGGCCTTCGTTCGAAACGGGTATATCTTCGCATAAAATCTAGACAGAAGCATTCTCAGAAAATACTTTGTGATGATTGAGTTAAAATCACAGAGCTGAACATTCCTTTGGATGGAGCAGGTTTGAGACACACTTTTTGTAGAATCTACAAGTGGATATTTGGACCTCTCTGAGGATTTCGTTGGAAACGGGATAACTGCACCTAACTAAACGGAAGCATTCTCAGAAACTGCTTTGTGATGATTGCATTCACCTCACAGAGTTGAACATTCCTATTGATAGAGCAGTTTGGAAACACTCTTGTTGTGGAATGTGCAAGTGGAGATTTGGAGCGCTTTGAGGCCTATGGTAGTAAAGGGAATAGCTTCATAGAAAAACTAGACAGATGCATTCTCAGGAACCTTTTGGTGATGTTTGTATTCAACTCCCAGAGTTGAACTTTCCTTTGGAAAGAGCAGCTATGAAACACTCTTTTTCTAGAATCTGCAAGTGGACGTTTGGAGGGCTTTGTGGTTTGTGGTGGAAAAGGAAATATCTTCACCTAAATACTAGATAGAAGCATTCTCAGAAGCTTCTCTGTGATGACTGCATTCAACTCACGGAGTTGAACACTCCTTTTGAGAGCGCAGTTTTGAAACTCTCTTTCTGTGGCATCTGCAAGGGGACATGTAGACCTCTTTGAAGATTTCGTTGGAAACGGAATCATCTTCACATAAAAACTATACAGAAGCAGTCTCAGAATCTTCTTTGTGATGTTTGCATTCAAATCCCAGAGTTGAACTTTCCTTTCAAAGTTCACGTTTGAAACACTCTTTTTGCAGGATCTACAAGTGGATATTTGGACCACTCTGTGTCCTTCGTTCGAAACGGGTATATCTTCACACGACATCTAGACAGAAGCTTTCTCAGAAAATTCTTTGGGATGATTGAGTGGAACTCACAGAGCTGAACATTCCTTGCGATGTAGCAGTTTAGAAACACACTTTCTGCAGAATCTGCAAGTGCATATTTGGACCTCTCTGAGGAATTCGTTGGAAACGGGATAATTTCAGCTGACTAAACAGAAGCATTCTCAGAACCTTCTTCGTGATGTCTGCATTCAACTCACAGTGTGGAACCTTTCTTTGATAGTTCAGGTTTGAAACACTCTTTTTGTAGAAACTGCAAGGGGATAATTGCACTTCTTTGAGGCCTACCGTAGTAAAGGAAATAACTTCTTATAGAAAGAAGACAGAAGCATTCTCAGAACCCTCTTCGTGATGTTTGCATTCAACTCACAGTGCTGAACCTTTCTTTGATAGTTCAGCTTTGAAACACTCTTCTTGTAGAAACTGCAAGTGGATATTTGGTCCTCTCTGAGGATTTCGTTGGAAACGGGATAAACCGCACAGAACTAAACAGAAGAATTCTCAGAGCCCTCTTCGTGATGTTTGCATTCAACTCACAGTGCTGAACCTTTCTTTGATAGTGCAGCTTTGAAACACTCTTTTTGTAGAAACTGCAAGTGGATGTTTGGTCCTCTCTGAGGATTTCGTTGGAAACGGGATAAACCGCACAGAACTAAAACAGAAGCATTGTCAGAAACTTCTTTGTGATGATTGCATTCAACTCACAGAGTTGAAGGTTCCTTTTCAAACAGCAGTTTCCAATCACTCTTTCTGTGGAATCTGCAAGTGGATATTTGGGCCTCTCTGAGGATTTCGTTGGAAACGGGATAAAACGCACAGAACTAAAACAGAAGCATTCTCAGAAACTTCTCTGTGATGTTTGTGTTCAACTCCCAGAGTTTCACGTTGCTTTTCATAGAGTACTTCTGAAACATGCTTTTCGTAGTGTCTGCAAGTGGACATTTGGAGCGCTTTCAGGCCTGTGGTGGAAAACGAATTATGGTCACATAAAAACTGGAGAGAAGCCTTCTCAGAAACTTCTCTGTGATGATTGCATTCAACTCACAGAGTTGAACCCTCCTATGGATAGAGCAGTGTTGAAACTCTCTTTTTGTGGAATCTGCAAGTGGATATGTGGACCTCTCCGAAGATGTCTTTGGAAACGGGAATATCTTCACATAAAAACTAAACAGAAAGCATTCTCAGAAACTTCTTGGTGATGTTTGCATTCAAATCCCAGAGTTGAACCTTCCTTTGATAGTTCAGGTTTGAAACACTCTTTTTGTAGGATCTGCAAGTGGATATTTGGACCACTCTGTGGCCTTCGTTCGAAACGGGTACATCTTCGCATAAAATCTAGACAGAAGCATTCTCAGAAAATAATTTGTGATGATTGAGTTGAACTCACAGAGCTGAACATTCCTTTGGATGGAGCAGGTTTGAGACACACTTTTTGTAGAATCTACAAGTGGATATTTGGACCTCTCTGAGGATTTCGTTGGAAACGGGATAACTGCACCTAACTAAACGGAAGCATTCTCAGAAACTGCTTTGTCATGATTGCATTCACCTCACAGAGTTGAACATTCCTATTGATAGAGCAGTTTGGAAAAACTCTTGTTGTGGAATGCGCAAGTGGAGATTTGGAGCGCTTTGAGGCCTATGGTAGTAAAGGGAATAGCTTCATAGAAAAAGTAGACAGATGCATTCTCAGGAACTTTTTGGTGATGTTTGTATTCAACTCCCAGAGTTGAACTTTCCTTTGGAAAGAGCAGCTATGAAACACTCTTTTTCTAGAATCTGCAAGTGGACGTTTGGAGGGCTTTGTGGTTTGTGGTGGAAAAGGAAATATCTTCACCTAAATACTAGATAGAAGCATTCTCAGAAGCTTCTCTGTGATGACTGCATTCAACTCACGGAGTTGAACACTCCTTTTGAGAGCGCAGTTTTGAAACTCTCTTTCTGTGGCATCTGCAAGGGGACATGTAGACCTCTTTGAAGATTTCGTTGGAAACGGAATCATCTTCACATAAAAACTATACAGAAGCAGTCTCAGAATCTTCTTTGTGATGTTTGCATTCAAATCCCAGAGTTGAACTTTCCTTTCAAAGTTCACGTTTGAAACACTCTTTTTGCAGGATCTACAAGTGGATATTTGGACCACTCTGTGTCCTTCGTTCGAAACGGGTATATCTTCACACGACATCTAGACAGAAGCTTTCTCAGAAAATTCTTTGGGATGATTGAGTGGAACTCACAGAGCTGAACATTCCTTGCGATGTAGCAGTTTAGAAACACACTTTCTGCAGAATCTGCAAGTGCATATTTGGACCTCTCTGAGGAATTCGTTGGAAACGGGATAATTTCAGCTGACTAAACAGAAGCATTCTCAGAACCTTCTTCGTGATGTCTGCATTCAACTCACAGTGTGGAACCTTTCTTTGATAGTTCAGGTTTGAAACACTCTTTTTGTAGAAACTGCAAGGGGATAATTGCACTTCTTTGAGGCCTACCGTAGTAAAGGAAATAACTTCCTATAGAAAGAAGACAGAAGCATTCTCAGAACCCTCTTCGTGATGTTTGCATTCAACTCACAGTGCTGAACCTTTCTTTGATAGTTCAGCTTTGAAACACTCTTCTTGTAGAAACTGCAAGTGGATATTTGGTCCTCTCTGAGGATTTCGTTGGAAACGGGATAAACCGCACAGAACTAAACAGAAGAATTCTCAGAGCCCTCTTCGTGATGTTTGCATTCAACTCACAGTGCTCAACCTTTCTTTGATAGTGCAGCTTTGAAACACTCTTTTTGTAGAAACTGCAAGTGGATATTTGGTCCTCTCTGAGGATTTCGTTGGAAACGGGATAAACCGCACAGAACTAAAACAGAAGCATTGTCAGAAACTTCTTTGTGATGATTGCATTCAACTCACAGAGTTGAAGGTTCCTTTTCAAACAGCAGTTTCCAATCACTCTTTCTGTGGAATCTGCAAGTGGATATTTGGGCCTCTCTGAGGATTTCGTTGGAAACGGGATAAAACGCACAGAACTAAAACAGAAGCATTCTCAGAAACTTCTCTGTGATGTTTGTGTTCAACTCCCAGAGTTTCACGTTGCTTTTCATAGAGTACTTCTGAAACATGCTTTTCGTAGTGTCTGCAAGTGGACATTTGGAGCGCTTTCAGGCCTGTGGTGGAAAACGAATTATGGTCACATAAAAACTGGAGAGAAGCCTTCTCAGAAACTTCTCTGTGATGATTGCATTCAACTCACAGAGTTGAACCCTCCTATGGATAGAGCAGTGTTGAAACTCTCTTTTTGTGGAATCTGCAAGTGGATATGTGGACCTCTCCGAAGATGTCTTTGGAAACGGGAATATCTTCACATAAAAACTAAACAGAAGCATTCTCAGAAACTTCTTGGTGATGTTTGCATTCAAATCCCAGAGTTGAACCTTCCTTTGATAGTTCAGGTTTGAAACACTCTTTCTGTAGGATCTGCAAGTGGCTATTTGGACCACTCTGTGGCCTTCGTTCGAAACGGGTATATCTTCGCATAAAATCTAGACAGAAGCATTCTCAGAAAATACTTTGTGATGATTGAGTTTAAATCACAGAGCTGACCATTCCTTTGGATGGAGCAGGTTTGAGACACACTTTTTGTAGAATCTACAAGTGGATATTTGGACCTCTCTGAGGATTTCGTTGGAAACGGGATAACTGCACCTAACTAAACGGAAGCATTCTCAGAAACTGCTTTGTGATGATTGCATTCACCTCACAGAGTTGAACATTCCTATTGATAGAGCAGTTTGGAAACACTCTTGTTGTGGAATGTGCAAGTGGAGATTTGGAGCGCTTTGAGGCCTGTGGTAGTAAAGGGAATAGCTTCATAGAAAAACTAGACAGATGCATTCTCAGGAACTTTTTGGTGATGTTTGTATTCAACTCCCAGAGTTGAACTTTCCTTTGGAAAGAGCAGCTATGAAACACTCTTTTTCTAGAATCTGCAAGTGGACGTTTGGAGGGCTTTGTGGTTTGTGGTGGAA
The DNA here is from genome assembly GCF_000001405.40 of Homo sapiens. NCBI lineage: Eukaryota > Metazoa > Chordata > Mammalia > Primates > Hominidae > Homo > Homo sapiens. The sequence goes on from NC_000017.11 coordinate 24,603,757, forward strand.
AAGGAAATATCTTCACCTAAATACTAGATAGAAGCATTCTCAGAAGCTTCTCTGTGATGACTGCATTCAACTCACGGAGTTGAACACTCCTTTTGAGAGCGCAGTTTTGAAACTCTCTTTCTGTGGCATCTGCAAGGGGACATGTAGACCTCTTTGAAGATTTCGTTGGAAACGGAATCATCTTCACATAAAAACTATACAGAAGCAGTCTCAGAATCTTCTTTGTGATGTTTGCATTCAAATCCCAGAGTTGAACTTTCCTTTCAAAGTTCACGTTTGAAACACTCTTTTTGCAGGATCTACAAGTGGATATTTGGACCACTCTGTGTCCTTCGTTCGAAACGGGTATATCTTCACACGACATCTAGACAGAAGCTTTCTCAGAAAATTCTTTGGGATGATTGAGTGGAACTCACAGAGCTGAACATTCCTTGCGATGGAGCAGTTTAGAAACACACTTTCTGCAGAATCTGCAAGTGCATATTTGGACCTCTCTGAGGAATTCGTTGGAAACGGGATAATTTCAGCTGACTAAACAGAAGCATTCTCAGAACCTTCTTCGTGATGTCTGCATTCAACTCACAGTGTGGAACCTTTCTTTGATAGTTCAGGTTTGAAACACTCTTTTTGTAGAAACTGCAAGGGGATAATTGCACTTCTTTGAGGCCTACCGTAGTAAAGGAAATAACTTCCTATAGAAAGAAGACAGAAGCATTCTCAGAACCCTCTTCGTGATGTTTGCATTCAACTCACAGTGCTGAACCTTTCTTTGATAGTTCAGCTTTGAAACACTCTTCTTGTAGAAACTGCAAGTGGATATTTGGTCCTCTCTGAGGATTTCGTTGGAAACGGGATAAACCGCACAGAACTAAACAGAAGAATTCTCAGAGCCCTCTTCGTGATGTTTGCATTCAACTCACAGTGCTGAACCTTTCTTTGATAGTGCAGCTTTGAAACACTCTTTTTGTAGAAACTGCAAGTGGATGTTTGGTCCTCTCTGAGGATTTCGTTGGAAACGGGATAAACCGCACAGAACTAAAACAGAAGCATTGTCAGAAACTTCTTTGTGATGATTGCATTCAACTCACAGAGTTGAAGGTTCCTTTTCAAACAGCAGTTTCCAATCACTCTTTCTGTGGAATCTGCAAGTGGATATTTGGGCCTCTCTGAGGATTTCGTTGGAAACGGGATAAAACGCACAGAACTAAAACAGAAGCATTCTCAGAAACTTCTCTGTGATGTTTGTGTTCAACTCCCAGAGTTTCACGTTGCTTTTCATAGAGTAGTTCTGAAACATGCTTTTCGTAGTGTCTGCAAGTGGACATTTGGAGCGCTTTCAGGCCTGTGGTGGAAAACGAATTATGGTCACATAAAAACTGGAGAGAAGCCTTCTCAGAAACTTCTCTGTGATGATTGCATTCAACTCACAGAGTTGAACCCTCCTATGGATAGAGCAGTGTTGAAACTCTCTTTTTGTGGAATCTGCAAGTGGATATGTGGACCTCTCCGAAGATGTCTTTGGAAACGGGAATATCTTCACATAAAAACTAAACAGAAGCATTCTCAGAAACTTCTTGGTGATGTTTGCATTCAAATCCCAGAGTTGAACCTTCCTTTGATAGTTCAGGTTTGAAACACTCTTTCTGTAGGATCTGCAAGTGGCTATTTGGACCACTCTGTGGCCTTCGTTCGAAACGGGTATATCTTCGCATAAAATCTAGACAGAAGCATTCTCAGAAAATACTTTGTGATGATTGAGTTTAAATCACAGAGCTGACCATTCCTTTGGATGGAGCAGGTTTGAGACACACTTTTTGTAGAATCTACAAGTGGATATTTGGACCTCTCTGAGGATTTCGTTGGAAACGGGATAACTGCACCTAACTAAACGGAAGCATTCTCAGAAACTGCTTTGTGATGATTGCATTCACCTCACAGAGTTGAACATTCCTATTGATAGAGCAGTTTGGAAACACTCTTGTTGTGGAATGTGCAAGTGGAGATTTGGAGCGCTTTGAGGCCTATGGTAGTAAAGGGAATAGCTTCATAGAAAAACTAGACAGATGCATTCTCAGGAACTTTTTGGTGATGTTTGTATTCAACTCCCAGAGTTGAACTTTCCTTTGGAAAGAGCAGCTATGAAACACTCTTTTTCTAGAATCTGCAAGTGGACGTTTGGAGGGCTTTGTGGTTTGTGGTGGAAAAGGAAATATCTTCACCTAAATACTAGATAGAAGCATCCTCAGAAGCTTCTCTGTGATGACTGCATTCAACTCACGGAGTTGAACACTCCTTTTGAGAGCGCAGTTTTGAAACTCTCTTTCTGTGGCATCTGCAAGGGGACATGTAGACCTCTTTGAAGATTTCGTTGGAAACGGAATCATCTTCACATAAAAACTATACAGAAGCAGTCTCAGAATCTTCTTTGTGATGTTTGCATTCAAATCCCAGAGTTGAACTTTCCTTTCAAAGTTCACGTTTGAAACACTCTTTTTGCAGGATCTACAAGTGGATATTTGGACCACTCTGTGTCCTTCGTTCGAAACGGGTATATCTTCACACGACATCTAGACAGAAGCTTTCTCAGAAAATTCTTTGGGATGATTGAGTGGAACTCACAGAGCTGAACATTCCTTGCGATGTAGCAGTTTAGAAACACACTTTCTGCAGAATCTGCAAGTGCATATTTGGACCTCTCCGAGGAATTCGTTGGAAACGGGATAATTTCAGCTGACTAAACAGAAGCATTCTCAGAACCTTCTTCGTGATGTCTGCATTCAACTCACAGTGTGGAACCTTTCTTTGATAGTTCAGGTTTGAAACACTCTTTTTGTAGAAACTGCAAGGGGATAATTGCACTTCTTTGAGGCCTACCGTAGTAAAGGAAATAACTTCCTATAGAAAGAAGACAGAAGCATTCTCAGAACCCTCTTCGTGATGTTTCCATTCAACTCACAGTGCTGAACCTTTCTTTGATAGTTCAGCTTTGAAACACTCTTCTTGTAGAAACTGCAAGTGGATATTTGGTCCTCTCTGAGGATTTCGTTGGAAACGGGATAAACCGCACAGAACTAAACAGAAGCATTCACAGAAAACTCTTGGTGACGACTGAGTTTAACTCACAGAGCTGAACATTCCTTTGGATGGAGCAGTTTCGAAACACACTATTTGTAGAATGTGCAAGTGGATATTTGGGCCTCTCTGAGGATTTCGTTGGAAACGGGATAAACCGCACAGAACTAAACAGAAGCATTCTCAGAAACTACTTTGTGATGATTGCATTCAAGTCACAGAGTTGAACATTCCCTTTGACAGAGCAGTTTGGAAACTCTCTTTGTGTAGAATCTGCAAGTGGAGATATGGACCGCTTTGAGGCCTATGGTAGTAAAGGAAATAGCTTCATATAAAAGCTAGACAGTAGCATTCTCAGAAACTTCTTTGTGATGCTTGCATTCAACTCACAGAGTTGAACTTTCCTTTCGAGAGAGAAGCTTTGAAACACTCTTTTTCCAGAATCTGCAAGTGGACATTTGGAGGGCTTTGAGGCCTGTGGTAGAAAAGGAATTAACTTCCCGTAAAAGCTAGATAGAAGCATTGTCAGAAACTTCTTTGTGATGATTGCATTCAACTCACAGAGATGAAGGTTCCTTTACAAACAGCAGTTTCCAAACACTCTTTCTGTGGAATCTGCAAGTGGATATTTGGACCTCTTTGAAGATTTCGTTGGAAACGGGAGAATCTTCACAGAAAAGCTAAACAGAAGCATTCTCAGAAACTTCTCTGTGATGTTTGTGTTCAACTCCCAGAGTTTCACATTGCTTTTCATAGAGTAGTTCTGAAACATGCTTTTCGTAGTGTCTGCAAGTGGACATTTGGAGCGCTTTCAGGCCTGTGGTGGAAAACGAATTATGGTCCCATAAAAACTGGAGAGAAGCCTTCTCAGAAACTTCTCTGTGATGATTGCATTCAACTCACAGATTTCAACCCTCCTATGGATAGAGCATTGTTGAAACTCTCTTTTTGTGGAATCTGCAAGTGGATATGTGGACCTCTCCGAAGATGTCTTTGGAAACGGGAATATCTTCACATAAAAACTAAACAGAAGCATTCTCAGAAACTTCTTGGTGATGTTTGCATTCAAATCCCAGAGTTGAACCTTCCTGTGATAGTTCAGGTTTGAAACACTCTTTTTGTAGGATCTGCAAGTGGATATTTGGACCACTCTGTGGCCTTCGTTCGAAACGGGTACATCTTCACATAAAATCTAGACAGAAGCATTCTCAGAAAATACTTTGTGATGATTGAGTTTAACTCACAGAGCTGAACATTCCTTTGGATGGAGCAGGTTTGAGACACACCTTTTGTAGAATCTACAAGTGGATATTTGGACCTCTCTGAGGATTTCGTTGGAAACGCGATAACTGCACCTAACTAAACGGAAGCATTCTCAGAAACTGCTTTGTGATGATTGCATTCACCTCACAGAGTTGACCATTCCTATTGATAGAGCAGTTTGGAAACACTCTTGTTGTGGAATGTGCAAGTGGAGATTTGGAGCGCTTTGAGGCCTGTGGTAGTAAAGGGAATAGCTTCATAGAAAAACTAGACAGATGCATTCTCAGGAACTTTTTGGTGATGTTTGTATTCAACTCCCAGAGTTGAACTTTCCTTTGGAAAGAGCAGCTATGAAACACTCTTTTTCTAGAATCTGCAAGTGGACGTTTGGAGGGCTTTGTGGTTTGTGGTGGAAAAGGAAATATACTTCACCTAAATACTAGATAGAAGCATTCTCAGAAGCTTCTCTGTGATGACTGCATTCAACTCACGGAGTTGAACACTCCTTTTGAGAGCGCAGTTTTGAAACTCTCTTTCTGTGGCATCTGCAAGGGGACATGTAGACCTCTTTGAAGATTTCGTTGGAAACGGAATCATCTTCACATAAAAACTATACAGAAGCAGTCTCAGAATCTTCTTTGTGATGTTTGCATTCAAATCCCAGAGTTGAACTTTCCTTTCAAAGTTCACGTTTGAAACACTCTTTTTGCAGGATCTACAAGTGGATATTTGGACCACTCTGTGTCCTTCGTTCGAAACGGGTATATCTTCACAGGACATCTAGACAGAAGCTTTCTCAGAAAATTCTTTGGGATGATTGAGTGGAACTCACAGAGCTGAACATTCCTTGCGATGTAGCAGTTTAGAAACACACTTTCTGCAGAATCTGCAAGTGCATATTTGGACCTCTCTGAGGAATTCGTTGGAAACGGGATAATTTCAGCTGACTAAACAGAAGCATTCTCAGAACCTTCTTCGTGATGTCTGCATTCAACTCACAGTGTGGAACCTTTCTTTGATAGTTCAGGTTTGAAACACTCTTTTTGTAGAAACTGCAAGGGGATAATTGCACTTCTTTGAGGCCTACCGTAGTAAAGGAAATAACTTCCTATAGAAAGAAGACAGAAGCATTCTCAGAACCCTCTTCGTGATGTTTGCATTCAACTCACAGTGCTGAACCTTTCTTTGATAGTTCAGCTTTGAAACACTCTTCTTGTAGAAACTGCAAGTGGATATTTGGTCCTCTCTGAGGATTTCGTTGGAAACGGGATAAACCGCACAGAACTAAACAGAAGAATTCTCAGAGCCCTCTTCGTGATGTTTGCATTCAACTCACAGTGCTGAACCTTTCTTTGATAGTGCAGCTTTGAAACACTCTTTTTGTAGAAACTGCAAGTGGATGTTTGGTCCTCTCTGAGGATTTCGTTGGAAACGGGATAAACCGCACAGAACTAAAACAGAAGCATTGTCAGAAACTTCTTTGTGATGATTGCATTCAACTCACAGAGTTGAAGGTTCCTTTTCAAACAGCAGTTTCCAATCACTCTTTCTGTGGAATCTGCAAGTGGATATTTGGGCCTCTCTGAGGATTTCGTTGGAAACGGGATAAAACGCACAGAACTAAAACAGAAGCATTCTCAGAAACTTCTCTGTGATGTTTGTGTTCAACTCCCAGAGTTTCACGTTGCTTTTCATAGAGTAGTTCTGAAACATGCTTTTCGTAGTGTCTGCAAGTGGACATTTGGAGCGCTTTCAGGCCTGTGGTGGAAAACGAATTATGGTCACATAAAAACTGGAGAGAAGCCTTCTCAGAAACTTCTCTGTGATGATTGCATTCAACTCACAGAGTTGAACCCTCCTATGGATAGAGCAGTGTTGAAACTCTTTTTGTGGAATCTGCAAGTGGATATGTGGACCTCTCCGAAGATGTCTTTGGAAACGGGAATATCTTCACATAAAAACTAAACAGAAGCATTCTCAGAAACTTCTTGGTGATGTTTGCATTCAAATCCCAGAGTTGAACCTTCCTTTGATAGTTCAGGTTTGAAACACTCTTTCTGTAGGATCTGCAAGTGGCTATTTGGACCACTCTGTGGCCTTCGTTCGAAACGGGTATATCTTCGCATAAAATCTAGACAGAAGCATTCTCAGAAAATACTTTGTGATGATTGAGTTTAAATCACAGAGCTGACCATTCCTTTGGATGGAGCAGGTTTGAGACACACTTTTTGTAGAATCTACAAGTGGATATTTGGACCTCTCTGAGGATTTCGTTGGAAACGGGATAACTGCACCTAACTAAACGGAAGCATTCTCAGAAACTGCTTTGTGATGATTGCATTCACCTCACAGAGTTGAACATTCCTATTGATAGAGCAGTTTGGAAACACTCTTGTTGTGGAATGTGCAAGTGGAGATTTGGAGCGCTTTGAGGCCTATGGTAGTAAAGGGAATAGCTTCATAGAAAAACTAGACAGATGCATTCTCAGGAACCTTTTGGTGATGTTTGTATTCAACTCCCAGAGTTGAACTTTCCTTTGGAAAGAGCAGCTATGAAACACTCTTTTTCTAGAATCTGCAAGTGGACGTTTGGAGGGCTTTGTGGTTTGTGGTGGAAAAGGAAATATCTTCACCTAAATACTAGATAGAAGCATTCTCAGAAGCTTCTCTGTGATGACTGCATTCAACTCACGGAGTTGAACACTCCTTTTGAGAGCGCAGTTTTGAAACTCTCTTTCTGTGGCATCTGCAAGGGGACATGTAGACCTCTTTGAAGATTTCGTTGGAAACGGAATCATCTTCACATAAAAACTATACAGAAGCAGTCTCAGAATCTTCTTTGTGATGTTTGCATTCAAATCCCAGAGTTGAACTTTCCTTTCAAAGTTCACGTTTGAAACACTCTTTTTGCAGGATCTACAAGTGGATATTTGGACCACTCTGTGTCCTTCGTTCGAAACGGGTATATCTTCACACGACATCTAGACAGAAGCTTTCTCAGAAAATTCTTTGGGATGATTGAGTGGAACTCACAGAGCTGAACATTCCTTGCGATGTAGCAGTTTAGAAACACACTTTCTGCAGAATCTGCAAGTGCATATTTGGACCTCTCTGAGGAATTCGTTGGAAACGGGATAATTTCAGCTGACTAAACAGAGCATTCTCAGAACCTTCTTCGTGGTGTCTGCATTCAACTCACAGTGTGGAACCTTTCTTTGATAGTTCAGGTTTGAAACACTCTTTTTGTAGAAACTGCAAGGGGATAATTGCACTTCTTTGAGGCCTACCGCAGTAAAGGAAATAACTTCCTATAGAAAGAAGACAGAAGCATTCTCAGAACCCTCTTCGTGATGTTTGCATTCAACTCTCAGTGCTGAACCTTTCTTTGATAGTTCAGCTTTGAAACACTCTTCTTGTAGAAACTGCAAGTGGATATTTGGTCCTCTCTGAGGATTTCGTTGGAAACGGGATAAACCGCACAGAACTAAACAGAAGAATTCTCAGAGCCCTCTTCGTGATGTTTGCATTCAACTCACAGTGCTGAACCTTTCTTTGATAGTGCAGCTTTGAAACACTCTTTTTGTAGAAACTGCAAGTGGATGTTTGGTCCTCTCTGAGGATTTCGTTGGAAACGGGATAAACCGCACAGAACTAAAACAGAAGCATTGTCAGAAACTTCTTTGTGATGATTGCATTCAACTCACAGAGTTGAAGGTTCCTTTTCAAACAGCAGTTTCCAATCACTCTTTCTGTGGAATCTGCAAGTGGATATTTGGGCCTCTCTGAGGATTTCGTTGGAAACGGGATAAAACGCACAGAACTAAAACAGAAGCATTCTCAGAAACTTCTCTGTGATGTTTGTGTTCAACTCCCAGAGTTTCACGTTGCTTTTCATAGAGTAGTTCTGAAACATGCTTTTCGTAGTGTCTGCAAGTGGACATTTGGAGCGCTTTCAGGCCTGTGGTGGAAAACGAATTATGGTCACATAAAAACTGGAGAGAAGCCTTCTCAGAAACTTCTCTGTGATGATTGCATTCAACTCACAGAGTTGAACCCTCCTATGGGTAGAGCAGTGTTGAAACTCTCTTTTTGTGGAATCTGCAAGTGGATATGTGGACCTCTCCGAAGATGTCTTTGGAAACGGGAATATCTTCACATAAAAACTAAACAGAAGCATTCTCAGAAACTTCTTGGTGATGTTTGCATTCAAATCCCAGAGTTGAACCTTCCTTTGATAGTTCAGGTTTGAAACACTCTTTCTGTAGGATCTGCAAGTGGCTATTTGGACCACTCTGTGGCCTTCGTTCGAAACGGGTATATCTTCGCATAAAATCTAGACAGAAGCATTCTCAGAAAATACTTTGTGATGATTGAGTTTAAATCACAGAGCTGACCATTCCTTTGGATGGAGCAGGTTTGAGACACACTTTTTGTAGAATCTACAAGTGGATATTTGGACCTCTCTGAGGATTTCGTTGGAAACGGGATAACTGCACCTAACTAAACGGAAGCATTCTCAGAAACTGCTTTGTGATGATTGCATTCACCTCACAGAGTTGAACATTCCTATTGATAGAGCAGTTTGGAAACACTCTTGTTGTGGAATGTGCAAGTGGAGATTTGGAGCGCTTTGAGGCCTGTGGTAGTAAAGGGAATAGCTTCATAGAAAAACTAGACAGATGCATTCTCAGGAACTTTTTGGTGATGTTTGTATTCAACTCCCAGAGTTGAACTTTCCTTTGGAAAGAGCAGCTATGAAACACTCTTTTTCTAGAATCTGCAAGTGGACGTTTGGAGGGCTTTGTGGTTTGTGGTGGAAAAGGAAATATCTTCACCTAAATACTAGATAGAAGCATTCTCAGAAGCTTCTCTGTGATGACTGCATTCAACTCACGGAGTTGAACACTCCTTTTGAGAGCGTAGTTTTGAAACTCTCTTTCTGTGGCATCTGCAAGGGGACATGTAGACCTCTTTGAAGATTTCGTTGGAAACGGAATCATCTTCACATAAAAACTATACAGAAGCAGTCTCAGAATCTTCTTTGTGATGTTTGCATTCAAATCCCCGAGTTGAACTTTCCTTTCAAAGTTCACGTTTGAAACACTCTTTTTGCAGGATCTACAAGTGGATATTTGGACCACTCTGTGTCCTTCGTTCGAAACGGTTATATCTTCACATGACATCTAGACAGAAGCTTTCTCAGAAAATTCTTTGGGATGATTGAGTTGAACTCACAGCAGCTGAGCATTCCTTGTGATGTAGCAGTTTAGAAACACACTTTCTGCAGAATCTGCAAGTGCATATTTGGACCTCTGTGAGGAATTCGTTGGAAACGGGATAATTTCAGCTGACTAAACAGAAGCATTCTCAGAACCTTCTTCGTGATGTCTGCATTCAACTCAAAGTGTGGAACCTTTCTTTGATAGTTCAGGTTTGAAACACTCTTTTTGTAGAAACTGCAAGGGGATCATTGCACTTCTTTGAGGCCTACTGTAGTAAAGGAGATAACTTCCTATAAAAAGAAGACAGAAGCATTCTCAGAGCCCTCTTCGTGATGTTTGCATTCAACTCACAGTGCTGAACCTTTCTTTGATAGTGCAGCTTTGAAACACTCTTTTTCTAGAAACTGCAAGTGGATATTTGGACCTCTCTGAGGATTTCGTTGGAAACTGGATAAACCGCACAGAACTAAAACAGAAGCATTCTCAGAACCTTCTTCGTGATGTTTGCATTCAACTCACAGTGTTGAACCTTTCTTTGATAGTTCAGGTTTGAAACGGTCTTTCTGTAGAAACTGCAAGTAGATATTTGGACCTCTCTGAGGATTTCGTTGGAAACGGGATAACCCGCACAGAACTAAAACAGAAGCATTCACAGAAAACTCTTGGTGACGACTGAGTTTAACTCACAGAGCTGAACATTCCTTTGGATGGAGCAGTTTCGAAACACACTATTTGTAGAATGTGCAAGTGGATATTTGGGCCTCTCTGAGGATTTCGTTGGAAACGGGATAAACCGCACAGAACTAAACAGAAGCATTCTCAGAAACTACTTTGTGATGATTGCATTCAAGTCACAGAGTTGAACATTCCCTTTGACAGAGCAGTTTGGAAACTCTCTTTGTGTAGAATCTGCAAGTGGAGATATGGACCGCTTTGAGGCCTATGGTAGTAAAGGAAATAGCTTCATATAAAAGCTAGACAGTAGCATTCTCAGAAACTTCTTTGTGATGCTTGCATTCAACTCACAGAGTTGAACTTTCCTTTCGAGAGAGAAGCTTTGAAACACTCTTTTTCCAGAATCTGCAAGTGGACATTTGGAGGGCTTTGAGGCCTGTGGTGGAAAAGGAATTATCTTCCCGTAAAAGCTAGATAGAAGCATTGTCAGAAACTTCTTTGTGATGATTGCATTCAACTCACAGAGTTGAAGGTTCCTTTTCAAAGAGCAGTTTCCAATCACTCTTTCTGTGGAATCTGCAAGTGGATATTTGGACCTATTTTGAAGATTTCGTTGGAAACGGGAGAATCTTCACAGGAAAGCTAAACAGAAGCATTCTCAGAAACTTCTCTGTGATGTTTGTGTTCAACTCCCAGAGTTTCACATTGCTTTTCATAGAGTAGTTCTGAAACATGCTTTTCGTAGTGTCTACAAGTGGACATTTGGAGCGCTTTCAGGCCTGTGGTGGAAAACGAATTATGGTCACATAAAAACTGGAGAGAAGCCTTCTCAGAAACTTCTCTGTGATGATTGCATTCAACTCACAGAGTTGAACCCTCCTATGGATAGAGCAGTGTTGAAACTCTCTTTTTGTGGAATCTGCAAGTGGATATGTGGACCTCTCCGAAGATGTCTTTGGAAACGGGAATATCTTCACATAAAAACTAAACAGAAGCATTCTCAGAAACTTCTTGGTGATGTTTGCATTCAAATCCCAGAGTCGAACCTTCCTTTGAGAGTTCAGGTTTGAAACACTCTTTTTGTAGGATCTGCAAGTGGATATTTGGACCACTCTGTGGCCTTCGTTCGAAACGGGTATATCTTCGCATAAAATCTAGACAGAAGCATTCTCAGAAAATACTTTGTGATGATTGAGTTAAAATCACAGAGCTGAACATTCCTTTGGATGGAGCAGGTTTGAGACACACTTTTTGTAGAATCTACAAGTGGATATTTGGACCTCTCTGAGGATTTCGTTGGAAACGGGATAACTGCACCTAACTAAACGGAAGCATTCTCAGAAACTGCTTTGTGATGATTGCATTCACCTCACAGAGTTGAACATTCCTATTGATAGAGCAGTTTGGAAACACTCTTGTTGTGGAATGTGCAAGTGGAGATTTGGAGCGCTTTGAGGCCTATGGTAGTAAAGGGAATAGCTTAATAGAAAAACTAGACAGATGCATTCTCAGGAACTTTTTGGTGATGTTTGTATTCAACTCCCAGAGTTGAACTTTCCTTTGGAAAGAGCAGCTATGAAACACTCTTTTTCTAGAATCTGCAAGTGGACTTTTGGAGGGCTTTGTGGTTTGTGGAGGAAAAGGAAATATCTTCACCTAAATACTAGATAGAAGCATTCTCAGAAGCTTCTCTGTGATGACTGCATTCAACCTCACGGAGTTGAACACTCCTTTTGAGAGCGCAGTTTTGAAACTCTCTTTCTGTGGCATCTGCAAGGGGACATGCAGACCTCTTTGAAGATTTCGTTGGAAACGGAATCATCTTCACATAAAAACTATACAGAAGCAGTCTCAGCATCTTCTTTGTGATGTTTGCATTCAAATCCCAGGAGTTGAACTTTCCTTTCAAAGTTCACGTTTGAAACACTCTTTTTGCAGGATCTACAAGTGGATATTTGGACCACTCTGTGTCCTTCGTTCGAAACGGGTATATCTTCACATGACATCTAGACAGAAGCTTTCTCAGAAAATTCTTTGGGATGATTGAGTTGAGCAAACAGAGCTGAACACTCCTTGCGATGTAGCAGTTTAGAAACACCCTTTCTGCAGAATCTGCAAGTGCATATGTGGACCTCTCTGAGGAATTCGTTGGAAACGGGATAATTTCAGCTGACTAAACAGAAGCATTCTCAGAACCTTCTTCGTGATGTCTGCATTCAACTCACAGTGTGGAACCTTTCTTTGATAGTTCAGGTTTGAAACACTCTTTTTGTAGAGACTGCAAGGGGATCATTGCACTTCTTTGAGGCCTACCGTAGTAAAGGAAATAACTTCCTATAAAAAGAAGACAGAAGCATTCTCAGAACCCTCTTCGTGATGTTTGCATTCAACTCACGGTGCTGAACCTTTCTTTGATAGTTCAGCTTTGAAACACTCTTTTTGTAGAAACTGCAAGTGGATATTTGGTGCTCTCTGAGGATTTCGTTGGAAACGGGATAAACCGCACAGAACTAAACAGAAGCATTCTCAGAACCTTCTTCGTGATGTTTGCATTCAACTCACAGTGTTGAACCTTTCTTTGATAGTTCAGGTTGGAAACGGTCTTTCTGTAGAAACTGCAAGTAGATATTTGGACCTCTCTGAGGATTTCATTGGAAACGGGATAAACCGCACAGAACTAAAACAGAAGCATTCACAGAAAACTCTTGGTGACGACTGAGTTTAACTCACAGAGCTGAACATTCCTTTGGATGGAGCAGTTTCGAAACACACTATTTGTAGAATCTGCAAGTGGATATTTGGGCCTCTCTGAGGATTTCGTTGGAAACGGGATAAAACGCACAGAACTAAAACAGAAGCATTCTCAGAAACTACTTTGTGATGATTGCATTCAAGTCACAGAGTTGAACATTCCCTTTGACAGAGCAGTTTGGAAACTCTCTTTGTGTAGAATCTGCAAGTGGAGATATGGACCGCTTTGAGGCCTATGGTAGTAAAGGAAATAGCTTCATATAAAAGCTAGACATTAGCATTCTCAGAAACTTCTTTGTGATGCTTGCATTCAACTCACAGAGTTGAACTTTCCTTTCGAGAGAGAAGCTTTGAAACACTCTTTTTCCAGAATGTGCAAGTGGACATTTGGGGAGCTTTGAGGCCTGTGGTGGAAAAGGAATTATCTTCCCGTAAAAGCTAGATAGAAGCATTGTCAGAAACTTCTTTGTGATGATTGCATTCAACTCACAGAGTTGAAGGTTCCTTTTCAAACAGCAGTTTCCAATCACTCTTTCTGTGGAATCTGCAAGTGGATATTTCGACCTCTTTGAAGATTTCTTTGGAAACGGGAGAATCTTCACAGAAAAGCTAAACAGAAGCATTCTCAGAAACTTCTCTGTGATGTTTGTGTTCAACTCCCAGAGTTTCACGTTGCTTTTCATAGAGTAGTTCTGAAACATGCTTTTCGTAGTGTCTGCAAGTGGACATTTGGAGCGCTTTCAGGCCTGTGGTGGAAAACGAATTATGGTCACATAAAAACTGGAGAGAAGCCTTCTCAGAAACTTCTCTGTGATGATTGCATTCAACTCACAGAGTTGAACCCTCCTATGGATAGAGCAGTGTTGAAACTCTCTTTTTGTGGAATCTGCAAGTGGATATGTGGACCTCTCCGAAGATGTCTTTGGAAACGGGAATATCTTCACATAAAAACTAAACAGAAGCATTCTCAGAAACTTCTTGGTGATGTTTGCATTCAAATCCCAGAGTTGAACCTTCCTTTGATAGTTCAGGTTTGAAACACTCTTTCTGTAGGATCTGCAAGTGGCTATTTGGACCACTCTGTGGCCTTCGTTCGAAACGGGTATATCTTCGCATAAAATCTAGACAGAAGCATTCTCAGAAAATACTTTGTGATGATTGAGTTTAAATCACAGAGCTGACCATTCCTTTGGATGGAGCAGGTTTGAGACACACTTTTTGTAGAATCTACAAGTGGATATTTGGACCTCTCTGAGGATTTCGTTGGAAACGGGATAACTGCACCTAACTAAACGGAAGCATTCTCAGAAACTGCTTTGTGATGATTGCATTCACCTCACAGAGTTGAACATTCCTATTGATAGAGCAGTTTGGAAACACTCTTGTTGTGGAATGTGCAAGTGGAGATTTGGAGCGCTTTGAGGCCTGTGGTAGTAAAGGGAATAGCTTCATAGAAAAACTAGACAGATGCATTCTCAGGAACTTTTTGGTGATGTTTGTATTCAACTCCCAGAGTTGAACTTTCCTTTGGAAAGAGCAGCTATGAAACACTCTTTTTCTAGAATCTGCAAGTGGACGTTTGGAGGGCTTTGTGGTTTGTGGTGGAAAAGGAAATATCTTCACCTAAATACTAGATAGAAGCATTCTCAGAAGCTTCTCTGTGATGACTGCATTCAACTCACGGAGTTGAACACTCCTTTTGAGAGCGCAGTTTTGAAACTCTCTTTCTGTGGCATCTGCAAGGGGACATGTAGACCTCTTTGAAGATTTCGTTGGAAACGGAATCATCTTCACATAAAAACTATACAGAAGCAGTCTCAGAATCTTCTTTGTGATGTTTGCATTCAAATCCCAGAGTTGAACTTTCCTTTCAAAGTTCACGTTTGAAACACTCTTTTTGCAGGATCTACAAGTGGATATTTGGACCACTCTGTGTCCTTCGTTCGAAACGGGTATATCTTCACACGACATCTAGACAGAAGCTTTCTCAGAAAATTCTTTGGGATGATTGAGTGGAACTCACAGAGCTGAACATTCCTTGCGATGTAGCAGTTTAGAAACACACTTTCTGCAGAATCTGCAAGTGCATATTTGGACCTCTCTGAGGAATTCGTTGGAAACGGGATAATTTCAGCTGACTAAACAGAAGCATTCTCAGAACCTTCTTCGTGATGTCTGCATTCAACTCACAGTGTGGAACCTTTCTTTGATAGTTCAGGTTTGAAACACTCTTTTTGTAGAAACTGCAAGGGGATAATTGCACTTCTTTGAGGCCTACCGTAGTAAAGGAAATAACTTCCTATAGAAAGAAGACAGAAGCATTCTCAGAACCCTCTTCGTGATGTTTGCATTCAACTCACAGTGCTGAACCTTTCTTTGATAGTTCAGCTTTGAAACACTCTTCTTGTAGAAACTGCAAGTGGATATTTGGTCCTCTCTGAGGATTTCGTTGGAAACGGGATAAACCGCACAGAACTAAACAGAAGAATTCTCAGAGCCCTCTTCGTGATGTTTGCATTCAACTCACAGTGCTGAACCTTTCTTTGATAGTGCAGCTTTGAAACACTCTTTTTGTAGAAACTGCAAGTGGATGTTTGGTCCTCTCTGAGGATTTCGTTGGAAACGGGATAAACCGCACAGAACTAAAACAGAAGCATTGTCAGAAACTTCTTTGTGATGATTGCATTCAACTCACAGAGTTGAAGGTTCCTTTTCAAACAGCAGTTTCCAATCACTCTTTCTGTGGAATCTGCAAGTGGATATTTGGGCCTCTCTGAGGATTTCGTTGGAAACGGGATAAAACGCACAGAACTAAAACAGAAGCATTCTCAGAAACTTCTCTGTGATGTTTGTGTTCAACTCCCAGAGTTTCACGTTGCTTTTCATAGAGTAGTTCTGAAACATGCTTTTCGTAGTGTCTGCAAGTGGACATTTGGAGCGCTTTCAGGCCTGTGGTGGAAAACGAATTATGGTCACAAAAAAACTGGAGAGAAGCCTTCTCAGAAACTTCTCTGTGATGATTGCATTCAACTCACAGAGTTGAACCCTCCTATGGATAGAGCAGTGTTGAAACTCTCTTTTTGTGGAATCTGCAAGTGGATATGTGGATCTCTCCGAAGATGTCTTTGGAAACGGGAATATCTTCACATAAAAACTAAACAGAAGCATTCTCAGAAACTTCTTGGTGATGTTTGCATTCAAATCCCAGAGTTGAACCTTCATTTGATAGTTCAGGTTTGAAACACTCTTTTTGTAGGATCTGCAAGTGGCTATTTGGACCACTCTGTGGCCTTCGTTCGAAACGGGTATATCTTCGCATAAAATCTAGACAGAAGCATTCTCAGAAAATACTTTGTGATGATTGAGTTTAAATCACAGAGCTGACCATTCCTTTGGATGGAGCAGGTTTGAGACACACTTTTTGTAGAATCTACAAGTGGATATTTGGACCTCTCTGAGGATTTCGTTGGAAACGGGATAACTGCACCTAACTAAACGGAAGCATTCTCAGAAACTGCTTTGTGATGATTGCATTCACCTCACAGAGTTGAACATTCCTATTGATAGAGCAGTTTGGAAACACTCTTGTTGTGGAATGTGCAAGTGGAGATTTGGAGCGCTTTGAGGCCTATGGTAGTAAAGGGAATAGCTTCATAGAAAAACTAGACAGATGCATTCTCAGGAACCTTTTGGTGATGTTTGTATTCAACTCCCAGAGTTGAACTTTCCTTTGGAAAGAGCAGCTATGAAACACTCTTTTTCTAGAATCTGCAAGTGGACGTTTGGAGGGCTTTGTGGTTTGTGGTGGAAAAGGAAATATCTTCACCTAAATACTAGATAGAAGCATTCTCAGAAGCTTCTCTGTGATGACTGCATTCAACTCACGGAGTTGAACACTCCTTTTGAGAGCGCAGTTTTGAAACTCTCTTTCTGTGGCATCTGCAAGGGGACATGTAGACCTCTTTGAAGATTTCGTTGGAAACGGAATCATCTTCACATAAAAACTATACAGAAGCAGTCTCAGAATCTTCTTTGTGATGTTTGCATTCAAATCCCAGAGTTGAACTTTCCTTTCAAAGTTCACGTTTGAAACACTCTTTTTGCAGGATCTACAAGTGGATATTTGGACCACTCTGTGTCCTTCGTTCGAAACGGGTATATCTTCACACGACATCTAGACAGAAGCTTTCTCAGAAAATTCTTTGGGATGATTGAGTGGAACTCACAGAGCTGAACATTCCTTGCGATGGAGCAGTTTAGAAACACACTTTCTGCAGAATCTGCAAGTGCATATTTGGACCTCTCTGAGGAATTCGTTGGAAACGGGATAATTTCAGCTGACTAAACAGAAGCATTCTCAGAACCTTCTTCGTGATGTCTGCATTCAACTCACAGTGTGGAACCTTTCTTTGATAGTTCAGGTTTGAAACACTCTTTTTGTAGAAACTGCAAGGGGATAATTGCACTTCTTTGAGGCCTACCGTAGTAAAGGAAATAACTTCCTATAGAAAGAAGACAGAAGCATTCTCAGAACCCTCTTCGTGATGTTTGCATTCAACTCACAGTGCTGAACCTTTCTTTGATAGTTCAGCTTTGAAACACTCTTCTTGTAGAAACTGCAAGTGGATATTTGGTCCTCTCTGAGGATTTCGTTGGAAACGGGATAAACCGCACAGAACTAAACAGAAGAATTCTCAGAGCCCTCTTCGTGATGTTTGCATTCAACTCACAGTGCTGAACCTTTCTTTGATAGTGCAGCTTTGAAACACTCTTTTTGTAGAAACTGCAAGTGGATGTTTGGTCCTCTCTGAGGATTTCGTTGGAAACGGGATAAACCGCACAGAACTAAAACAGAAGCATTGTCAGAAACTTCTTTGTGATGATTGCATTCAACTCACAGAGTTGAAGGTTCCTTTTCAAACAGCAGTTTCCAATCACTCTTTCTGTGGAATCTGCAAGTGGATATTTGGGCCTCTCTGAGGATTTCGTTGGAAACGGGATAAAACGCACAGAACTAAAACAGAAGCATTCTCAGAAACTTCTCTGTGATGTTTGTGTTCAACTCCCAGAGTTTCACGTTGCTTTTCATAGAGTAGTTCTGAAACATGCTTTTCGTAGTGTCTGCAAGTGGACATTTGGAGCGCTTTCAGGCCTGTGGTGGAAAACGAATTATGGTCACATAAAAACTGGAGAGAAGCCTTCTCAGAAACTTCTCTGTGATGATTGCATTCAACTCACAGAGTTGAACCCTCCTATGGATAGAGCAGTGTTGAAACTCTCTTTTTGTGGAATCTGCAAGTGGATATGTGGACCTCTCCGAAGATGTCTTTGGAAACGGGAATATCTTCACATAAAAACTAAACAGAAGCATTCTCAGAAACTTCTTGGTGATGTTTGCATTCAAATCCCAGAGTTGAACCTTCCTTTGATAGTTCAGGTTTGAAACACTCTTTCTGTAGGATCTGCAAGTGGCTATTTGGACCACTCTGTGGCCTTCGTTCGAAACGGGTATATCTTCGCATAAAATCTAGACAGAAGCATTCTCAGAAAATACTTTGTGATGATTGAGTTTAAATCACAGAGCTGACCATTCCTTTGGATGGAGCAGGTTTGAGACACACTTTTTGTAGAATCTACAAGTGGATATTTGGACCTCTCTGAGGATTTCGTTGGAAACGGGATAACTGCACCTAACTAAACGGAAGCATTCTCAGAAACTGCTTTGTGATGATTGCATTCACCTCACAGAGTTGAACATTCCTATTGATAGAGCAGTTTGGAAACACTCTTGTTGTGGAATGTGCAAGTGGAGATTTGGAGCGCTTTGAGGCCTATGGTAGTAAAGGGAATAGCTTCATAGAAAAACTAGACAGATGCATTCTCAGGAACTTTTTGGTGATGTTTGTATTCAACTCCCAGAGTTGAACTTTCCTTTGGAAAGAGCAGCTATGAAACACTCTTTTTCTAGAATCTGCAAGTGGACGTTTGGAGGGCTTTGTGGTTTGTGGTGGAAAAGGAAATATCTTCACCTAAATACTAGACAGAAGCATTCTCAGAAGCTTCTCTGTGATGACTGCATTCAACTCACGGAGTTGAACACTCCTTTTGAGAGCGCAGTTTTGAAACTCTCTTTCTGTGGCATCTGCAAGGGGACATGTAGACCTCTTTGAAGATTTCGTTGGAAACGGAATCATCTTCACATAAAAACTATACAGAAGCAGTCTCAGAATCTTCTTTGTGATGTTTGCATTCAAATCCCAGAGTTGAACTTTCCTTTCAAAGTTCACGTTTGAAACACTCTTTTTGCAGGATCTACAAGTGGATATTTGGACCACTCTGTGTCCTTCGTTCGAAACGGGTATATCTTCACACGACATCTAGACAGAAGCTTTCTCAGAAAATTCTTTGGGATGATTGAGTGGAACTCACAGAGCTGAACATTCCTTGCGATGTAGCAGTTTAGAAACACACTTTCTGCAGAATCTGCAAGTGCATATTTGGACCTCTCTGAGGAATTCGTTGGAAACGGGATAATTTCAGCTGACTAAACAGAAGCATTCTCAGAACTTCTTCGTGATGTCTGCATTCAACTCACAGTGTGGAACCTTTCTTTGATAGTTCAGGTTTGAAACACTCTTTTTGTAGAAACTGCAAGGGGATAATTGCACTTCTTTGAGGCCTACCGTAGTAAAGGAAATAACTTCCTATAGAAAGAAGACAGAAGCATTCTCAGAACCCTCTTCGTGATGTTTGCATTCAACTCACAGTGCTGAAACTTTCTTTGATAGTTCAGCTTTGAAACACTCTTTTTGTAGAAACTGCAAGTGGATACTTGGTCCTCTCTGAGGATTTCGTTGGAAAAGGGATAAACCGCACAGAACTAAACAGAAGCATTCACAGAAAACTCTTGGTGACGACTGAGTTTTACTCACAGAGCTGAACATTCCTTTGGATGGAGCAGTTTCGAAACACACTATTTGTAGAATCTGCAAGTGGATATTTGGGCCTCTCTGAGGATTTCGATGGAAATGGGATAAACCGCACAGAACTAAAACAGAAGCATTCTCAGAAACTACTTTGTGATGATTGCATTCAAGTCACAGAGCTGAACATTCCCTTTGACAGAGCAGTTTGGAAACTCTCTTTGTGTAGAATCTGCAAGTGGAGGTATGGAATGCTTTGAGGACTATTGGTAGTAAAGGAAATAGCTTCATATAAAAGCTAGACAGTAGCATTCTCAGAAACTTCTTTGTGATGCTTGCATTCAACTCACAGAGTTGAACTTTCCTTTCGAGAGAGAAGCTTTGAAACACTCTTTTTCCAGAATCTGCAAGTGGACATTTGGAGGGCTTTGAGGCCTGTGGTGGAAAAGGAATTATCTTCCCGTAAAAGCTAGATAGAAGCATTGTCAGAAACTTCTTTGTGATGATTGCATTCAAGTCACAGAGTTGAAGGTTCCTTTTCAAAGAGCAGTTTCCAATCACTCTTTCTGTGGAATCTGCAAGTGGATATTTGGACCTCTTTGAACATTTCGTTGGAAACGGGAGAATCTTCACAGAAAAGCTAAACAGAGGCATTCTCAGAAACTTCTCTGTGATGTTTGTGTTCAACTCCCAGAGTTTCACATTGCTTCTCATAGAGTAGTTCGGAAACATGCTTTTCGTAGTGTCTGCAAGTGGACATTTGGAGCGCTTTCAGGCCTGTGGTGGAAAACGAATTATGGTCACATAAAAACTGGAGAGAAGCCTTCTCAGAAACTTCTCTGTGATGATTGCATTCAACTCACAGAGTTGAACCCTCCCATGGATAGAGCAGTGTTGAAACTCTCTTTTTGTGGAATCTGCAAGTGGATATGTGGACCTCTCCGAAGATGTCTTTGGAAACGGGAATATCTTCACATAAAAACTAAACGGAAGCATTCTCAGAAACTTCTTGGTGATGTTTGCATTCAAATCCCAGAGTTGAACCTTCCTTTGATAGTTCAGGTTTGAAACACTCTTTTTGTAGGATCTGCAAGTGGCTATTTGGACCACTCTGTGGCCTTCGTTCGAAACGGGTATATCTTCGCATAAAATCTAGACAGAAGCATTCTCAGAAAATACTTTGTGATGATTGAGTTTAAATCACAGAGCTGACCATTCCTTTGGATGGAGCAGGTTTGAGACACACTTTTTGTAGAATCTACAAGTGGATATTTGGACCTCTCTGAGGATTTCGTTGGAAACGGGATAACTGCACCTAACTAAACGGAAGCATTCTCAGAAACTGCTTTGTGATGATTGCATTCACCTCACAGAGTTGAACATTCCTATTGATAGAGCAGTTTGGAAACACTCTTGTTGTGGAATGTGCAAGTGGAGATTTGGAGCGCTTTGAGGTCTATGGTAGTAAAGGGAATAGCTTCATAGAAAAACTAGACAGATGCATTCTCAGGAACTTTTTGGTGATGTTTGTATTCAACTCCCAGAGTTGAACTTTCCTTTGGAAAGAGCAGCTATGAAACACTCTTTTTCTAGAATCTGCAAGTGGACGTTTGGAGGGCTTTGTGGTTTGTGGTGGAAAAGGAAATATCTTCACCTAAATACTAGATAGAAGCATTCTCAGAAGCTTCTCTGTGATGACTGCATTCAACTCACGGAGTTGAACACTCCTTTTGAGAGCGCAGTTTTGAAACTCTCTTTCTGTGGCATCCGCAAGGGGACATGTGGACCTCTTTGAAGATTTCGTTGGAAACGGAATCATCTTCACATAAAAACTATACAGAAGCAATCTCAGAATCTTCTTTGTGATGTTTGCATTCAAATCCCAGAGTTGAACTTTCCTTTCAAAGTTCACGTTTGAAACACTCTTTTTGCAGGATCTACAAGTGGATATTTGGACCACTCTGTGTCCTTCGTTCGAAACGGGTATATCTTCACACGACATCTAGACAGAAGCTTTCTCAGAAAATTCTTTGGGATGATTGAGTTGAACTCACAGAGCTGAACATTCCTTGCGATGTAGCAGTTTAGAAACACACTTTCTGCAGAATCTGCAAGTGCATATTTGGACCTCTCTGAGGAATTCGTTGGCAACGGGATAATTTCAGCTGACTAAACAGAAGCATTCTCAGAACCTTCTTCGTGATGTCTGCATTCAACTCACAGTGTGGAACCTTTCTTTGATAGTTCAGGTTTGAAACACTCTTTTTGTAGAAACTGCAAGGGGATAATTGCACTTCTTTGAGGCCTACCGTAGTAAAGGAAATAACTTCCTATAGAAAGAAGACAGAAGCATTCTCAGAACCCTCTTCGTGATGTTTGCATTCAACTCACAGTGCTGAACCTTTCTTTGATAGTTCAGCTTTGAAACACTCTTCTTGTAGAAACTGCAAGTGGATATTTGGTCCTCTCTGAGGATTTCGTTGGAAACGGGATAAACCGCACAGAACTAAACAGAAGAATTCTCAGAGCCCTCTTCGTGATGTTTGCATTCAACTCACAGTGCTGAACCTTTCTTTGATAGTGCAGCTTTGAAACACTCTTTTTGTAGAAACTGCAAGTGGATGTTTGGTCCTCTCTGAGGATTTCGTTGGAAACGGGATAAACCGCACAGAACTAAAACAGAAGCATTGTCAGAAACTTCTTTGTGATGATTGCATTCAACTCACAGAGTTGAAGGTTCCTTTTCAAACAGCAGTTTCCAATCACTCTTTCTGTGGAATCTGCAAGTGGATATTTGGGCCTCTCTGAGGATTTCGTTGGAAACGGGATAAAACGCACAGAACTAAAACAGAAGCATTCTCAGAAACTTCTCTGTGATGTTTGTGTTCAACTCCCAGAGTTTCACGTTGCTTTTCATAGAGTAGTTCTGAAACATGCTTTTCGTAGTGTCTGCAAGTGGACATTTGGAGCGCTTTCAGGCCTGTGGTGGAAAACGAATTATGGTCACATAAAAACTGGAGAGAAGCCTTCTCAGAAACTTCTCTGTGATGATTGCATTCAACTCACAGAGTTGAACCCTCCTATGGATAGAGCAGTGTTGAAACTCTCTTTTTGTGGAACCTGCAAGTGGATATGTGGACCTCTCCGAAGATGTCTTTGGAAACGGGAATATCTTCACATAAAAACTAAACAGAAGCATTCTCAGAAACTTCTTGGTGATGTTTGCATTCAAATCCCAGAGTTGAACCTTCCTTTGATAGTTCAGGTTTGAAACACTCTTTCTGTAGGATCTGCAAGTGGCTATTTGGACCACTCTGTGGCCTTCGTTCGAAACGGGTATATCTTCGCATAAAATCTAGACAGAAGCATTCTCAGAAAATACTTTGTGATGATTGAGTTTAAATCACAGAGCTGACCATTCCTTTGGATGGAGCAGGTTTGAGACACACTTTTTGTAGAATCTACAAGTGGATATTTGGACCTCTCTGAGGATTTCGTTGGAAACGGGATAACTGCACCTAACTAAACGGAAGCATTCTCAGAAACTGCTTTGTGATGATTGCATTCACCTCACAGAGTTGAACATTCCTATTGATAGAGCAGTTTGGAAACACTCTTGTTGTGGAATGTGCAAGTGGAGATTTGGAGCGCTTTGAGGCCTATGGTAGTAAAGGGAATAGCTTCATAGAAAAACTAGACAGATGCATTCTCAGGAACTTTTTGGTGATGTTTGTATTCAACTCCCAGAGTTGAACTTTCCTTTGGAAAGAGCAGCTATGAAACACTCTTTTTCTAGAATCTGCAAGTGGACGTTTGGAGGGCTTTGTGGTTTGTGGTGGAAAAGGAAATATCTTCACCTAAATACTAGATAGAAGCATTCTCAGAAGCTTCTCTGTGATGACTGCATTCAACTCACGGAGTTGAACACTCCTTTTGAGAGCGCAGTTTTGAAACTCTCTTTCTGTGGCATCTGCAAGGGGACATGTAGACCTCTTTGAAGATTTCGTTGGAAACGGAATCATCTTCACATAAAAACTATACAGAAGCAGTCTCAGAATCTTCTTTGTGATGTTTGCATTCAAATCCCAGAGTTGAACTTTCCTTTCAAAGTTCACGTTTGAAACACTCTTTTTGCAGGATCTACAAGTGGATATTTGGACCACTCTGTGTCCTTCGTTCGAAACGGGTATATCTTCACACGACATCTAGACAGAAGCTTTCTCAGAAAATTCTTTGGGATGATTGAGTGGAACTCACAGAGCTGAACATTCCTTGCGATGTAGCAGTTTAGAAACACACTTTCTGCAGAATCTGCAAGTGCATATTTGGACCTCTCTGAGGAATTCGTTGGAAACGGGATAATTTCAGCTGACTAAACAGAAGCATTCTCAGAACCTTCTTCGTGATGTCTGCATTCAACTCACAGTGTGGAACCTTTCTTTGATAGTTCAGGTTTGAAACACTCTTTTTGTAGAAACTGCAAGGGGATAATTGCACTTCTTTGAGGCCTACCGTAGTAAAGGAAATAACTTCCTATAGAAAGAAGACAGAAGCATTCTCAGAACCCTCTTCGTGATGTTTGCATTCAACTCACAGTGCTGAACCTTTCTTTGATAGTTCAGCTTTGAAACACTCTTCTTGTAGAAACTGCAAGTGGATATTTGGTCCTCTCTGAGGATTTCGTTGGAAACGGGATAAACCGCACAGAACTAAACAGAAGAATTCTCAGAGCCCTCTTCGTGATGTTTGCATTCAACTCACAGTGCTGAACCTTTCTTTGATAGTGCAGCTTTGAAACACTCTTTTTGTAGAAACTGCAAGTGGATGTTTGGTCCTCTCTGAGGATTTCGTTGGAAACGGGATAAACCGCACAGAACTAAAACAGAAGCATTGTCAGAAACTTCTTTGTGATGATTGCATTCAACTCACAGAGTTGAAGGTTCCTTTTCAAACAGCAGTTTCCAATCACTCTTTCTGTGGAATCTGCAAGTGGATATTTGGGCCTCTCTGAGGATTTCGTTGGAAACGGGATAAAACGCACAGAACTAAAACAGAAGCATTCTCAGAAACTTCTCTGTGATGTTTGTGTTCAACTCCCAGAGTTTCACGTTGCTTTTCATAGAGTAGTTCTGAAACATGCTTTTCGTAGTGTCTGCAAGTGGACATTTGGAGCGCTTTCAGGCCTGTGGTGGAAAACGAATTATGGTCACATAAAAACTGGAGAGAAGCCTTCTCAGAAACTTCTCTGTGATGATTGCATTCAACTCACAGAGTTGAACCCTCCTATGGATAGAGCAGTGTTGAAACTCTCTTTTTGTGGAATCTGCAAGTGGATATGTGGACCTCTCCGAAGATGTCTTTGGAAACGGGAATATCTTCACATAAAAACTAAACAGAAGCATTCTCAGAAACTTCTTGGTGATGTTTGCATTCAAATCCCAGAGTTGAACCTTCCTTTGATAGTTCAGGTTTGAAACACTCTTTCTGTAGGATCTGCAAGTGGCTATTTGGACCACTCTGTGGCCTTCGTTCGAAACGGGTATATCTTCGCATAAAATCTAGACAGAAGCATTCTCAGAAAATACTTTGTGATGATTGAGTTTAAATCACAGAGCTGACCATTCCTTTGGATGGAGCAGGTTTGAGACACACTTTTTGTAGAATCTACAAGTGGATATTTGGACCTCTCTGAGGATTTCGTTGGAAACGGGATAACTGCACCTAACTAAACGGAAGCATTCTCAGAAACTGCTTTGTGATGATTGCATTCACCTCACAGAGTTGAACATTCCTATTGATAGAGCAGTTTGGAAACACTCTTGTTGTGGAATGTGCAAGTGGAGATTTGGAGCGCTTTGAGGCCTATGGTAGTAAAGGGAATAGCTTCATAGAAAAACTAGACAGATGCATTCTCAGGAACTTTTTGGTGATGTTTGTATTCAACTCCCAGAGTTGAACTTTCCTTTGGAAAGAGCAGCTATGAAACACTCTTTTTCTAGAATCTGCAAGTGGACGTTTGGAGGGCTTTGTGGTTTGTGGTGGAAAAGGAAATATCTTCACCTAAATACTAGATAGAAGCATTCTCAGAAGCTTCTCTGTGATGACTGCATTCAACTCACGGAGTTGAACACTCCTTTTGAGAGCGCAGTTTTGAAACTCTCTTTCTGTGGCATCTGCAAGGGGACATGTAGACCTCTTTGAAGATTTCGTTGGAAACGGAATCATCTTCACATAAAAACTATACAGAAGCAGTCTCAGAATCTTCTTTGTGATGTTTGCATTCAAATCCCAGAGTTGAACTTTCCTTTCAAAGTTCACGTTTGAAACACTCTTTTTGCAGGATCTACAAGTGGATATTTGGACCACTCTGTGTCCTTCGTTCGAAACGGGTATATCTTCACACGACATCTAGACAGAAGCTTTCTCAGAAAATTCTTTGGGATGATTGAGTGGAACTCACAGAGCTGAACATTCCTTGCGATGTAGCAGTTTAGAAACACACTTTCTGCAGAATCTGCAAGTGCATATTTGGACCTCTCTGAGGAATTCGTTGGAAACGGGATAATTTCAGCTGACTAAACAGAAGCATTCTCAGAACCTTCTTCGTGATGTCTGCATTCAACTCACAGTGTGGAACCTTTCTTTGATAGTTCAGGTTTGAAACACTCTTTTTGTAGAAACTGCAAGGGGATAATTGCACTTCTTTGAGGCCTACCGTAGTAAAGGAAATAACTTCCTATAGAAAGAAGACAGAAGCATTCTCAGAACCCTCTTCGTGATGTTTGCATTCAACTCACAGTGCTGAACCTTTCTTTGATAGTTCAGCTTTGAAACACTCTTCTTGTAGAAACTGCAAGTGGATATTTGGTCCTCTCTGAGGATTTCGTTGGAAACGGGATAAACCGCACAGAACTAAACAGAAGAATTCTCAGAGCCCTCTTCGTGATGTTTGCATTCAACTCACAGTGCTGAACCTTTCTTTGATAGTGCAGCTTTGAAACACTCTTTTTGTAGAAACTGCAAGTGGATGTTTGGTCCTCTCTGAGGATTTCGTTGGAAACGGGATAAACCGCACAGAACTAAAACAGAAGCATTGTCAGAAACTTCTTTGTGATGATTGCATTCAACTCACAGAGTTGAAGGTTCCTTTTCAAACAGCAGTTTCCAATCACTCTTTCTGTGGAATCTGCAAGTGGATATTTGGGCCTCTCTGAGGATTTCGTTGGAAACGGGATAAAACGCACAGAACTAAAACAGAAGCATTCTCAGAAACTTCTCTGTGATGTTTGTGTTCAACTCCCAGAGTTTCACGTTGCTTTTCATAGAGTAGTTCTGAAACATGCTTTTCGTAGTGTCTGCAAGTGGACATTTGGAGCGCTTTCAGGCCTGTGGTGGAAAACGAATTATGGTCACATAAAAACTGGAGAGAAGCCTTCTCAGAAACTTCTCTGTGATGATTGCATTCAACTCACAGAGTTGAACCCTCCTATGGATAGAGCAGTGTTGAAACTCTCTTTTTGTGGAATCTGCAAGTGGATATGTGGACCTCTCCGAAGATGTCTTTGGAAACGGGAATATCTTCACATAAAAACTAAACAGAAGCATTCTCAGAAACTTCTTGGTGATGTTTGCATTCAAATCCCAGAGTTGAACCTTCCTTTGATAGTTCAGGTTTGAAACACTCTTTTTGTAGGATCTGCAAGTGGCTATTTGGACCACTCTGTGGCCTTCGTTCGAAACGGGTATATCTTCGCATAAAATCTAGACAGAAGCATTCTCAGAAAATACTTTGTGATGATTGAGTTTTAATCACAGAGCTGAACATTCCTTTGGATGGAGCAGGTTTGAGACACACTTTTTGTAGAATCTACAAGTGGATATTTGGACCTCTCTGAGGATTTCGTTGGAAACGGGATAACTGCACCTAACTAAACGGAAGCATTCTCAGAAACTGCTTTGTGATGATTGCATTCACCTCACAGAGTTGAACATTCCTATTGATAGAGCAGTTTGGAAACACTCTTGTTGTGGAATGTGCAAGTGGAGATTTGGAGCGCTTTGAGGCCTATGGTAGTAAAGGGAATAGCTTCATAGAAAAACTAGACAGATGCATTCTCAGGAACTTTTTGGTGATGTTTGTATTCAACTCCCAGAGTTGAACTTTCCTTTGGAAAGAGCAGCTATGAAACACTGTTTTTCTAGAATCTGCAAGTGGACGTTTGGAGGGCTTTGTGGTTTGTGGTGGAAAAGGAAATATCTTCACCTAAATACTAGATAGAAGCATCCTCAGAAGCTTCTCTGTGATGACTGCATTCAACTCACGGAGTTGAACACTCCTTTTGAGAGCGCAGTTTTGAAACTCTCTTTCTGTGGCATCTGCAAGGGGACATGTAGACCTCTTTGAAGATTTCGTTGGAAACGGAATCATCTTCACATAAAAACTACACAGAAGCAGTCTCAGAATCTTCTTTGTGATGTTTGCATTCAAATCCCCGAGTTGAACTTTCCTTTCAAAGTTCACGTTTGAAACACTCTTTTTGCAGGATCTACAAGTGGATATTTGGACCACTCTGTGTCCTTCGATCGAAACGGGTATATCTTCACATGACATCTAGACAGAAGCTTTCTCAGAAAATTCTTTGGGATGATTGAGTTGAACTCACAGAGCTGAGCATTCCTTGCGATGTAGCAGTTTAGAAACACACTTTCTGCAGAATCTGCAAGTGCATATTTGGACCTCTGTGAGGAATTCGTTGGAAACGGGATAATTTCAGCTGACTAAACAGAAGCATTCTCAGAACCTTCTTCGTGATGTCTGCATTCAACTCACAGTGTGGAACCTTTCTTTGATAGTTCAGGTTTGAAACACTCTTTTTGTAGAAACTGCAAGGGGATAATTGCACTCTTTGAGGAGTACCGTAGTAAAGGAAATAACTTCCTATAAAAAGAAGACAGAAGCATTCTCAGAACCCTCTTCGTGATGTTTGCATTCAACTCACAGTGCTGAACCTTTCTTTGATAGTTCAGCTTTGAAACACTCTTTTTGTAGAAACTGCAAGTGGATATTTGGTCCTCTCTGAGCATTTCGTTGGAAACGGGATAAACTGCACAGAACTAAACAGAAGCATTCTCAGAACCTTCTTCGTGATGTTTGCATTCAACTCACAGTGTTGAACCTTTCTTTGATAGTTCAGGTTTGAAACGGTCTTTCTGTAGAAACTGCAAGTAGATATTTGGACCTCTCTGAGGATTTCGTTGGAAACGGGATAACCCGCACAGAACTAAAACAGAAGCATTCACAGAAAACTCTTGGTGACGACTGAGTTTAACTCACAGAGCTGAACATTCCTTTGGATGGAGCAGTTTCGAAACACACTATTTGTAGAATGTGCAAGTGGATATTTAGGCCTCTCTGAGGATTTCGTTGGAAACGGGATAAACCGCACAGAACTAAACAGAAGCATTCTCAGAAACTACTTTGTGATGATTGCATTCAAGTCACAGAGTTGAACATTCCCTTTGACAGAGCAGTTTGGAAACTCTCTTTGTGTAGAATCTGCAAGTGGAGATATGGACCGCTTTGAGGCCTATGGTAGTAAAGGAAATAGCTTCATATAAAAGCTAGACAGTAGCATTCTCAGAAACTTCTTTGTGATGCTTGCATTCAACTCACAGAGTTGAACTTTCCTTTCGAGAGAGAAGCTTTGAAACACTCTTTTTCCAGAATCTGCAAGTGGACATTTGGAGGGCTTTGAGGCCTGTGGTGGAAAAGGAATTATCTTCCCGTAAAAGCTAGATAGAAGCATTGTCAGAAACTTCTTTGTGATGATTGCATTCAACTCACCGAGTTGAAGGTTCCTTTTCAAACAGCAGTTTCCAATCACTCTTTCTGTGGAATCTGCAAGTGGATATTTCGACCTCTTTGAAGATTTCGTTGGAAACGGGAGAATCTTCACAGAAAAGCTAAACAGAAGCATTCTCAGAAACTTCTCTGTGATGTTTGTGTTCAACTCCCAGAGTTTCACATTGCTTTTCATAGAGTAGTTCTGAAACGTGCTTTTCGTAGTGTCTGCAAGTGGACATTTGGAGCGCTTTCAGGCCTGTGGTGGAAAACGAATTATGGTCACATAAAAACTGGAGAGAAGCCTTCTCAGAAACTTCTCTGTGATGATTGCATTCAACTCACAGAGTTGAACCCTCCTATGGATAGAGAAGTGTTGAAACTCTCTTTTTGTGGAATCTGCAAGTGGATATGTGGACCTCTCCGAAGTTGTCTTTGGAAACGGGAATATCTTCACATAAAAACTAAACAGAAGCATTCTCAGAAACTTCTTGGTGATGTTTGCATTCAAATCCCAGAGTTGAACCTTCCTTTGATAGTTCAGGTTTGAAACACTCTTTTTGTAGGATCTGCAAGTGGATATTTGGACCACTCTGTGGCCTTCGTTCGAAACGGGTACATCTTCGCATAAAATCTAGACAGAAGCATTCTCAGAAAATACTTTGTGATGATTGAGTTTAACTCACAGAGCTGAACATTCCTTTGGATGGAGCAGGTTTGAGACACACTTTTTGTAGAATCTACAAGTGGATATTTGGACCTCTCTGAGGATTTCGTTGGAAACGGGATAACTGCACCTAACTAAACGGAAGCATTCTCAGAAACTGCTTTGTGATGATTGCATTCACCTCACAGAGTTGAACATTCCTATTGATAGAGCAGTTTGGAAACACTCTTGTTGTGGAATGTGCAAGTGGAGATTTGGAGCGCTTTGAGGTCTATGGTAGTAAAGGGAATAGCTTCATAGAAAAACTAGACAGATGCATTCTCAGGAACTTTTTGGTGATGTTTGTATTCAACTCCCAGAGTTGAACTTTCCTTTGGAAAGAGCAGCTATGAAACACTCTTTTTCTAGAATCTGCAAGTGGACGTTTGGAGGGCTTTGTGGTTTGTGGTGGAAAAGGAAATATCTTCACCTAAATACTAGATAGAAGCATTCTCAGAAGCTTCTCTGTGATGACTGCATTCAACTCACGGAGTTGAACACTCCTTTTGAGAGCGCAGTTTTGAAACTCTCTTTCTGTGGCATCTGCAAGGGGACATGTAGACCTCTTTGAAGATTTCGTTGGAAACGGAATCATCTTCACATAAAAACTATACAGAAGCAGTCTCAGAATCTTCTTTGTGATGTTTGCATTCAAATCCCAGAGTTGAACTTTCCTTTCAAAGTTCACGTTTGAAACACTCTTTTTGCAGGATCTACAAGTGGATATTTGGACCACTCTGTGTCCTTCGTTCGAAACGGGTATATCTTCACACGACATCTAGACAGAAGCTTTCTCAGAAAATTCTTTGGGATGATTGAGTGGAACTCACAGAGCTGAACATTCCTTGCGATGTAGCAGTTTAGAAACACACTTTCTGCAGAATCTGCAAGTGCATATTTGGACCTCTCTGAGGAATTCGTTGGAAACGGGATAATTTCAGCTGACTAAACAGAAGCATTCTCAGAACCTTCTTCGTGATGTCTGCATTCAACTCACAGTGTGGAACCTTTCTTTGATAGTTCAGGTTTGAAACACTCTTTTTGTAGAAACTGCAAGGGGATAATTGCACTTCTTTGAGGCCTACCGTAGTAAAGGAAATAACTTCCTATAGAAAGAAGACAGAAGATTTCTCAGAACCCTCTTCGTGATGTTTGCATTCAACTCACAGTGCTGAACCTTTCTTTGATAGTTCAGCTTTGAAACACTCTTCTTGTAGAAACTGCAAGTGGATATTTGGTCCTCTCTGAGGATTTCGTTGGAAACGGGATAAACCGCACAGAACTAAACAGAAGATTTCTCAGAGCCCTCTTCGTGATGTTTGCATTCAACTCACAGTGCTGAACCTTTCTTTGATAGTGCAGCTTTAAAACACTCTTTTTGTAGAAACTGCAAGTGGATATTTGGTCCTCTCTGAGGATTTCGTTGGAAACGGAATAAACCGCACAGAACAAAAACAGAAGCATTCTCAGAACTTTCTTCGTGATGTTTGCATTCAACTCACAGTGTTGAACCTTTCTTTGATAGTTCAGGTTTGAAACGGTCTTTCTGTAGAAACTGCAAGTAGATATTTGGACCTCTCTGAGGATTTCGTTGGAAACGGGATAAACCGCACAGAACTAAAACAGAAGCATTCACAGAAAACTCTTGGTGACGACTGAGTTTAACTCACAGAGCTGAACATTCCTTTGGATGGAGCAGTTTCGAAACACACTATTTGTAGAATGTGCAAGTGGATATTTGGGCCTCTCTGAGGATTTCGTTGGAAACGGGATAAACCGCACAGAACTAAACAGAAGCATTCTCAGAAACTACTTTGTGATGATTGCATTCAAGTCACAGAGTTGAACATTCCCTTTGACAGAGCAGTGTGGAAACTCTCTTTGTGTAGAATCTGCAAGTGGAGATATGGACCGCTTTGAGGCCTATGGTAGTAAAGGAAATAGCTTCATATAAAAGCTAGACAGTAGCATTCTCAGAAACTTCTTTGTGATGCTTGCATTCAACTCACAGAGTTGAACTTTCCTTTCGAGAGAGAAGCTTTGAAACACTCTTTCTCCAGAATGTGCAAGTGGAGATTTGCAGGGCTTTGAGGCCTGTGGTGGAAAAGGAATTATCTTCCCGTAAAAGCTAGATGGAAGCATTGTCAGAAACTTCTTTGTGATGATTGCATTCAACTCACAGAGTTGAAGGTTCCTTTTCAAACAGCAGTTTCCAATCACTCTTTCTGTGGAATCTGCAAGTGGATATTTGGAACTATTTTGAAGATTTCGTTGGAAACGGGATAATCTTCACAGAAAAGCTAAACAGAAGCATTCTCAGAAACTTCTCTGTGATGTTTGTGTTCAACTCCCAGAGTTTCACGTTGCTTTTCATAGAGTAGTTCTGAAACATGCTTTTCGTAGTGTCTGCAAGTGGACATTTGGAGCGCTTTCAGGCCTGTGGTGGAAAACGAATTATGGTCACATAAAAATGGAGAGAAGCCTTCTCAGAAACTTCTCTGTGATGATTGCATTCAACTCACAGAGTTGAACCCTCCTATGGATAGAGCAGTGTTGAAACTCTCTTTTTGTGGAATCTGCAAGTGGATATGTGGACCTCTCCGAAGATGTCTTTGGAAACGGGAATATCTTCACATAAAAACTAAACAGAAGCATTCTCAGAAACTTCTTGGTGATGTTTGCATTCAAATCCCAGAGTTGAACCTTCCTTTGATAGTTCAGGTTTGAAACACTCTTTCTGTAGGATCTGCAAGTGGCTATTTGGACCACTCTGTGGCCTTCGTTCGAAACGGGTATATCTTCGCATAAAATCTAGACAGAAGCATTCTCAGAAAATACTTTGTGATGATTGAGTTTAAATCACAGAGCTGACCATTCCTTTGGATGGAGCAGGTTTGAGACACACTTTTTGTAGAATCTACAAGTGGATATTTGGACCTCTCTGAGGATTTCGTTGGAAACGGGATAACTGCACCTAACTAAACGGAAGCATTCTCAGAAACTGCTTTGTGATGATTGCATTCACCTCACAGAGTTGAACATTCCTATTGATAGAGCAGTTTGGAAACACTCTTGTTGTGGAATGTGCAAGTGGAGATTTGGAGCGCTTTGAGGCCTATGGTAGTAAAGGGAATAGCTTCATAGAAAAACTAGACAGATGCATTCTCAGGAACTTTTTGGTGATGTTTGTATTCAACTCCCAGAGTTGAACTTTCCTTTGGAAAGAGCAGCTATGAAACACTCTTTTTCTAGAATCTGCAAGTGGACGTTTGGAGGGCTTTGTGGTTTGTGGTGGAAAAGGAAATATCTTCACCTAAATACTAGATAGAAGCATTCTCAGAAGCTTCTCTGTGATGACTGCATTCAACTCACGGAGTTGAACACTCCTTTTGAGAGCGCAGTTTTGAAACTCTCTTTCTGTGGCATCTGCAAGGGGACATGTAGACCTCTTTGAAGATTTCGTTGGAAACGGAATCATCTTCACATAAAAACTATACAGAAGCAGTCTCAGAATCTTCTTTGTGATGTTTGCATTCAAATCCCAGACTTGAACTTTCCTTTCAAAGTTCACGTTTGAAACACTCTTTTTGCAGGATCTACAAGTGGATATTTGGACCACTCTGTGTCCTTCGTTCGAAACGGGTATATCTTCACACGACATCTAGACAGAAGCTTTCTCAGAAAATTCTTTGGGATGATTGAGTTGAACTCACAGAGCTGAACATTCCCTGCGATGTAGCAGTTTAGAAACACACTTTCTGCAGAATCTGCAAGTGTATATTTGGACCTCTCTGAGGAATTCGTTGGAAACGGGATAATTTCAGCTGACTAAACCGAAGCATTCTCAGAACCTTCTTCGTGATGTCTGCATTCAACTCACAGTGTGGAACCTTTCTTTGATAGTTCAGGTTTGAAACACTCTTTTTGTAGAAACTGCAAGGGGATAATTGCACTCCTTTGAGGAGTACCGTAGTAAAGGAAATAACTTCCTATAAAAAGAAGACAGAAGCATTCTCAGAACCCTCTTCGTGATGTTTGCATTCAACTCACAGTGCTGAACCTTTCTTTGATAGTTCAGCTTTGAAACACTCTTTTTGTAGAAACTGCAAGTGGATATTTGGTCCTCTCTGAGGATTTCGTTGGAAACGGGATAAACTGCACAGAACTAAACAGAAGCATTCTCAGAACCTTCTTCGTGATGTTTGCATTCAACTCACAGTGTTGAAGCTTTCTTTGATAGTTCAGGTTTGAAACGGTCTTTCTGTAGAAACTGCAAGTAGATATTTGGACCTCTCTGAGGATTTCGTTGGAAACGGGATAACCCGCACAGAACTAAAACAGAAGCATTCACAGAAAACTCTTGGTGACGACTGAGTTTAACTCACAGAGCTGAAGATTCCTTTGAATGGAGCAGTTTCGAAACACACTATTTGTAGAATCTGCAAGTGGATATTTGGGCCTCTCTGAGGATTTCGTTGCAAACGGGATAAACCGCACTGAACTAAACAGAAGCATTCTCAGAAACTACTTTGTGATGATTGCATTCAAGTCACAGAGTTGAACATTCCCTTCGACAGAGCAGTTTGGAAACTCTCTTTGTGTATAATCTGCAAGTGGAGATATGGACCGCTTTGAGGCCTATGGTAGTAAAGGAAATAGCTTCATATAAAAGCTAGACAGTAGCATTCTCAGAAACTTCTTTGTGATGCTTGCATTCAACTCACAGAGTTGAACTTTCCTTTCGAGAGAGAAGCTTTGAAACACTCTTTTTCCAGAATCTGCAAGTGGACATTTGGAGGGCTTTGAGGCCTGTGGTGGAAAAGGAATTAACTTCCCGTAAAAGCTAGATAGAAGCATTGTCAGAAACTTCTTTGTGACGATTGCATTCAACTCACAGAGATGAAGGTTCCTTTACAAACAGCAGTTTCCAAACACTCTTTCTGTGGAATCTGCAAGTGGATATTTGGACCTCTTTGAAGATTTCGTTGGAAACGGGAGAATCTTCACAGAAAAGCTAAACAGAAGCATTCTCAGAAACTTCTCTGTGATGTTTGTGTTCAACTCCCAGAGTTTCACATTGCTTTTCATAGAGTAGTTCTGAAACATGCTTTTCGTAGTGTCTGCAAGTGGACATTTGGAGCGCTTTCAGGCCTGTGGTGGAAAACCAATTATGGTCCCATAAAAACTGGAGAGAAGCCTTCTCAGAAACTTCTCTGTGATGATTGCATTCAACTCACAGATTTGAACCCTCCTATGGATAGAGCATTGTTGAAACTCTCTTTTTGTGGAATCTGCAAGTGGATATGTGGACCTCTCCGAAGATGTCTTTGGAAACGGGAATGTCTTCACATAAAAACTAAACAGAAGCATTCTCAGAAACTTCTTTGTGATGTTTGCATTCAAATCCCAGAGTTGAACCTTCCTGTGATAGTTCAGGTTTGAATCACTCTTTTTGTAGGATCTGCAAGTGGATATTTGGACCACTCTGTGGCCTTCGTTCGAAACGGGTACATCTTCACATAAAATCTAGACAGAAGCATTCTCAGAAAATACTTTGTGATGATTGAGTTTAACTCACAGAGCTGAACATTCCTTTGGATGGAGCAGGTTTGAGACACACTTTTTGTAGAATCTACAAGTGGATATTTGGACCTCTCTGAGGATTTCGTTGGAAACGCGATAACTGCACCTAACTAAACGGAAGCATTCTCAGAAACTGCTTTGTGATGATTGCATTCACCTCACAGAGTTGAACATTCCTATTGATAGAGCAGTTTGGAAACACTCTTGTTGTGGAATGTGCAAGTGGAGATTTGGAGCGCTTTGAGGCCTATGGTAGTAAAGGGAATAGCTTCATAGAAAAACTAGACAGATGCATTCTCAGGAACTTTTTGGTGATGTTTGTATTCAACTCCCAGAGTTGAACTTTCCTTTGGAAAGAGCAGCTATGAAACACTCTTTTTCTAGAATCTGCAAGTGGACGTTTGGAGGGCTTTGTGGTTTGTGGTGGAAAAGGAAATATCTTCACCTAAATACTAGATAGAAGCATTCTCAGAAGCTTCTCTGTGATGACTGCATTCAACTCACGGAGTTGAACACTCCTTTTGAGAGCGCAGTTTTGAAACTCTCTTTCTGTGGCATCTGCAAGGGGACATGTAGACCTCTTTGAAGATTTCGTTGGAAACGGAATCATCTTCACATAAAAACTATACAGAAGCAGTCTCAGAATCTTCTTTGTGATGTTTGCATTCAAATCCCAGAGTTGAACTTTCCTTTCAAAGTTCACGTTTGAAACACTCTTTTTGCAGGATCTACAAGTGGATATTTGGACCACTCTGTGTCCTTCGTTCGAAACGGGTATAACTTCACACGACATCTAGACAGAAGCTTTCTCAGAAAATTCTTTGCGATGATTGAGTTGAACTCACAGAGCTGAACATTCCTTGCGATGTAGCAGTTTAGAAACACACTTTCTGCAGAATCTGCAAGTGCATATTTGGACCTCTCTGAGGAATTCGTTGGAAACGGGATAATTTCAGCTGACTAAACAGAAGCATTCTCAGAACCTTCTTCGTGATGTCTGCATTCAACTCACAGTGTGGAACCTTTCTTTGATAGTTCAGGTTTGAAACACTCTTTTTGTAGAAACTGTAAGGGGATAATTGCACTTCTTTGAGGCCTACCGTAGTAAAGGAAATAACTTCCTATAAAAAGAAGACAGAAGCATTCTCAGAACCCTCTTCGTGATGTTTGCATTCAACTCACAGTGCTGAACCTTTCTTTGATAGTTCAGCTTTGAAACACTCTTTTTGTAGAAACTGCAAGTGGATATTTGGTCCTCTCTGAGGATTTCGTTGGAAACGGGATAAACCGCACAGAACTAAACAGAAGCATTCACAGAAAACTCTTGGTGACGACTGAGTTTAAATCACAGAGCTGAACATTCCTTTGGATGGAGCAGTTTCGAAACACACTCTTTGTAGAATGTGCAAGTGGATATTTGGGCCTCTCTGAGGATTTCGTTGGAAACGGGATAAACCGCACAGAACTAAAACAGAAGCATTCACAGAAAACTCTTGGTGACGACTGAGTTTAACTCACAGAGCTGAACATTCCTTTGGATGGAGCAGTTTCGAAACACACTATTTGTAGAATGTGCAAGTGGATATTTAGGCCTCTCTGAGGATTTCGTTGGAAACGGGATAAACCGCACAGAACTAAACAGAAGCATTCTCAGAAACTACTTTGTGATGATTGCATTCAAGTCACAGAGTTGAACATTCCCTTTGACAGAGCAGTTTGGAAACTCTCTTTGTGTAGAATCTGCAAGTGGAGATATGGACCGCTTTGAGGCCTATGGTAGTAAAGGAAATAGCTTCATATAAAAGCTAGACAGTAGCATTCTCAGAAACTTCTTTGTGATGCTTGCATTCAACTCACAGAGTTGAACTTTCCTTTCGAGAGAGAAGCTTTGAAACACTCTTTTTCCAGAATCTGCAAGTGGACATTTGGAGGGCTTTGAGGCCTGTGGTGGAAAAGGAATTATCTTCCCGTAAAAGCTAGATAGAAAGCATTGTCAGAAACTTCTTTGTGATGATTGCATTCAAGTCACAGAGTTGAAGGTTCCTTTTCAAAGAGCAGTTTCCAATCACTCTTTCTGTGGAATCTGCAAGTGGATATTTGGACCTCTTTGAAGATTTCGTTGGAAACGGGAGAATCTTCACAGAAAAGCTAAACAGAAGCATTCTCAGAAACTTCTCTGTGATGTTTGTGTTCAACTCCAAGAGTTTCACATTGCTTCTCATAGAGTAGTTCTGAAACATGCTTTTCGTAGTGTCTGCAAGTGGACATTTGGAGCGCTTTCAGGCCTGTGGTGGAAAACGAATTATGGTCACATAAAAACTGAAGAGATAAGCCTTCTCAGAAACTTCTCTGTGATGATTGCATTCAACTCACAGAGTTGAACCCTCCTATGGATAGAGCAGTGTTGAAACTCTCTTTTTGTGGAATCTGCAAGCGGATATGTGGACCTCTCCGAAGATGTCTTTGGAAACGGGAATATCTTCACATAAAAACTAAACAGAAGCATTCTCAGAAACTTCTTGGTGATGTTTGCATTCAAATCCCAGAGTTGAACCTTCCTTTGATAGTTCAGGTTTGAAACACTCTTTCTGTAGGATCTGCAAGTGGCTATTTGGACCACTCTGTGGCCTTCGTTCGAAACGGGTATATCTTCGCATAAAATCTAGACAGAAGCATTCTCAGAAAATACTTTGTGATGATTGAGTTTAAATCACAGAGCTGACCATTCCTTTGGATGGAGCAGGTTTGAGACACACTTTTTGTAGAATCTACAAGTGGATATTTGGACCTCTCTGAGGATTTCGTTGGAAACGGGATAACTGCACCTAACTAAACGGAAGCATTCTCAGAAACTGCTTTGTGATGATTGCATTCACCTCACAGAGTTGACCATTCCCATTGATAGAGCAGTTTGGAAACACTCTTGTTGTGGAATGTGCAAGTGGAGATTTGGAGCGCTTTGAGGCCTATGGTAGTAAAGGGAATAGCTTCATAGAAAAACTAGACAGATGCATTCTCAGGAACTTTTTGGTGATGTTTGTATTCAACTCCCAGAGTTGAACTTTCCTTTGGAAAGAGCAGCTATGAAACACTCTTTTTCTAGAATCTGCAAGTGGACGATTGGAGGGCTTTGTGGTTTTTGGTGGAAAAGGAAATATCTTCACCTAAATAGTAGATAGAAGCATTCTCAGAAGCTTCTCTGTGATGACTGCATTCAACTCACGGAGTTGAACACTCCTTTTGAGAGCGCAGTTTTGAAACTCTCTTTCTGTGGCATCTGCAAGGGGACATGTAGACCTCTTTGAAGATTTCGTTGGAAACGGAATCATCCTCACATCAAAACTATACAGAAGCAGTCTCAGAATCTTCTTTGTGATGTTTGCATTCAAATCCCAGAGTTGAACTTTCCTTTCAAAGTTCACGTTTGAAACACTCTTTTTGCAGGATCTACAAGTGGATATTTGGACCACTCTGTGTCCTTCGTTCGAAACGGGTATATCTTCACATGACATCTAGACAGAAGCTTTCTCAGAAAATTCTTTGGGATGATTGAGTTGAACTCACAGAGCTGAACATTCCTTGCGATGGAGCAGTTTAGAAACACACTTTCTGCAGAATCTGCAAGTGCATATTTGGACCTCTCTGAGGAATTCGTTGCAAACGGGATAATTTCAGCTGACTAAACAGAAGCATTCTCAGAACCTTCTTCGTGATGTCTGCATTCAACTCACAGTGTGGAACCTTTCTTTGATAGTTCAGGTTTGAAACACTCTTTTTGTAGAGACTGCAAGGGGATAATTGCACTTCTTTGAGGCCTACCGTAGTAAAGGAAATAACTTCCTATAAAAAGAAGACAGAAGCATTCTCAGAACCCTCTTCGTGATGTTTGCATTCAACTCACAGTGCTGAACCTTTCTTTGATAGTTCAGCTTTGAAACACTCTTTTTGTAGAAACTGCAAGTGGATATTTGGTCCTCTCTGAGGATTTCGTTGGAAACGGGATAAACTGCACAGAACTAAACAGAAGCATTCTCAGAACCTTCTTCGTGATGTTTGCATTCAACTCACAGTGTTGAACCTTTCTTTGATAGTTCAGGTTTGAAACGGTCTTTCTGTAGAAACTGCAAGTAGATATTTGGACCTCTCTGAGGATTTCGTTGGAAACGGGATAACCCGCACAGAACTAAAACAGAAGCATTCACAGAAAACTCTTGGTGACGACTGAGTTTAACTCACAGAGCTGAACATTCCTTTGGATGGAGCAGTTTCGAAACACACTATTTGTAGAATGTGCAAGTGGATATTTGGGCCTCTCTGAGGATTTCGTTGGAAACGGGATAAACCGCACAGAACTAAACAGAAGCATTCTCAGAAACTACTTTGTGATGATTGCATTCAAGTCACAGAGTTGAACATTCCCTTTGACAGAGCAGTTTGGAAACTCTCTTTGTGTAGAATCTGCAAGTGGAGATATGGACCGCTTTGAGGCCTATGGTAGTAAAGGAAATAGCTTCATATGAAAGCTAGACAGTAGCATTCTCAGAAACTTCTTTGTGATGCTTGCATTCAACTCACAGAGTTGAACTTTCCTTTCGAGAGAGAAGCTTTGAAACACTCTTTTTCCAGAATCTGCAAGTGGACATTTGGAGGGCTTTGAGGCCTGTGGTGGAAAAGGAATTAACTTCCCGTAAAAGCTAGATAGAAGCATTGTCAGAAACTTCTTTGTGATGATTGCATTCAACTCACAGAGATGAAGGTTCCTTTACAAACAGCAGTTTCCAAACACTCTTTCTGTGGAATCTGCAAGTGGATATTTGGACCTCTTTGAAGATTTCGTTGGAAACGGGAGAATCTTCACAGAAAAGCTAAACAGAAGCATTCTCAGAAACTTCTCTGTGATGTTTGTGTTCAACTCCCAGAGTTTCACATTGCTTTTCATAGAGTAGTTCTGAAACATGCTTTTCGTAGTGTCTGCAAGTGGACATTTGGAGCGCTTTCAGGCCTGTGGTGGAAAACGAATTATGGTCCCATAAAAACTGGAGAGAAGCCTTCTCAGAAACTTCTCTGTGATGATTGCATTCAACTCACAGATTTGAACCCTCCTATGGATAGAGCATTGTTGAAACTCTCTTTTTGTGGAATCTGCAAGTGGATATGTGGAGCTCTCCGAAGATGTCTTTGGAAACGGGAATATCTTCACATAAAAACTAAACAGAAGCATTCTCAGAAACTTCTTGGTGATGTTTGCATTCAAATCCCAGAGTTGAACCTTCCTGTGATAGTTCAGGTTTGAAACACTCTTTTTGTAGGATCTGCAAGTGGATATTTGGACCACTCTGTGGCCTTCGTTCGAAACGGGTACATCTTCACATAAAATCTAGACAGAAGCATTCTCAGAAAATACTTTGTGATGATTGAGTTTAACTCACAGAGCTGAACATTCCTTTGGATGGAGCAGGTTTGAGACACACTTTTTGTAGAATCTACAAGTGGATATTTGGACCTCTCTGAGGATTTCGTTGGAAACGCGATAACTGCACCTAACTAAACGGAAGCATTCTCAGAAACTGCTTTGTGATGATTGCATTCACCTCACAGAGTTGAACATTCCTATTGATAGAGCAGTTTGGAAACACTCTTGTTGTGGAATGTGCAAGTGGAGATTTGGAGCGCTTTGAGGCCTATGGTAGTAAAGGGAATAGCTTCATAGAAAAACTAGACAGATGCATTCTCAGGAACTTTTTGGTGATGTTTGTATTCAACTCCCAGTGTTGAACTTTCCTTTGGAAAGAGCAGCTATGAAACACTCTTTTTCTAGAATCTGGAAGTGGACGTTTGGAGGGCTTTGTGGTTTGTGGTGGAAAAGGAAATATCGTCACCTAAATACTAGATAGAAGCATTCTCAGAAGCTTCTCTGTGATGACTGCATTCAACTCACGGAGTTGAACACTCCTTTTGAGAGCGCAGTTTTGAAACTCTCTTTCTGTGGCATCTGCAAGGGGACATGTAGACCTCTTTGAAGATTTCGTTGGAAACGGAATCATCTTCACATAAAAACTATACAGAAGCAGTCTCAGAATCTTCTTTGTGATGTTTGCATTCAAATCCCAGAGTTGAACTTTCCTTTCAAAGTTCACGTTTGAAACACTCTTTTTGCAGGATCTACAAGTGGATATTTGGACCACTCTGTGTCCTTCGTTCGAAACGGGTATATCTTCACACGACATCTAGACAGAAGCTTTCTCAGAAAATTCTTTGGGATGATTGAGTGGAACTCACAGAGCTGAACATTCCTTGCGATGTAGCAGTTTAGAAACACACTTTCTGCAGAATCTGCAAGTGCATATTTGGACCTCTCTGAGGAATTCGTTGGAAACGGGATAATTTCAGCTGACTAAACAGAAGCATTCTCAGAACCTTCTTCGTGATGTCTGCATTCAACTCACAGTGTGGAACCTTTCTTTGATAGTTCAGGTTTGAAACACTCTTTTTGTAGAAACTGCAAGGGGATAATTGCACTTCTTTGAGGCCTACCGTAGTAAAGGAAATAACTTCCTATAGAAAGAAGACAGAAGCATTCTCAGAACCCTCTTCGTGATGTTTGCATTCAACTCACAGTGCTGAACCTTTCTTTGATAGTTCAGCTTTGAAACACTCTTCTTGTAGAAACTGCAAGTGGATATTTGGTCCTCTCTGAGGATTTCGTTGGAAACGGGATAAACCGCACAGAACTAAACAGAAGAATTCTCAGAGCCCTCTTCGTGATGTTTGCATTCAACTCACAGTGCTGAACCTTTCTTTGATAGTGCAGCTTTGAAACACTCTTTTTGTAGAAACTGCAAGTGGATGTTTGGTCCTCTCTGAGGATTTCGTTGGAAACGGGATAAACCGCACAGAACTAAAACAGAAGCATTGTCAGAAACTTCTTTGTGATGATTGCATTCAACTCACAGAGTTGAAGGTTCCTTTTCAAACAGCAGTTTCCAATCACTCTTTCTGTGGAATCTGCAAGTGGATATTTGGGCCTCTCTGAGGATTTCGTTGGAAACGGGATAAAACGCACAGAACTAAAACAGAAGCATTCTCAGAAACTTCTCTGTGATGTTTGTGTTCAACTCCCAGAGTTTCACGTTGCTTTTCATAGAGTAGTTCTGAAACATG
Organism: Homo sapiens; assembly: GCF_000001405.40. Classification (NCBI taxonomy): domain Eukaryota; kingdom Metazoa; phylum Chordata; class Mammalia; order Primates; family Hominidae; genus Homo; species Homo sapiens. Next base: position 24,646,954 of record NC_000017.11, read on the forward strand.
CTTTTCGTAGTGTCTGCAAGTGGACATTTGGAGCGCTTTCAGGCCTGTGGTGGAAAACGAATTATGGTCACATAAAAACTGGAGAGAAGCCTTCTCAGAAACTTCTCTGTGATGATTGCATTCAACTCACAGAGTTGAACCCTCCTATGGATAGAGCAGTGTTGAAACTCTCTTTTTGTGGAATCTGCAAGTGGATATGTGGACCTCTCCGAAGATGTCTTTGGAAACGGGAATATCTTCACATAAAAACTAAACAGAAGCATTCTCAGAAACTTCTTGGTGATGTTTGCATTCAAATCCCAGAGTTGAACCTTCCTTTGATAGTTCAGGTTTGAAACACTCTTTCTGTAGGATCTGCAAGTGGCTATTTGGACCACTCTGTGGCCTTCGTTCGAAACGGGTATATCTTCGCATAAAATCTAGACAGAAGCATTCTCAGAAAATACTTTGTGATGATTGAGTTTAAATCACAGAGCTGACCATTCCTTTGGATGGAGCAGGTTTGAGACACACTTTTTGTAGAATCTACAAGTGGATATTTGGACCTCTCTGAGGATTTCGTTGGAAACGGGATAACTGCACCTAACTAAACGGAAGCATTCTCAGAAACTGCTTTGTGATGATTGCATTCACCTCACAGAGTTGAACATTCCTATTGATAGAGCAGTTTGGAAACACTCTTGTTGTGGAATGTGCAAGTGGAGATTTGGAGCGCTTTGAGGCCTATGGTAGTAAAGGGAATAGCTTCATAGAAAAACTAGACAGATGCATTCTCAGGAACTTTTTGGTGATGTTTGTATTCAACTCCCAGAGTTGAACTTTCCTTTGGAAAGAGCAGCTATGAAACACTCTTTTTCTAGAATCTGCAAGTGGACGTTTGGAGGGCTTTGTGGTTTGTGGTGGAAAAGGAAATATCTTCACCTAAATACTAGATAGAAGCATTCTCAGAAGCTTCTCTGTGATGACTGCATTCAACTCACGGAGTTGAACACTCCTTTTGGGAGCGCAGTTTTGAAACTCTCTTTCTGTGGCATCCGCAAGGGGACATGTGGACCTCTTTGAAGATTTCGTTGGAAACGGAATCATCTTCACATAAAAACTATACAGAAGCAGTCTCAGAATCTTCTTTGTGATGTTTGCATTCAAATCCCAGAGTTGAACTTTCCTTTCAAAGTTCACGTTTGAAACACTCTTTTTGCAGGATCTACAAGTGGATATTTGGACCACTCTGTGTCCTTCGTTCGAAACGGGTATATCTTCACATGACATCTAGACAGAAGCTTTCTCAGAAAATTCTTTGGGATGATTGAGTGGAACTCACAGAGCTGAACATTCCTTGCGATGTAGCAGTTTAGAAACACACTTTCTGCAGAATCTGCAAGTGCATATTTGGACCTCTCTGAGGAATTCGTTGGAAACGGGATAATTTCAGCTGACTAAACAGAAGCATTCTCAGAACCTTCTTCGTGATGTCTGCATTCAACTCACAGTGTGGAACCTTTCTTTGATAGTTCAGGTTTGAAACACTCTTTTTGTAGAAACTGCAAGGGGATAATTGCACTTCTTTGAGGCCTACCCGTAGTAAAGGAAATAACTTCCTATAGAAAGAAGACAGAAGCATTCTCAGAACCCTCTTCGTGATGTTTGCATTCAACTCACAGTGCTGAACCTTTCTTTGATAGTTCAGCTTTGAAACACTCTTCTTGTAGAAACTGCAAGTGGATATTTGGTCCTCTCTGAGGATTTCGTTGGAAACGGGATAAACCGCACAGAACTAAACAGAAGAACTCTCAGAGCCCTCTTCGTGATGTTTGCATTCAACTCACAGTGCTGAACCTTTCTTTGATAGTGCAGCTTTGAAACACTCTTTTTGTAGAAACTGCAAGTGGATATTTGGTCCTCTCTGAGGATTTCGTTGGAAACGGGATAAACCGCACAGAACTAAAACAGAAACATTCACAGAAAACTCTTGGTGACGACTGAGTTTAACTCACAGAGCTGAACATTCCTTTGGATGGAGCAGTTTCGAAACACACTATTTGTAGAATCTGCAAGTGGATATTTGGGCCTCTCTGAGGATTTCGTTGGAAACGGGATAAAACGCACAGAACTAAAACAGAAGCATTCTCAGAAACTACTTTGTGATGATTGCATTCAAGTCACAGAGTTGAACATTCCCTTTGACAGAGCAGTTTGGAAACTCTCTTTGTGTAGAATCTGCAAGTGGAGATATGGACCGCTTTGAGGCCTATGGTAGTAAAGGAAATAGCTTCATATAAAAGCTAGACAGTAGCATTCTCAGAAACTTCTTTGTGATGCTTGCATTCAACTCACAGAGTTGAACTTTCCTTTCGAGAGAGAAGCTTTGAAACACTCTTTTTCCAGAATGTGCAAGTGGACATTTGGGGAGCTTTGAGGCCTGGGGTGGAAAAGGAATTATCTTCCCGTAAAAGCTAGATAGAAGCATTGTCAGAAACTTCTTTGTGATGATTGCATTCAACTCACAGAGTTGAAGGTTCCTTTTCAAACAGCAGTTTCCAATCACTCTTTCTGTGGAATCTGCAAGTGGATATTTCGACCTCTTTGAAGATTTCGTTGGAAACGGGAGAATCTTCACAGAAAAGCTAAACAGAAGCATTCTCAGAAACTTCTCTGTGATGTTTGTGTTCAACTCCCAGAGTTTCACGTTGCTTTTCATACAGTAGTTCTGAAACATGCTTTTCGTAGTGTCTACAAGTGGACATTTGGAGCGCTTTCAGGCCTGTGGTGGAAAACGAATTATGGTCACATAAAAACTGGAGAGAAGCCTTCTCAGAAACTTTTCTGTGATGATTGCATTCAACTCACAGAGTTGAACCCTCCTATGGACAGAGCAGTGTTGAAACTCTCTTTTTGTGGAATCTGCAAGTGGATATGTGGACCTCTCCGAAGATGTCTTTGGAAACGGGAATATCTTCACATAAAAACTAAACAGAAGCATTCTCAGAAACTTCTTGGTGATGTTTGCATTCAAATCCCAGAGTTGAACCTTCCTTTGATAGTTCAGGTTTGAAACACTCTTTTTGTAGGATCTGCAAGTGGCTATTTGGACCACTCTGTGGCCTTCGTTCGAAACGGGTATATCTTCGCATAAAATCTAGACAGAAGCATTCTCAGAAAATACTTTGTGATGATTGAGTTTAAATCACAGAGCTGACCATTCCTTTGGATGGAGCAGGTTTGAGACACACTTTTTGTAGAATCTACAAGTGGATATTTGGACCTCTCTGAGGATTTCGTTGGAAACGGGATAACTGCACCTAACTAAACGGAAGCATTCTCAGAAACTGCTTTGTGATGATTGCATTCACCTCACAGAGTTGAACATTCCTATTGATAGAGCAGTTTGGAAACACTCTTGTTGTGGAATGTGCAAGTGGAGATTTGGAGCGCTTTGAGGCCTATGGTAGTAAAGGGAATAGCTTCATAGAAAAACTAGACAGATGCATTCTCAGGAACTTTTTGGTGATGTTTGTATTCAACTCCCAGAGTTGAACTTTCCTTTGGAAAGAGCAGCTATGAAACACTCTTTTTCTAGAATCTGCAAGTGGACGTTTGGAGGGCTTTGTGGTTTGTGGTGGAAAAGGAAATATCTTCACCTAAATACTAGATAGAAGCATTCTCAGAAGCTTCTCTGTGATGACTGCATTCAACTCACGGAGTTGAACACTCCTTTTGAGAGCGCACTTTTGAAACTCTCTTTCTGTGGCATCTGCAAGGGGACATGTAGACCTCTTTGAAGATTTCGTTGGAAACGGAATCATCTTCACATAAAAACTATACAGAAGCAGTCTCAGAATCTTCTTTGTGATGTTTGCATTCAAATCCCAGAGTTGAACTTTCCTTTCAAAGTTCACGTTTGAAACACTCTTTTTGCAGGATCTACAAGTGGATATTTGGACCACTCTGTGTCCTTCGTTCGAAACGGGTATATCTTCACACGACATCTAGACAGAAGCTTTCTCAGAAAATTCTTTGGGATGATTGAGTGGAACTCACAGAGCTGAACATTCCTTGCGATGTAGCAGTTTAGAAACACACTTTCTGCAGAATCTGCAAGTGCATATTTGGACCTCTCTGAGGAATTCGTTGGAAACGGGATAATTTCAGCTGACTAAACAGAAGCATTCTCAGAACCTTCTTCGTGATGTCTGCATTCAACTCACAGTGTGGAACCTTTCTTTGATAGTTCAGGTTTGAAACACTCTTTTTGTAGAAACTGCAAGGGGATAATTGCACTTCTTTGAGGCCTACCGTAGTAAAGGAAATAACTTCCTATAGAAAGAAGACAGAAGCATTCTCAGAACCCTCTTCGTGATGTTTGCATTCAACTCACAGTGCTGAACCTTTCTTTGATAGTTCAGCTTTGAAACACTCTTCTTGTAGAAACTGCAAGTGGATATTTGGTCCTCTCTGAGGATTTCGTTGGAAACGGGATAAACCGCACAGAACTAAACAGAAGCATTCTCAGAACCTTCTTCGTGATGTTTGCATTCAACTCACAGTGTTGAACCTTTCTTTCATAGTTCAGGTTTGAAACGGTCTTTCTGTAGAAACTGCAAGTAGATATTTGGACCTCTCTGAGGATTTCGTTGGAAACGGGATAAACAGCACAGAACTAAAACAGAAGCATTCACAGAAAACTCTTGGTGACGACTGAGTTTAACTCACAGAGCTGAACATTCCTTTGGATGGAGCAGTTTCGAAACACACTATTTGTAGAATCTGCAAGTGGATATGTGGGCCTCTCTGAGGATTTCGTTCGAAACGGGATAAACCGCAAAGAACTAAAACAGAAGCATTCTCAGAAACTACTTTGTGATGATTGCATTCAAGTCACAGAGCTGAACATTCCCTTTGACAGAGAAGTTTGGAAACTCTCTTTGTGTAGAATCTGCAAGTGGAGATATGGAATGCTTTGAGGACTATGGTAGTAAAGGAAATAGCTTCATATAAAAGCTAGACAGTAGCATTCTCAGAAACTTCTTTGTGATGCTTGCATTTAACTCACAGAGTTGAACTTTCCTTTCGAGAGAGAAGCTTTGAAACACTCTTTTTCCAGAATCTGCAAGAGGACATTTGGAGGGCTTTGAGGCCTGTAGTGGAAAAGGAATTATCTTCCCGTAAAAGCTAGATAGAAGCATTGTCAGAAACTTCTTTGTGATGATTGCATTCAACTCACAGAGAATGAAGGTTCCTTTACAAACAGCAGTTTCCAAACACTCTTTCTGTGGAATCTGCAAGTGGATATTTGGACCTCTTTGAAGATTTCGTTGGAAACGGGAGAATCTTCACAGAAAAGCTAAACAGAAGCATTCTCAGAAACTTCTCTGTGATGTTTGTGTTCAACTCCCAGAGTTTCACATTGCTTTTCATAGAGTAGTTCTGAAACATGCTTTTCGTAGTATCTGCAAGTGGACATTTGGAGCGCTTTCAGGCCTGTGGTGGAAAACGAATTATGGTCCCATAAAAACTGGAGAGAAGCCTTCTCAGAATCTTCTCTGTGATGATTGCATTCAACTCACAGAGTTGAACCCTCCTATGGATAGAGCAGTGTTGAAACTCTCTTTTTGTGGAATCTGCAAGTGGATATGTGGACCTCTCCGAAGATGTCTTTGGAAACGGGAATATCTTCACATAAAAACTAAACAGAAGCATTCTCAGAAACTTCTTGGTGATGTTTGCATTCAAATCCCAGACTTGAACCTTCCTTTGATAGTTCAGGTTTGAAACACTCTTTTTGTAGGATCTGCAAGTGGCTATTTGGACCACTCTGTGGCCTTCGTTCGAAACGGGTATATCTTCGCATAAAATCTAGACAGAAGCATTCTCAGAAAATACTTTGTGATGATTGAGTTTAAATCACAGAGCTGACCATTCCTTTGGATGGAGCAGGTTTGAGACACACTTTTTGTAGAATCTACAAGTGGATATTTGGACCTCTCTGAGGATTTCGTTGGAAACGGGATAACTGCACCTAACTAAACGGAAGCATTCTCAGAAACTGCTTTGTGATGATTGCATTCACCTCACAGAGTTGAACATTCCTATTGATAGAGCAGTTTGGAAACACTCTTGTTGCGGAATGTGCAAGTGGAGATTTGGAGCGCTTTGAGGCCTGTGGTAGTAAAGGGAATAGCTTCATAGAAAAACTAGACAGATGCATTCTCAGGAACTTTTTGGTGATGTTTGTATTCAACTCCCAGAGTTGAACTTTCCTTTGGAAAGAGCAGCTATGAAACACTCTTTTTCTAGAATCTGCAAGTGGACGTTTGGAGGGCTTTGTGGTTTGTGGTGGAAAAGGAAATATCTTCACCTAAATACTAGATAGAAGCATTCTCAGAAGCTTCTCTGTGATGACTGCATTCAACTCACGGAGTTGAACACTCCTTTTGAGAGCGCAGTTTTGAAACTCTCTTTCTGTGGCATCTGCAAGGGGACATGTAGACCTCTTTGAAGATTTCGTTGGAAACGGAATCATCTTCACATAAAAACTATACAGAAGCAGTCTCAGAATCTTCTTTGTGTTGTTTGCATTCAAATCCCAGAGTTGAACTTTCCTTTCAAAGTTCACGTTTGAAACACTCTTTTTGCAGGATCTACAAGTGGATATTTGGACCACTCTGTGTCCTTCGTTTGAGACGGGTATATCTTCACATGACATCTAGACAGAAGCTTTCTCAGAAAATTCTTTGGGATGATTGAGTGGAACTCACAGAGCTGAACATTCCTTGCGATGTAGCAGTTTAGAAACACACTTTCTGCAGAATCTGCAAGTGCATATTTGGACCTCTCTGAGGAATTCGTTGGAAACGGGATAATTCAGCTGACTAAACAGAAGCATTCTCAGAACCTTCTTCGTGATGTCTGCATTCAACTCACAGTGTGGAACCTTTCTTTGATAGTTCAGGTTTGAAACACTCTTTTTGTAGAAACTGCAAGGGGATAATTGCACTTCTTTGAGGCCTACCGTAGTAAAGGAAATAACTTCCTATAGAAAGAAGACAGAAGCATTCTCAGAACCCTCTTCGTGATGTTTGCATTCAACTCACAGTGCTGAACCTTTCTTTGATAGTTCAGCTTTGAAACACTCTTCTTGTAGAAACTGCAAGTGGATATTTGGTCCTCTCTGAGGATTTCGTTGGAAACGGGATAAACCGCACAGAACTAAACAGAAGCATTCTCAGAACTTCTTCGTGATGTTTGCATTCAACTCACAGTGTTGAACCTTTCTTTGATAGTTCAGGTTTGAAACGGTCTTTCTGTAGAAACTGCAAGTAGATATTTGGACCTCTCTGAGGATTTCGTTGGAAACGGGATAAACCGCACAGAACTAAAACAGAAGCATTCACAGAAAACTCTTGGTGACGACTGAGTTTAACTCACAGAGCTGAACATTCCTTTGGATGGAGCAGTTTCGAAACACACTATTTGTAGAATGTGCAAGTGGATATTTGGGCCTCTCTGAGGATTTCGTTGGAAACGGGATAAACCGCACAGAACTAAACAGAAGCATTCTCAGAAACTACTTTGTGACGATTGCATTCAAGTCACAGAGTTGAACATTCCCTTTGACAGAGCAGTTTGGAAACTCTCTTTGTGTAGAATCTGCAAGTGGAGATATGGACCGCTTTGAGGCCTATGGTAGTAAAGGTAATAGCTTCATATGAAAGCTAGACAGTAGCATTCTCAGAAACTTCTTTGTGATGCTTGCATTCAACTCACAGAGTTGAACTTTCCTTTCGAGAGAGAAGCTTTGAAACACTCTTTTTCCAGAATCTGCAAGTGGACATTTGGAGGGCTTTGAGGCCTGTGGTGGAAAAGGAATTAACTTCCCGTAAAAGCTAGATAGAAGCATTGTCAGAAACTTCTTTGTGATGATTGCATTCAACTCACAGAGATGAAGGTTTCTTTACAAACAGCAGTTTCCAAACACTCTTTCTGTGGAATCTGCAAGTGGATATTTGGACCTCTTTGAAGATTTCGTTGGAAACGGGAGAATCTTCACAGAAAAGCTAAACAGAAGCATTCTCAGAAACTTCTCTGTGATGTTTGTGTTCAACTCCCAGAGTTTCACATTGCTTTTCATAGAGTAGTTCTGAAACATGCTTTTCGTAGTGTCTGCAAGTGGACATTTGGAGTGCTTTCAGGCCTGTGGTGGAAAACGAATTATGGTCCCATAAAAACTGGAGAGAAGCCTTCTCAGAAACTTCTCTGTGATGATTGCATTCAACTCACAGATTTGAACCCTCCTATGGATAGAGCATTGTTGAAACTCTCTTTTTGTGGAATCTGCAAGTGGATATGTGGACCTCTCCGAAGATGTCTTTGGAAACGGGCATATCTTCACATAAAAACTAAACAGAAGCATTCTCAGAAACTTCTTCGTGATGTTTGCATTCAAATCCCAGAGTTGAACCTTCCTTTGAGAGTTCAGGTTTGAAACACTCTTTTTGTAGGATCTGCAAGTGGATATTTGGACCACTCTGTGGCCTTCGTTCGAAACGGGTACATCTTCGCATAAAATCTAGACAGAAGCATTCTCAGAAAATACTTTTTGATGACTGAGTTGAACTCACAGAGCTGAACATTCCTTTGGATGGAGCAGGTTTGAGACACACTTTTTGTAGAATCTACAAGTGGATATTTGGACCTCTCTGAGGATTTCGTTGGAAACGGGATAACTGCACCTAACTAAACGGAAGCATTCTCAGAAACTGCTTTGTGATGATTGCATTCACCTCACAGAGTTGAACATTCCTATTGATAGAGCAGTTTGGAAACACTCTTCTTGTGGAATGTGCAAGTGGAGATTTGGAGCGCTTTGAGGCCTATGGTAGTAAAGGGAATAGCTTCATAGAAAAACTAGACAGATGCATTCTCAGGAACTTTTTGGTGATGTTTGTATTCAACTCCCAGAGTTGAACTTTCCTTTGGAAAGAGCAGCTATGAAACACTCTTTTTCTAAAATCTGCAAGTGGACGTTTGGAGGGCTTTGTGGTTTGTGGTGGAAAAGGAAATATCTTCACCTAAATACTAGATAGAAGCATCCTCAGAAGCTTCTCTGTGATGACTGCATTCAACTCACGGAGTTGAACACTCCTTTTGAGAGCGCAGTTTTGAAACTCTCTTTCTGTGGCATCTGCAAGGGGACATGTAGACCTCTTTGAAGATTTCGTTGGAAACGGAATCATCTTCACATAAAAACTATACAGAAGCAGTCTCAGAATCTTCTTTGTGATGTTTGCATTCAAATCCCAGAGTTGAACTTTCCTTTCAAAGTTCACGTTTGAAACACTCTTTTTGCAGGATCTACAAGTGGATATTTGGACCACTCTGTGTCCTTCGTTCGAAACGGGTATATCTTCACAAGACATCTAGACAGAAGCTTTCTCAGAAAATTCTTTGGGATGATTGAGTGGAACTCACAGAGCTGAACATTCCTTGCGATGTAGCAGTTTAGAAACACACTTTCTGCAGAATCTGCAAGTGCATATTTGAACCTCTCTGAGGAATTCGTTGGAAACGGGATAATTTCAGCTGACTAAACAGAAGCATTCTCAGAACCTTCTTCGTGATGTCTGCATTCAACTCACAGTGTGGAACCTTTCTTTGATAGTTCAGGTTTGAAACATTCTTTTTGTAGAAACTGCAAGGGGATAATTGCACTTCTTTGAGGCCTACCGTCGTAAAGGAAATAACTTCCTATAGAAAGAAGACAGAAGCATTCTCAGAACCCTCTTCGTGATGTTTGCATTCAACTCACAGTGCTGAACCTTTCTTTGATAGTTCAGCTTTGAAACACTCTTTTTGTAGAAACTGCAAATGGATATTTGGTCCTCTCTGAGGATTTCGTTGGAAAAGGGATAAAACGCACAGAACTAAACAGAAGCATTCACAGAAAACTCCTGGTGACGACTGAGTTTAACTCACAGAGCTGAACATTCCTTTGGATGGAGCAGTTTCAAAACACACTATTTGTAGAATGTGCAAGTGGATATGTGGGCCTCTCTGAGGATTTCGTTGGAAACGGGATAAACCGCACAGAACTAAAACAGAAGCATTCTCAGAAACTACTTTGTGATGATTGCATTCAAGTCACAGAGTTGAACATTCCCTTTGACAGAGCAGTTTGGAAACTCTCTTTGTGTAGAATCTGCAAGTGGAGATATGGACCGCTTTGAGGCCTATGGTAGTAAAGGAAATAGCTTCATATAAAAGCTAGACAGTAGCATTCTCAGAAACTTCTTTGTGATGCTTGCATTCAACTCACAGAGTTGAACTTTCCTTTCGAGAGAGAAGCTTTGAAACACTGTTTTTCCAGAATCTGCAAGTGGACATTTGGAGGGCTTTGAGGCCTGTGGTGGAAAAGGAATTAACTTCCCATAAAAGCTAGATAGAAGCATTGTCAGAAACTTCTTTGTGATGATTGCATTCAACTCACAGAGTTGAAGGTTCCTTTTCAAACAGCAGTTTCCAATCACTCTTTCTGTGGAATCTGCAAGTGGATATTTGGGCCTCTCTGAGGATTTCGTTGGAAACGGGATAAAACGCACAGAACTAAAACAGAAGCATTCTCAGAAACTTCTCTGTGATGTTTGTGTTCAACTCCCAGAGTTTCACGTTGCTTTTCATAGAGTAGTTCTGAAACATGCTTTTCGTAGTGTCTGCAAGTGGACATTTGGAGCGCTTTCAGGCCGGTGGTGGAAAACGAATTATGGTCACATAAAAACTGGAGAGAAGCCTTCTCAGAAACTTCTCTGTGATGATTGCATTCAACTCACAGAGTTGAACCCTCCTATGGATAGAGCAGTGTTGAAACTCTCTTTTTGTGGAATCTGCAAGTGGATATGTGGACCTCTCCGAAGATGTCTTTGGAAACGGGAATATCTTCACATAAAAACTAAACAGAAGCATTCTCAGAAACTTCTTGGTGATGTTTGCATTCAAATCCCAGAGTTGAACCTTCCTTTGATAGTTCAGGTTTGAAACACTCTTTCTGTAGGATCTGCAAGTGGCTATTTGGACCACTCTGTGGCCTTCGTTCGAAACGGGTATATCTTCGCATAAAATCTAGACAGAAGCATTCTCAGAAAATACTTTGTGATGATTGAGTTTAACTCACAGAGCTGAACATTCCTTTGGATGGAGCAGGTTTGAGACACACTTTTTGTAGAATCTACAAGTGGATATTTGGATCTTTCTGAGGATTTCGTTGGAAACGGGATAACTGCACCTAACTAAACGGAAAGCATTCTCAGAAACTGCTTTGTGATGATTGCATTCACCTCACAGGAGTTGAACATTCCTATTGATAGAGCAGTTTGGAAACACTCTTGTTGTGGAATGTGCAAGTGGAGATTTGGAGCGCTTTGAGGCCTGTGGTAGTAAAGGGAATAGCTTCATAGAAAAACTAGACAGATGCATTCTCAGGAACTTTTTGGTGATGTTTGTATTCAACTCCCAGAGTTGAACTTTCCTTTGGAAAGAGCAGCTATGAAACACTCTTTTTCTAGAATCTGCAAGTGGACGTTTGGAGGGCTTTGTGGTTTGTGGTGGAAAAGGAAATATCTTCACCTAAATACTAGATAGAAGCATTCTCAGAAGCTTCTCTGTGATGACTGCATTCAACTCACGGAGTTGAACACTCCTTTTGAGAGCGCAGTTTTGAAACTCTCTTTCTGTGGCATCTGCAAGGGGACATGTAGACCTCTTTGAAGATTTCGTTGGAAACGGAATCATCTTCACATAAAAACTATACAGAAGCAGTCTCAGAATCTTCTTTGTGATGTTTGCATTCAAATCCCAGAGTTGAACTTTCCTTTCAAAGTTCACGTTTGAAACACTCTTTTTGCAGGATCTACAAGTGGATATTTGGACCACTCTGTGTCCTTCGTTCGAAACGGGTATATCTTCACACGACATCTAGACAGAAGCTTTCTCAGAAAATTCTTTGGGATGATTGAGTGGAACTCACAGAGCTGAACATTCCTTGCGATGTAGCAGTTTAGAAACACACTTTCTGCAGAATCTGCAAGTGCATATTTGGACCTCTCTGAGGAATTCGTTGGAAACGGGATAATTTCAGCTGACTAAACAGAAGCATTCTCAGAACTTCTTCGTGATGTCTGCATTCAACTCACAGTGTGGAACCTTTCTTTGATAGTTCAGGTTTGAAACACTCTTTTTGTAGAAACTGCAAGGGGATAATTGCACTTCTTTGAGGCCTACCGTAGTAAAGGAAATAACTTCCTATAGAAAGAAGACAGAAGCATTCTCAGAACCCTCTTCGTGATGTTTGCATTCAACTCACAGTGCTGAACCTTTCTTTGATAGTTCAGCTTTGAAACACTCTTCTTGTAGAAACTGCAAGTGGATATTTGGTCCTCTCTGAGGATTTCGTTGGAAACGGGATAAACCGCACAGAACTAAACAGAAGAATTCTCAGAGCCCTCTTCGTGATGTTTGCATTCAACTCACAGTGCTGAACCTTTCTTTGATAGTGCAGCTTTGAAACACTCTTTTTGTAGAAACTGCAAGTGGATATTTGGTCCTCTCTGAGGATTTCGTTGGAAACGGGATAAACCGCACAGAACTAAAACAGAAGCATTCACAGAAAACTCTTGGTGACGACTGAGTTTAACTCACAGAGCTGAACATTCCTTTGGATGGAGCAGTTTCGAAACACACTATTTGTAGAATCTGCAAGTGGATATTTGGGCCTCTCTGAGGATTTCGTTGGAAACGGGATAAAACGCACAGAACTAAAACAGAAGCATTCTCAGAAACTACTTTGTGATGATTGCATTCAAGTCACAGAGTTGAACATTCCCTTTGACAGAGCAGTTTGGAAACTCTCTTTGTGTAGAATCTGCAAGTGGAGATATGGACCGCTTTGAGGCCTATGGTAGTAAAGGAAATAGCTTCATATAAAAGCTAGACAGTAGCATTCTCAGAAACTTCTTTGTGATGCTTGCATTCAACTCACAGAGTTGAACTTTCCTTTCGAGAGAGAAGCTTTGAAACACTCTTTTTCCAGAATGTGCAAGTGGACATTTGGGGAGCTTTGAGGCCTGTGGTGGAAAAGGAATTATCTTCCCGTAAAAGCTAGATAGAAGCATTGTCAGAAACTTCTTTGTGATGATTGCATTCAACTCACAGAGTTGAAGGTTCCTTTTCAAACAGCAGTTTCCAATCACTCTTTCTGTGGAATCTGCAAGTGGATATTTCGACCTCTTTGAAGATTTCGTTGGAAACGGGAGAATCTTCACAGAAAAGCTAAACAGAAGCATTCTCAGAAACTTCTCTGTGATGTTTGTGTTCAACTCCCAGAGTTTCACGTTGCTTTTCATAGAGTAGTTCTGAAACATGCTTTTCGTAGTGTCTGCAAGTGGACATTTGGAGCGCTTTCAGGCCTGTGGTGGAAAACGAATTATGGTCACATAAAAACTGGAGAGAAGCCTTCTCAGAAACTTCTCTGTGATGATTGCATTCAACTCACAGAGTTGAACCCTCCTATGGATAGAGCAGTGTTGAAACTCTCTTTTTGTGGAATCTGCAAGTGGATATGTGGACCTCTCCGAAGATGTCTTTGGAAACGGGAATATCTTCACATAAAAACTAAACAGAAGCATTCTCAGAAACTTCTTGGTGATGTTTGCATTCAAATCCCAGAGTTGAACCTTCCTTTGATAGTTCAGGTTTGAAACACTCTTTTTGTAGGATCTGCAAGTGGCTATTTGGACCACTCTGTGGCCTTCATTCGAAACGGGTATATCTTCGCATAAAATCTAGACAGAAGCATTCTCAGAAAATACTTTGTGATGATTGAGTTTAAATCACAGAGCTGACCATTCCTTTGGATGGAGCAGGTTTGAGACACACTTTTTGTAGAATCTACAAGTGGATATTTGGACCTCTCTGAGGATTTCGTTGGAAACGGGATAACTGCACCTAACTAAACGGAAGCATTCTCAGAAACTGCTTTGTGATGATTGCATTCACCTCACAGAGTTGAACATTCCTATTGATAGAGCAGTTTGGAAACACTCTTGTTGTGGAATGTGCAAGTGGAGATTTGGAGCGCTTTGAGGTCTATGGTAGTAAAGGGAATAGCTTCATAGAAAAACTAGACAGATGCATTCTCAGGAACTTTTTGGTGATGTTTGTATTCAACTCCCAGAGTTGAACTTTCCTTTGGAAAGAGCAGCTATGAAACACTCTTTTTCTAGAATCTGCAAGTGGACGTTTGGAGGGCTTTGTGGTTTGTGGTGGAAAAGGAAATATCTTCACCTAAATACTAGATAGAAGCATTCTCAGAAGCTTCTCTGTGATGACTGCATTCAACTCACGGAGTTGAACACTCCTTTTGAGAGCGCAGTTTTGAAACTCTCTTTCTGTGGCATCTGCAAGGGGACATGTAGACCTCTTTGAAGATTTCGTTGGAAACGGAATCATCTTCACATAAAAACTATACAGAAGCAGTCTCAGAATCTTCTTTGTGATGTTTGCATTCAAATCCCAGAGTTGAACTTTCCTTTCAAAGTTCACGTTTGAAACACTCTTTTTGCAGGATCTACAAGTGGATATTTGGACCACTCTGTGTCCTTCGTTCGAAACGGGTATATCTTCACACGACATCTAGACAGAAGCTTTCTCAGAAAATTCTTTGGGATGATTGAGTGGAACTCACAGAGCTGAACATTCCTTGCGATGTAGCAGTTTAGAAACACACTTTCTGCAGAATCTGCAAGTGCATATTTGGACCTCTCTGAGGAATTCGTTGGAAACGGGATAATTTCAGCTGACTAAACAGAAGCATTCTCAGAACCTTCTTCGTGATGTCTGCATTCAACTCACAGTGTGGAACCTTTCTTTGATAGTTCAGGTTTGAAACACTCTTTTTGTAGAAACTGCAAGGGGATAATTGCACTTCTTTGAGGCCTACCGTAGTAAAGGAAATAACTTCCTATAGAAAGAAGACAGAAGCATTCTCAGAACCCTCTTCGTGATGTTTGCATTCAACTCACAGTGCTGAACCTTTCTTTGATAGTTCAGCTTTGAAACACTCTTCTTGTAGAAACTGCAAGTGGATATTTGGTCCTCTCTGAGGATTTCGTTGGAAACGGGATAAACCGCACAGAACTAAACAGAAGAATTCTCAGAGCCCTCTTCGTGATGTTTGCATTCAACTCACAGTGCTGAACCTTTCTTTGATAGTGCAGCTTTGAAACACTCTTTTTGTAGAAACTGCAAGTGGATGTTTGGTCCTCTCTGAGGATTTCGTTGGAAACGGGATAAACCGCACAGAACTAAAACAGAAGCATTGTCAGAAACTTCTTTGTGATGATTGCATTCAACTCACAGAGTTGAAGGTTCCTTTTCAAACAGCAGTTTCCAATCACTCTTTCTGTGGAATCTGCAAGTGGATATTTGGGCCTCTCTGAGGATTTCGTTGGAAACGGGATAAAACGCACAGAACTAAAACAGAAGCATTCTCAGAAACTTCTCTGTGATGTTTGTGTTCAACTCCCAGAGTTTCACGTTGCTTTTCATAGAGTAGTTCTGAAACATGCTTTTCGTAGTGTCTGCAAGTGGACATTTGGAGCGCTTTCAGGCCTGTGGTGGAAAACGAATTATGGTCACATAAAAACTGCAGAGAAGCCTTCTCAGAAACTTCTCTGTGATGATTGCATTCAACTCACAGAGTTGAACCGTCCTATGCATAGAGCAGTGTTGAAACTCTCTTTTTGTGGAATCTGCAAGTGGATATGTGGACCTCTCCGAAGATGTCTTTGGAAACGGGAATATCTTCACATAAAAACTAAACAGAAGCATTCTCAGAAACTTCTTGGTGATGTTTGCATTCAAATCCCAGAGTTGAACCTTCCTTTGATAGTTCAGGTTTGAAACACTCTTTCTGTAGGATCTGCAAGTGGCTATTTGGACCACTCTGTGGCCTTCGTTCGAAACGGGTATATCTTCGCATAAAATCTAGACAGAAGCATTCTCAGAAAATACTTTGTGATGATTGAGTTTAAATCACAGAGCTGACCATTCCTTTGGATGGAGCAGGTTTGAGACACACTTTTTGTAGAATCTACAAGTGGATATTTGGACCTCTCTGAGGATTTCGTTGGAAACGGGATAACTGCACCTAACTAAACGGAAGCATTCTCAGAAACTGCTTTGTGATGATTGCATTCACCTCACAGAGTTGAACATTCCTATTGATAGAGCAGTTTGGAAACACTCTTGTTGTGGAATGTGCAAGTGGAGATTTGGAGCGCTTTGAGGCCTATGGTAGTAAAGGGAATAGCTTCATAGAAAAACTAGACAGATGCATTCTCAGGAACTTTTTGGTGATGTTTGTATTCAACTCCCAGAGTTGAACTTTCCTTTGGAAAGAGCAGCTATGAAACACTCTTTTTCTAGAATCTGCAAGTGGACGTTTGGAGGGCTTTGTGGTTTGTGGTGGAAAAGGAAATATCTTCACCTAAATACTAGATAGAAGCATTCTCAGAAGCTTCTCTGTGATGACTGCATTCAACTCACGGAGTTGAACACTCCTTTTGAGAGCGCAGTTTTGAAACTCTCTTTCTGTGGCATCTGCAAGGGGACATGTAGACCTCTTTGAAGATTTCGTTGGAAACGGAATCATCTTCACATAAAAACTATACAGAAGCAGTCTCAGAATCTTCTTTGTGATGTTTGCATTCAAATCCCAGAGTTGAACTTTCCTTTCAAAGTTCACGTTTGAAACACTCTTTTTGCAGGATCTACAAGTGGATATTTGGACCACTCTGTGTCCTTCGTTCGAAACGGGTATATCTTCACATGACATCTAGACAGAAGCTTTCTCAGAAAATTCTTTGGGATGATTGAGTGGAACTCACAGAGCTGAACATTCCTTGCGATGTAGCAGTTTAGAAACACACTTTCTGCAGAATCTGCAAGTGCATATTTGGACCTCTCCGAGGAATTCGTTGGAAACGGGATAATTTCAGCTGACTAAACAGAAGCATTCTCAGAACCTTCTTCGTGATGTCTGCATTCAACTCACAGTGTGGAACCTTTCTTTGATAGTTCAGGTTTGAAACACTCTTTTTGTAGAAACTGCAAGGGGATAATTGCACTTCTTTGAGGCCTACCGTAGTAAAGGAAATAACTTCCTATAGAAAGAAGACAGAAGCATTCTCAGAACCCTCTTCGTGATGTTTGCATTCAACACACAGTGCTGAACCTTTCTTTGATAGTTCAGCTTTGAAACACTCTTCTTGTAGAAACTGCAAGTGGATATTTGGTCCTCTCTGAGGATTTCGTTGGAAACGGGATAAACCGCACAGAACTAAACAGAAGCATTCTCAGAACCTTCTTCGTGATGTTTGCATTCAACTCACAGTGTTGAACCTTTCTTTGATAGTTCAGGTTTGAAACGGTCTTTCTGTAGAAACTGCAAGTAGATATTTGGACCTCTCTGAGGATTTCGTTGGAAACGGGATAACCCGCACAGAACTAAAACAGAAGCATTCACAGAAAACTCTTGGTGACGACTGAGTTTAACTCACAGAGCTGAACATTCCTTTGGATGGAGCAGTTTCGAAACACACTATTTGTAGAATGTGCAAGTGGATATTTGGGCCTCTCTGAGGATTTCGTTGGAAACGGGATAAACCGCACAGAACTAAACAGAAGCATTCTCAGAAACTACTTTGTGATGATTGCATTCAAGTCACAGAGTTGAACATTCCCTTTGACAGAGCAGTTTGGAAACTCTCTTTGTGTAGAATCTGCAAGTGGAGATATGGACCGCTTTGAGGCCTATGGTAGTAAAGGAAATAGCTTCATATAAAAGCTAGACAGTAGCATTCTCAGCAAACTTCTTTGTGATGCTTGCATTCAACTCACAGAGTTGAACTTTCCTTTCGAGAGAGAAGCTTTGAAACACTCTTTTTCCAGAATCTGCAAGTGGACATTTGGAGGGCTTTGAGGCCTGTGGTGGAAAAGGAATTATCTTCCCGTAAAAGCTAGATAGAAGCATTGTCAGAAACTTCTTTGTGATGATTGCATTCAACTCACAGAGATGAAGGTTCCTTTACAAACAGCAGTTTCCAAACACTCTTTCTGTGGAATCTGCAAGTGGATATTTGGACCTCTTTGAAGATTTCGTTGGAAACGGGAGAATCTTCACAGAAAAGCTAAACAGAAGCATTCTCAGAAACTTCTCTGTGATGTTTGTGTTCAACTCCCAGAGTTTCACATTGCTTCTCATAGAGTAGTTCTGAAACATGCTTTTCGTAGTGTCTGCAAGTGGTCATTTGGAGCGCTTTCCGGCCTGTGGTGGAAAACGAATTATGGTCACATAAAAACTGGAGAGAAGCCTTCTCAGAAACTTCTCTGTGATGATTGCATTCAACTCACAGAGTTGAACCCTCCTATGGATAGAGCAGTGTTGAAACTCTCTTTTTGTGGAATCTGCAAGTGGATATGTGGACCTCTCCGAAGATGTCTTTGGAAACGGGAATATCTTCACATAAAAACTAAACAGAAGCATTCTCAGAAACTTCTTGGTGATGTTTGCATTCAAATCCCAGAGTTGAACCTTCCTTTGATAGTTCAGGTTTGAAACACTCTTTCTGTAGGATCTGCAAGTGGCTATTTGGACCACTCTGTGGCCTTCGTTCGAAACGGGTATATCTTCGCATAAAATCTAGACAGAAGCATTCTCAGAAAATACTTTGTGATGATTGAGTTTAAATCACAGAGCTGACCATTCCTTTGGATGGAGCATGTTTGAGACACACTTTTTGTAGAATCTACAAGTGGATATTTGGACCTCTCTGAGGATTTCGTTGGAAACGGGATAACTGCACCTAACTAAACGGAAGCATTCTCAGAAACTGCTTTGTGATGATTGCATTCACCTCACAGAGTTGAACATTCCTATTGATAGAGCAGTTTGGAAACACTCTTGTTGTGGAATGTGCAAGTGGAGATTTGGAGCGCTTTGAGGCCTATGGTAGTAAAGGGAATAGCTTCATAGAAAAACTAGACAGATGCATTCTCAGGAACCTTTTGGTGATGTTTGTATTCAACTCCCAGAGTTGAACTTTCCTTTGGAAAGAGCAGCTATGAAACACTCTTTTTCTAGAATCTGCAAGTGGACGTTTGGAGGGCTTTGTGGTTTGTGGTGGAAAAGGAAATATCTTCACCTAAATACTAGACAGAAGCATTCTCAGAAGCTTCTCTGTGATGACTGCATTCAACTCACGGAGTTGAACACTCCTTTTGAGAGCGCAGTTTTGAAACTCTCTTTCTGTGGCATCTGCAAGGGGACATGTAGACCTCTTTGAAGATTTCGTTGGAAACGGAATAATCTTCACATAAAAACTATACAGAAGCAGTCTCAGAATTTTCTTGGTGATGTTTGCATTCAAATCCCAGAGTTGAACTTTCCTTTCAAAGTTCACTTTTGAAACACTCTTTTTGCAGGATCTACAAGTGGATATTTGGACCACTATGTGTCCTTCGTTTGAAACGGGTATATCTTCACATGACATCTAGACAGAAGCTTTCTCAGAAAATTCTTTGGGATGATTGAGTTGAACTCACAGAGCTGAACATTCCTTGCGATGTAGCAGTTTAGAAACACACTTTCTGCAGAATCTGCAAGTGCATATTAGGACCTCTCTGAGGAATTCGTTGGAAACGGGATAATTTCAGCTGACTAAACAGAAGCATTCTCAGAACCTTCTTCGTGATGTCTGCATTCAACTCACAGTGTGGAACCTTTCTTTGATAGTTCAGGTTTGAAACACTCTTTTTGTAGAAACTGCAAGGGGATAATTGCACTTCTTTGAGGCCTACCGTAGTAAAGGAAATAACTTCCTATAAAAAGAAGACAGAAGCATTCTCAGAACCCTCTTCGTGATGTTTGCATTCAACTCACAGTGCTGAACCTTTCTTTGATAGTTCAGCTTTGAAACACTCTTCTTGTAGAAACTGCAAGTGGATATTTGGTCCTCTCTGAGGATTTCGTTGGAAACGGGATAAACCGCACAGAACTAAACAGAAGAATTCTCAGAGCCCTCTTCGTGATGTTTGCATTCAACTCACAGTGCTGAACCTTTCTTTGATAGTGCAGCTTTGAAACACTCTTTTTGTAGAAACTGCAAGTGGATGTTTGGTCCTCTCTGAGGATTTCGTTGGAAACGGGATAAACCGCACAGAACTAAAACAGAAGCATTGTCAGAAACTTCTTTGTGATGATTGCATTCAACTCACAGAGTTGAAGGTTCCTTTTCAAACAGCAGTTTCCAATCACTCTTTCTGTGGAATCTGCAAGTGGATATTTGGGCCTCTCTGAGGATTTCGTTGGAAACGGGATAAAACGCACAGAACTAAAACAGAAGCATTCTCAGAAACTTCTCTGTGATGTTTGTGTTCAACTCCCAGAGTTTCACGTTGCTTTTCATAGAGTAGTTCTGAAACATGCTTTTCGTAGTGTCTGCAAGTGGACATTTGGAGCGCTTTCAGGCCTGTGGTGGAAAACGAATTATGGTCACATAAAAACTGGAGAGAAGCCTTCTCAGAAACTTCTCTGTGATGATTGCATTCAACTCACAGAGTTGAACCCTCCTATGGATAGAGCAGTGTTGAAACTCTCTTTTTGTGGAATCTGCAAGTGGATATGTGGACCTCTCCGAAGATGTCTTTGGAAACGGGAATATCTTCACATAAAAACTAAACAGAAGCATTCTCAGAAACTTCTTGGTGATGTTTGCATTCAAATCCCAGAGTTGAACCTTCCTTTGATAGTTCAGGTTTGAAACACTCTTTCTGTAGGATCTGCAAGTGGCTATTTGGACCACTCTGTGGCCTTCGTTCGAAACGGGTATATCTTCGCATAAAATCTAGACAGAAGCATTCTCAGAAAATACTTTGTGATGATTGAGTTTAAATCACAGAGCTGACCATTCCTTTGGATGGAGCAGGTTTGAGACACACTTTTTGTAGAATCTACAAGTGGATATTTGGACCTCTCTGAGGATTTCGTTGGAAACGGGATAACTGCACCTAACTAAACGGAAGCATTCTCAGAAACTGCTTTGTGATGATTGCATTCACCTCACAGAGTTGAACATTCCTATTGATAGAGCAGTTTGGAAACACTCTTGTTGTGGAATGTGCAAGTGGAGATTTGGAGCGCTTTGAGGCCTATGGTAGTAAAGGGAATAGCTTCATAGAAAAACTAGACAGATGCATTCTCAGGAACTTTTTGGTGATGTTTGTATTCAACTCCCAGAGTTGAACTTTCCTTTGGAAAGAGCAGCTATGAAACACTCTTTTTCTAGAATCTGCAAGTGGACGTTTGGAGGGCTTTGTGGTTTGTGGTGGAAAAGGAAATATCTTCACCTAAATACTAGATAGAAGCATCCTCAGAAGCTTCTCTGTGATGACTGCATTCAACTCACGGAGTTGAACACTCCTTTTGAGAGCGCAGTTTTGAAACTCTCTTTCTGTGGCATCTGCAAGGGGACATGTAGACGTCTTTGAAGATTTCGTTGGAAACGGAATCATCTTCACATAAAAACTACACAGAAGCAGTCTCAGAATCTTCTTTGTGATGTTTGCATTCAAATCCCCGAGTTGAACTTTCCTTTCAAAGTTCACGTTTGAAACACTCTTTTTGCAGGATCTACAAGTGGATATTTGGACCACTCTGTGTCCTTCGTTCGAAACGGGTATATCTTCACATGACATCTAGACAGAAGCTTTCTCAGAAAATTCTTTGGGATGATTGAGTTGAACTCACAGAGCTGAGCATTCCTTGCGATGTAGCAGTTTAGAAACACACTTTCTGCAGAATCTGCAAGTGCATATTTGGACCTCTGTGAGGAATTCGTTGGAAACGGGATAATTTCAGCTGACTAAACAGAAGCATTCTCAGAACCTTCTTCGTGATGTCTGCATTCAACTCACAGTGTGGAACCTTTCTTTGATAGTTCAGGTTTGAAACACTCTTTTTGTAGAAACTGCAAGGGGATAATTGCACTCTTTGAGGAGTACCGTAGTAAAGGAAATAACTTCCTATAAAAAGAAGACAGAAGCATTCTCAGTAACCCTCTTCGTGATGTTTGCATTCAACTCACAGTGCTGAACCTTTCTTTGATAGTTCAGCTTTGAAACACTCTTTTTGTAGAAACTGCAAGTGGATATTTGGTCCTCTCTGAGGATTTCGTTGGAAACGGGATAAACTGCACAGAACTAAACAGAAGCATTCTCAGAACCTTCTTCGTGATGTTTGCATTCAACTCACAGTGTTGAACCTTTCTTTGATAGTTCAGGTTTGAAACGGTCTTTCTGTAGAAACTGCAAGTAGATATTTGGACCTCTCTGAGGATTTCGTTGGAAACGGGATAACCCGCACAGAACTAAAACAGAAGCATTCACAGAAAACTCTTGGTGACGACTGAGTTTAACTCACAGAGCTGAACATTCCTTTGGATGGAGCAGTTTCGAAACACACTATTTGTAGAATGTGCAAGTGGATATTTAGGCCTCTCTGAGGATTTCGTTGGAAACGGGATAAACCGCACAGAACTAAACAGAAGCATTCTCAGAAACTACTTTGTGATGATTGCATTCAAGTCACAGAGTTGAACATTCCCTTTGACAGAGCAGTTTGGAAACTCTCTTTGTGTAGAATCTGCAAGTGGAGATATGGACCGCTTTGAGGCCTATGGTAGTAAAGGAAATAGCTTCATATAAAAGCTAGACAGTAGCATTCTCAGAAACTTCTTTGTGATGCTTGCATTCAACTCACAGAGTTGAACTTTCCTTTCGAGAGAGAAGCTTTGAAACACTCTTTTTCCAGAATCTGCAAGTGGACATTTGGAGGGCTTTGAGGCCTGTGGTGGAAAAGGAATTATCTTCCCGTAAAAGCTAGATAGAAGCATTGTCAGAAACTTCTTTGTGATGATTGCATTCAACTCACAGAGTTGAAGGTTCCTTTTCAAAGAGCAGTTTCCAATCACTCTTTCTGTGGAATCTGCAAGTGGATATTTGGACCTATTTTGAAGATTTCGTTGGAAACGGGAGAATCTTCACAGGAAAGCTAAACAGAAGCATTCTCAGAAACTTCTCTGTGATGTTTGTGTTCAACTCCCAGAGTTTCACATTGCTTTTCATAGAGTAGTTCTGAAACATGCTTTTCGTAGTGTCTACAAGTGGACATTTGGAGCGCTTTCAGGCCTGTGGTGGAAAACGAATTATGGTCACATAAAAACTGGAGAGAAGCCTTCTCAGAAACTTCTCTGTGATGATTGCATTCAACTCACAGAGTTGAACCCTCCTATGGATAGAGCAGTGTTGAAACTCTCTTTTTGTGGAATCTGCAAGTGGATATGTGGACCTCTCCGAAGATGTCTTTGGAAACGGGAATATCTTCACATAAAAACTAAACAGAAGCATTCTCAGCAAACTTCTTGGTGATGTTTGCATTCAAATCCCAGAGTTGAACCTTCCTTTGATAGTTCAGGTTTGAAACACTCTTTTTGTAGGATCTGCAAGTGGATATTTGGACCACTCTGTGGCCTTCGTTCGAAATGGGTATATCTTCGCATAAAATCTAGACAGAAGCATTCTCAGAAAATACTTTGTGATGATTGAGTTGAACTCACAGAGCTGAACATTCCTTTGGATGGAGCAGGTTTGAGACACACTTTTTGTAGAATCTACAAGTGGATATTTGGACCTCTCTGAGGATTTCGTTGGAAACGGGATAACTGCACCTAACTAAACGGAAGCATTCTCAGAAACTGCTTTGTGATGATTGCATTCACCTCACAGAGTTGAACATTCCTATTGATAGAGCAGTTTGGAAACACTCTTGTTGTGGAATGTGCAAGTGGAGATTTGGAGCGCTTTGAGGCCTATGGTAGTAAAGGGAATAGCTTCATAGAAAAACTAGACAGATGCATTCTCAGGAACTTTTTGGTGATGTTTGTATTCAACTCCCAGAGTTGAACTTTCCTTTGGAAAGAGCAGCTATGAAACACTCTTTTTCTAGAATCTGCAAGTGGACGTTTGGAGGGCTTTGTGGTTTGTGGTGGAAAAGGAAATATCTTCACCTAAATACTAGATAGAAGCATTCTCAGAAGCTTCTCTGTGATGACTGCATTCAACTCACGGAGTTGAACACTCCTTTTGAGAGCGCAGTTTTGAAACTCTCTTTCTGTGGCATCTGCAAGGGGACATGTAGACCTCTTTGAAGATTTCGTTGGAAACGGAATCATCTTCACATAAAAACTATACAGAAGCAGTCTCAGAATCTTCTTTGTGATGTTTGCATTCAAATCCCAGAGTTGAACTTTCCTTTCAAAGTTCACGTTTGAAACACTCTTTTTGCAGGATCTACAAGTGGATATTTGGACCACTCTGTGTCCTTCGTTCGAAACGGGTATATCTTCACACGACATCTAGACAGAAGCTTTCTCAGAAAATTCTTTGGGATGATTGAGTGGAACTCACAGAGCTGAACATTCCTTGCGATGTAGCAGTTTAGAAACACACTTTCTGCAGAATCTGCAAGTGCATATTTGGACCTCTCTGAGGAATTCGTTGGAAACGGGATAATTTCAGCTGACTAAACAGAAGCATTCTCAGAACCTTCTTCGTGATGTCTGCATTCAACTCACAGTGTGGAAACTTTCTTTGATAGTTCAGGTTTGAAACACTCTTTTTGTAGAAACTGCAAGGGGATAATTGCACTTCTTTGAGGCCTACCGTAGTAAAGGAAATAACTTCCTATAGAAAGAAGACAGAAGCATTCTCAGAACCCTCTTCGTGATGTTTGCATTCAACTCACAGTGCTGAACCTTTCTTTGATAGTTCAGCTTTGAAACACTCTTCTTGTAGAAACTGCAAGTGGATATTTGGTCCTCTCTGAGGATTTCGTTGGAAACGGGATAAACCGCACAGAACTAAACAGAAGAATTCTCAGAGCCCTCTTCGTGATGTTTGCATTCAACTCACAGTGCTGAACCTTTCTTTGATAGTGCAGCTTTGAAACACTCTTTTTGTAGAAACTGCAAGTGGATGTTTGGTCCTCTCTGAGGATTTCGTTGGAAACGGGATAAACCGCACAGAACTAAAACAGAAGCATTGTCAGAAACTTCTTTGTGATGATTGCATTCAACTCACAGAGTTGAAGGTTCCTTTTCAAACAGCAGTTTCCAATCACTCTTTCTGTGGAATCTGCAAGTGGATATTTGGGCCTCTCTGAGGATTTCGTTGGAAACGGGATAAAACGCACAGAACTAAAACAGAAGCATTCTCAGAAACTTCTCTGTGATGTTTGTGTTCAACTCCCAGAGTTTCACGTTGCTTTTCATAGAGTAGTTCTGAAACATGCTTTTCGTAGTGTCTGCAAGTGGACATTTGGAGCGCTTTCAGGCCTGTGGTGGAAAACGAATTATGGTCACATAAAAACTGGAGAGAAGCATTCTCAGAAAATACTTTGTGATGATTGAGTTTAAATCACAGAGCTGACCATTCCTTTGGATGGAGCAGGTTTGAGACACACTTTTTGTAGAATCTACAAGTGGATATTTGGACCTCTCTGAGGATTTCGTTGGAAACGGGATAACTGCACCTAACTAAACGGAAGCATTCTCAGAAACTGCTTTGTGATGATTGCATTCACCTCACAGAGTTGAACATTCCTATTGATAGAGCAGTTTGGAAACACTCTTGTTGTGGAATGTGCAAGTGGAGATTTGGAGCGCTTTGAGGCCTATGGTAGTAAAGGGAATAGCTTCATAGAAAAACTAGACAGATGCATTCTCAGGAACTTTTTGGTGATGTTTGTATTCAACTCCCAGAGTTGAACTTTCCTTTGGAAAGAGCAGCTATGAAACACTCTTTTTCTAGAATCTGCAAGTGGACGTTTGGAGGGCTTTGTGGTTTGTGGTGGAAAAGGAAATATCTTCACCTAAATACTAGATAGAAGCATTCTCAGAAGCTTCTCTGTGATGACTGCATTCAACTCACGGAGTTGAACACTCCTTTTGAGAGCGCAGTTTTGAAACTCTCTTTCTGTGGCATCTGCAAGGGGACATGTAGACCTCTTTGAAGATTTCGTTGGAAACGGAATCATCTTCACATAAAAACTATACAGAAGCAGTCTCAGAATCTTCTTTGTGATGTTTGCATTCAAATCCCAGAGTTGAACTTTCCTTTCAAAGTTCACGTTTGAAACACTCTTTTTGCAGGATCTACAAGTGGATATTTGGACCACTCTGTGTCCTTCGTTCGAAACGGGTATATCTTCACACGACATCTAGACAGAAGCTTTCTCAGAAAATTCTTTGGGATGATTGAGTGGAACTCACAGAGCTGAACATTCCTTGCGATGTAGCAGTTTAGAAACACACTTTCTGCAGAATCTGCAAGTGCATATTTGGACCTCTCTGAGGAATTCGTTGGAAACGGGATAATTTCAGCTGACTAAACAGAAGCATTCTCAGAACCTTCTTCGTGATGTCTGCATTCAACTCACAGTGTGGAACCTTTCTTTGATAGTTCAGGTTTGAAACACTCTTTTTGTAGAAACTGCAAGGGGATAATTGCACTTCTTTGAGGCCTACCGTAGTAAAGGAAATAACTTCCTATAGAAAGAAGACAGAAGCATTCTCAGAACCCTCTTCGTGATGTTTGCATTCAACTCACAGTGCTGAACCTTTCTTTGATAGTTCAGCTTTGAAACACTCTTCTTGTAGAAACTGCAAGTGGATATTTGGTCCTCTCTGAGGATATCGTTGGAAACGGGATAAACCGCACAGAACTAAACAGAAGCATTCTCAGAACCTTCTTCGTGATGTTTGCATTCAACTCACAGTGTTGAACCTTTCTTTGATAGTTCAGGTTTGAAACGGTCTTTCTGTAGAAACTGCAAGTAGATATTTGGACCTCTCTGAGGATTTCGTTGGAAACGGGATAACCCGCACAGAACTAAAACAGAAGCATTCACAGAAAACTCTTGGTGACGACTGAGTTTAACTCACAGAGCTGAACATTCCTTTGGATGGAGCAGTTTCGAAACACACTATTTGTAGAATGTGCAAGTGGATATTTGGGCCTCTCTGAGGATTTCGTTGGAAACGGGATAAACCGCACAGAACTAAACAGAAGCATTCTCAGAAACTACTTTGTGATGATTGCATTCAAGTCACAGTAGTTGAACATTCCCTTTGACAGAGCAGTTTGGAAACTCTCTTTGTGTAGAATCTGCAAGTGGAGATATGGACCGCTTTGAGGCCTATGGTAGTAAAGGAAATAGCTTCATATAAAAGCTAGACAGTAGCATTCTCAGAAACTTCTTTGTGATGCTTGCATTCAACTCACAGAGTTGAACTTTCCTTTCGAGAGAGAAGCTTTGAAACACTCTTTTTCCAGAATCTGCAAGTGGACATTTGGAGGGCTTTGAAGCCTGTGGTGGAAAAGGAATTAACTTCCCGTAAAAGCTAGATAGAAGCATTGTCAGAAACTTCTTTGTGATGATTGCATTCAACTCACAGAGTTGAAGGTTCCTTTTCAAAGAGCAGTTTCCAATCACTCTTTGTGTGGAATCTGCAAGTGGATATTCGGACCTATTTTGAAGATTTCGTTGGAAACGGGAGAATCTTCACAGGAAAGCTAAACAGAAGCATTCTCAGAAACTTCTCTGTGATGTTTGTGTTCAACTCCCAGAGTTTCACATTGCTTTTCATAGAGTAGTTCTGAAACATGCTTTTCGTAGTGTCTACAAGTGGACATTTGGAGCGCTTTCAGGCCTGTGGTGGAAAACGAATTATGGTCACATAAAAACTGGAGAGAAGCCTTCTCAGAAACTTCTCTGTGATGATTGCATTCAACTCACAGAGTTGAACCCTCCTATGGATAGAGCAGTGTTGAAACTCTCTTTTTGTGGAATCTGCAAGTGGATATGTGGACCTCTCCGAAGATGTCTTTGGAAACGGGAATATCTTCACATAAAAACTAAACAGAAGCATTCTCAGAAACTTCTTGGTGATGTTTGCATTCAAATCCCAGAGTTGAACCTTCCTTTGATAGTTCAGGTTTGAAACACTCTTTTTGTAGGATCTGCAAGTGGATATTTGGACCACTCTGTGGCCTTCGTTCGAAACGGGTATATCTTCGCATAAAATCTAGACAGAAGCATTCTCAGAAAATACTTTGTGATGATTGAGTTTAACTCACAGAGCTGAACATTCCTTTGGATGGAGCAGGTTTGAGACACACTTTTTGTAGAATCTACAAGTGGATATTTGGACCTCTCTGAGGATTTCGTTGGAAACGCGATAACTGCACCTAACTAAACGGAAGCATTCTCAGAAACTGCTTTGTGATGATTGCATTCACCTCACAGAGTTGAACATTCCTATTGATAGAGCAGTTTGGAAACACTCTTGTTGTGGAATGTGCAAGTGGAGATTTGGAGCGCTTTGAGGCCTATGGTAGTAAAGGGAATAGCTTCATAGAAAAACTAGACAGATGCATTCTCAGGAACTTTTTGGTGATGTTTGTATTCAACTCCCAGAGTTGAACTTTCCTTTGGAAAGAGCAGCTATGACACACTCTTTTTCTAGAATCTGCAAGTGGACGTTTGGAGGGCTTTGTGGTTTGTGGTGGAAAAGGAAATATCTTCACCTAAATACTAGATAGAAGCATTCTCAGAAGCTTCTCTGTGATGACTGCATTCAACTCACGGAGTTGAACACTCCTTTTGAGAGCGCAGTTTTGAAACTCTCTTTCTGTGGCATCTGCAAGGGGACATGTAGACCTCTTTGAAGATTTCGTAGGAAACGGAATCATCTTCACATAAAAACTATACAGAAGCAGTCTCAGAATCTTCTTTGTGATGTTTGCATTCAAATCCCAGAGTTGAACTTTCCTTTCAAAGTTCACGTTTGAAACACTCTTTTTGCAGGTTCTACAAGTGGATATTTGGACCACTCTGTGTCCTTCGTTCGAAACGGGTATATCTTCACATGACATCTAGACAGAAGCTTTCTCAGAAAATTCTTTGGGATGATTGAGTGGAACTCACAGAGCTGAACATTCCTTGCGATGTAGCAGTTTAGAAACACACTTTCTGCAGAATCTGCAAGTGCATATTTGGACCTCTCTGAGGAATTCGTTGGAAACGGGATAATTTCAGCTGACTAAACAGAAGCATTCTCAGAACCTTCTTCGTGATGTCTGCATTCAACTCACAGTGTGGAACCTTTCTTTGATAGTTCAGGTTTGAAACACTCTTTTTGTAGAAACTGCAAGGGGATAATTGCACTTCTTTGAGGCCTACCGTAGTAAAGGAAATAACTTCCTATAGAAAGAAGACAGAAGCATTCTCAGAACCCTCTTCGTGATGTTTGCATTCAACTCACAGTGCTGAACCTTTCTTTGATAGTTCAGCTTTGAAACACTCTTCTTGTAGAAACTGCAAGTGGATATTTGGTCCTCTCTGAGGATTTCGTTGGAAACGGGATAAACCGCACAGAACTAAACAGAAGCATTCTCAGAGCCCTCTTCGTGATGTTTGCATTCAACTCACAGTGCTGAACCTTTCTTTGATAGTGCAGCTTTGAAACACTCTTTTTGTAGAAACTGCAAGTGGATGTTTGGTCCTCTCTGAGGATTTCGTTGGAAACGGGATAAACCGCACAGAACTAAAACAGAAGCATTGTCAGAAACTTCTTTGTGATGATTGCATTCAACTCACAGAGTTGAAGGTTCCTTTTCAAACAGCAGTTTCCAATCACTCTTTCTGTGGAATCTGCAAGTGGATATTTGGGCCTCTCTGAGGATTTCGTTGGAAACGGGATAAAACGCACAGAACTAAAACAGAAGCATTCTCAGAAACTTCTCTGTGATGTTTGTGTTCAACTCCCAGAGTTTCACGTTGCTTTTCATAGAGTAGTTCTGAAACATGCTTTTCGTAGTGTCTGCAAGTGGACATTTGGAGCGCTTTCAGGCCTGTGGTGGAAAACGAATTATGGTCACATAAAAACTGGAGAGAAGCCTTCTCAGAAACTTCTCTGTGATGATTGCATTCAACTCACAGAGTTGAACCCTCCTATGGATAGAGCAGTGTTGAAACTCTCTTTTTGTGGAATCTGCAAGTGGATATGTGGACCTCTCCGAAGATGTCTTTGGAAACGGGAATATCTTCACATAAAAACTAAACAGAAGCATTCTCAGAAACTTCTTGGTGATGTTTGCATTCAAATCCCAGAGTTGAACCTTCCTTTGATAGTTCAGGTTTGAAACACTCTTTTTGTAGGATCTGCAATTGGCTATTTGGACCACTCTGTGGCCTTCGTTCGAAACGGGTATATCTTCGCATAAAATCTAGACAGAAGCATTCTCAGAAAATACTTTGTGATGATTGAGTTTAAATCACAGAGCTGACCATTCCTTTGGATGGAGCAGGTTTGAGACACACTTTTTGTAGAATCTACAAGTGGATATTTGGACCTCTCTGAGGATTTCGTTGGAAACGGGATAACTGCACCTAACTAAACGGAAGCATTCTCAGAAACTGCTTTGTGATGATTGCATTCACCTCACAGAGTTGAACATTCCTATTGATAGAGCAGTTTGGAAACACTCTTGTTGTGGAATGTGCAAGTGGAGATTTGGAGCGCTTTGAGGCCTGTGGTAGTAAAGGGAATAGCTTCATAGAAAAACTAGACAGATGCATTCTCAGGAACTTTTTGGTGATGTTTGTATTCAACTCCCAGAGTTGAACTTTCCTTTGGAAAGAGCAGCTATGAAACACTCTTTTTCTAGAATCTGCAAGTGGACGTTTGGAGGGCTTTGTGGTTTGTGGTGGAAAAGGAAATATCTTCACCTAAATACTAGACAGAAGCATTCTCAGAAGCTTCTCTGTGATGACTGCATTCAACTCACGGAGTTGAACACTCCTTTTGAGAGCGCAGTTTTGAAACTCTCTTTCTGTGGCATCTGCAAGGGGACATGTAGACCTCTTTGAAGATTTCGTTGGAAACGGAATCATCTTCACATAAAAACTATACAGAAGCAGTCTCAGAATCTTCTTTGTGATGTTTGCATTCAAATCCCAGAGTTGAACTTTCCTTTCAAAGTTCACGTTTGAAACACTCTTTTTGCAGGATCTACAAGTGGATATTTGGACCACTCTGTGTCCTTCGTTCGAAACGGGTATATCTTCACATGACATCTAGACAGAAGCTTTCTCAGAAAATTCTTTGGGATGATTGAGTGGAACTCACAGAGCTGAACATTCCTTGCGATGTAGCAGTTTAGAAACACACTTTCTGCAGAATCTGCAAGTGCATATTTGGACCTCTCTGAGGAATTCGTTGGAAACGGGATAATTTCAGCTGACTAAACAGAAGCATTCTCAGAACCTTCTTCGTGATGTCTGCATTCAACTCACAGTGTGGAACCTTTCTTTGATAGTTCAGGTTTGAAACACTCTTTTTGTAGAAACTGCAAGGGGATAATTGCACTTCTTTGAGGCCTACCGTAGTAAAGGAAATAACTTCCTATAGAAAGAAGACAGAAGCATTCTCAGAACCCTCTTCGTGATGTTTGCATTCAACTCACAGTGCTGAACCTTTCTTTGATAGTTCAGCTTTGAAACACTCTTCTTGTAGAAACTGCAAGTGGATATTTGGTCCTCTCTGAGGATTTCGTTGGAAACGGGATAAACCGCACAGAACTAAACAGAAGAATTCTCAGAGCCCTCTTCGTGATGTTTGCATTCAACTCACAGTGCTGAACCTTTCTTTGATAGTGCAGCTTTGAAACACTCTTTTTGTAGAAACTGCAAGTGGATGTTTGGTCCTCTCTGAGGATTTCGTTGGAAACGGGATAAACCGCACAGAACTAAAACAGAAGCATTGTCAGAAACTTCTTTGTGATGATTGCATTCAACTCACAGAGTTGAAGGTTCCTTTTCAAACAGCAGTTTCCAATCACTCTTTCTGTGGAATCTGCAAGTGGATATTTGGGCCTCTCTGAGGATTTCGTTGGAAACGGGATAAAACGCACAGAACTAAAACAGAAGCATTCTCAGAAACTTCTCTGTGATGTTTGTGTTCAACTCCCAGAGTTTCACGTTGCTTTTCATAGAGTAGTTCTGAAACATGCTTTTCGTAGTGTCTGCAAGTGGACATTTGGAGCGCTTTCAGGCCTGTGGTGGAAAACGAATTATGGTCACATAAAAACTGGAGAGAAGCCTTCTCAGAAACTTCTCTGTGATGATTGCATTCAACTCACAGAGTTGAACCCTCCTATGGATAGAGCAGTGTTGAAACTCTCTTTTTGTGGAATCTGCAAGTGGATATGTGGACCTCTCCGAAGATGTCTTTGGAAACGGGAATATCTTCACATAAAAACTAAACAGAAGCATTCTCAGAAACTTCTTGGTGATGTTTGCATTCAAATCCCAGAGTTGAACCTTCCTTTGATAGTTCAGGTTTGAAACACTCTTTCTGTAGGATCTGCAAGTGGCTATTTGGACCACTCTGTGGCCTTCGTTCGAAACGGGTATATCTTCGCATAAAATCTAGACAGAAGCATTCTCAGAAAATACTTTGTGATGATTGAGTTTAAATCACAGAGCTGACCATTCCTTTGGATGGAGCAGGTTTGAGACACACTTTTTGTAGAATCTACAAGTGGATATTTGGACCTCTCTGAGGATTTCGTTGGAAACGGGATAACTGCACCTAACTAAACGGAAGCATTCTCAGAAACTGCTTTGTGATGATTGCATTCACCTCACAGAGTTGAACATTCCTATTGATAGAGCAGTTTGGAAACACTCTTGTTGTGGAATGTGCAAGTGGAGATTTGGAGCGCTTTGAGGCCTATGGTAGTAAAGGGAATAGCTTCATAGAAAAACTAGACAGATGCATTCTCAGGAACCTTTTGGTGATGTTTGTATTCAACTCCCAGAGTTGAACTTTCCTTTGGAAAGAGCAGCTATGAAACACTCTTTTTCTAGAATCTGCAAGTGGACGTTTGGAGGGCTTTGTGGTTTGTGGTGGAAAAGGAAATATCTTCACCTAAATACTAGATAGAAGCATTCTCAGAAGCTTCTCTGTGATGACTGCATTCAACTCACGGAGTTGAACACTCCTTTTGAGAGCGCAGTTTTGAAACTCTCTTTCTGTGGCATCTGCAAGGGGACATGTAGACCTCTTTGAAGATTTCGTTGGAAACGGAATCATCTTCACATAAAAACTATACAGAAGCAGTCTCAGAATCTTCTTTGTGATGTTTGCATTCAAATCCCAGAGTTGAACTTTCCTTTCAAAGTTCACGTTTGAAACACTCTTTTTGCAGGATCTACAAGTGGATATTTGGACCACTCTGTGTCCTTCGTTCGAAACGGGTATATCTTCACACGACATCTAGACAGAAGCTTTCTCAGAAAATTCTTTGGGATGATTGAGTGGAACTCACAGAGCTGAACATTCCTTGCGATGTAGCAGTTTAGAAACACACTTTCTGCAGAATCTGCAAGTGCATATTTGGACCTCTCTGAGGAATTCGTTGGAAACGGGATAATTTCAGCTGACTAAACAGAAGCATTCTCAGAACCTTCTTCGTGGTGTCTGCATTCAACTCACAGTGTGGAACCTTTCTTTGATAGTTCAGGTTTGAAACACTCTTTTTGTAGAAACTGCAAGGGGATAATTGCACTTCTTTGAGGCCTACCGTAGTAAAGGAAATAACTTCCTATAGAAAGAAGACAGAAGCATTCTCAGAACCCTCTTCGTGATGTTTGCATTCAACTCACGGTGCTGAATCTTTCTTTGATAGTTCAGCTTTGAAACACTCTTTTTGTAGAAACTGCAAGTGGATATTTGGTCCTGTCTGAGGATTTCGTTGGTAACGGGATAAACCGCACAGAACTAAACAGAAGCATTCTCAGAACCTTCTTCGTGATGTTTGCATTCAACTCACAGTGTTGAACCTTTCTTTGATAGTTCAGGTTTGAAACGGTCTTTCTGTAGAAACTGCAAGTAGATATTTGGACCTCTCTGAGGATTTCGTTGGAAACGGGATAACCCGCACAGAACTAAAACAGAAGCATTCACAGAAAACTCTTGGTGACGACTGAGTTTAACTCACAGAGCTGAACATTCCTTTGGATGGAGCAGTTTCGAAACACACTATTTGTAGAATGTGCAAGTGGATATTTAGGCCTCTCTGAGGATTTCGTTGGAAACGGGATAAACCGCACAGAACTAAACAGAAGCATTCTCAGAAACTACTTTGTGATGATTGCATTCAAGTCACAGAGTTGAACATTCCCTTTGACAGAGCAGTTTGGAAACTCTCTTTGTGTAGAATCTGCAAGTGGAGATATGGACCGCTTTGAGGCCTATGGTAGTAAAGGAAATAGCTTCATATAAAAGCTAGACAGTAGCATTCTCAGAAACTTCTTTGTGATGCTTGCATTCAACTCACAGAGTTGAACTTTCCTTTCGAGAGAGAAGCTTTGAAACACTCTTTTTCCAGAATCTGCAAGTGGACATTTGGAGGGCTTTGAGGCCTGTGGTGGAAAAGGAATTATCTTCCCGTAAAAGCTAGATAGAAGCATTGTCAGAAACTTCTTTGTGATGATTGCATTCAACTCACAGAGTTGAAGGTTCCTTTTCAAAGAGCAGTTTCCAATCACTCTTTCTGTGGAATCTGCAAGTGGATATTTGGACCTATTTTGAAGATTTCGTTGGAAACGGGAGAATCTTCACAGGAAAGCTAAACAGAAGCATTCTCAGAAACTTCTCTGTGATGTTTGTGTTCAACTCCCAGAGTTTCACATTGCTTTTCATAGAGTAGTTCTGAAACATGCTTTTCGTAGTGTCTACAAGTGGACATTTGGAGCGCTTTCAGGCCTGTGTTGGAAAACGAATTATGGTCACATAAAAACTGGAGAGAAGCCTTCTCAGAAACTTCTCTGTGATGATTGCATTCAACTCACAGAGTTGAACCCTCCTATGGATAGAGCAGTGTTGAAACTCTCTTTTTGTGGAATCTGCAAGTGGATATGTGGACCTCTCCGAAGATGTCTTTGGAAACGGGAATATCTTCACATAAAAACTAAACAGAAGCATTCTCAGAAACTTCTTGGTGATGTTTGCATTCAAATCCCAGAGTTGAACCTTCCTTTGATAGTTCAGGTTTGAAACACTCTTTTTGTAGGATCTGCAAGTGGATATTTGGACCACTCTGTGGCCTTCGTTCGAAACGGGTATATCTTCGCATAAAATCTAGACAGAAGCATTCTCAGAAAATACTTTGTGATGATTGAGTTTAACTCACAGAGCTGAACATTCCTTTGGATGGAGCAGGTTTGAGACACACCTTTTGTAGAATCTACAAGTGGATATTTGGACCTCTCTGAGGATTTCGTTGGAAACGGGATAACTGCACCTAACTAAACGGAAGCATTCTCAGAAACTGCTTTGTGATGATTGCATTCACCTCACAGAGTTGAACATTCCTATTGATAGAGCAGTTTGGAAACACTCTTGTTGTGGAATGTGCAAGTGGAGATTTGGAGCGCTTTGAGGCCTATGGTAGTAAAGGGAATAGCTTCATAGAAAAACTAGACAGATGCATTCTCAGGAACTTTTTGGTGATGTTTGTATTCAACTCCCAGAGTTGAACTTTCCTTTGGAAAGAGCAGCTATGAAACACTCTTTTTCTAGAATCTGCAAGTGGACGTTTGGAGGGCTTTGTGGTTTGTGGTGGAAAAGGAAATATCTTCACCTAAATACTAGATAGAAGCATCCTCAGAAGCTTCTCTGTGATGACTGCATTCAACTCACGGAGTTGAACACTCCTTTTGAGAGCGCAGTTTTGAAACTCTCTTTCTGTGGCATCTGCAAGGGGACATGTAGACCTCTTTGAAGATTTCGTTGGAAACGGAATCATCTTCACATAAAAACTATACAGAAGCAGTCTCAGAATCTTCTTTGTGATGTTTGCATTCAAATCCCCGAGTTGAACTTTCCTTTCAAAGTTCACGTTTGAAACACTCTTTTTGCAGGATCTACAAGTGGATATTTGGACCACTCTGTGTCCTTCGTTCGAAACGGGTATATCTTCACATGACATCTAGACAGAAGCTTTCTCAGAAAATTCTTCTCGGGATGATTGAGTTGAACTCACAGAGCTGAGCATTCCTTGCGATGTAGCAGTTTAGAAACACACTTTCTGCAGAATCTGCAAGTGCATATTTGGACCTCTGTGAGGAATTCGTTGGAAACGGGATAATTTCAGCTGACTAAACAGAAACATTCTCAGAACCTTCTTCGTGATGTCTGCATTCAACTCACAGTGTGGAACCTTTCTTTGATAGTTCAGGTTTGAAACACTCTTTTTGTAGAAACTGCAAGGGGATAATTGCACTTCTTTGAGGCCTACCGTCGTAAAGGAAATAACTTCCTATAGAAAGAAGACAGAAGCATTCTCAGAACCCTCTTCGTGATGTTTGCATTCAACTCACAGTGCTGAACCTTTCTTTGATAGTTCAGCTTTGAAACACTCTTCTTGTAGAAACTGCAAGTGGATATTTGGTCCTCTCTGAGGATTTCGTTGGAAACGGGATAAACCGCACAGAACTAAACAGAAGAATTCTCAGAGCCCTCTTCGTGATGTTTGCATTCAACTCACAGTGCTGAACCTTTCTTTGATAGTGCAGCTTTGAAACACTCTTTTTGTAGAAACTGCAAGTGGATGTTTGGTCCTCTCTGAGGATTTCGTTGGAAACGGGATAAACCGCACAGAACTAAAACAGAAGCATTGTCAGAAACTTCTTTGTGATGATTGCATTCAACTCACAGAGTTGAAGGTTCCTTTTCAAACAGCAGTTTCCAATCACTCTTTCTGTGGAATCTGCAAGTGGATATTTGGGCCTCTCTGAGGATTTCGTTGGAAACGGGATAAAACGCACAGAACTAAAACAGAAGCATTCTCAGAAACTTCTCTGTGATGTTTGTGTTCAACTCCCAGAGTTTCACGTTGCTTTTCATAGAGTAGTTCTGAAACATGCTTTTCGTAGTGTCTGCAAGTGGACATTTGGAGCGCTTTCAGGCCTGTGGTGGAAAACGAATTATGGTCACATAAAAACTGGAGAGAAAGCCTTCTCAGAAACTTCTCTGTGATGATTGCATTCAACTCACAGAGTTGAACCCTCCTATGGATAGAGCAGTGTTGAAACTCTCTTTTTGTGGAATCTGCAAGTGGATATGTGGACCTCTCCGAAGATGTCTTTGGAAACGGGAATATCTTCACATAAAAACTAAACAGAGCATTCTCAGAAACTTCTTGGTGATGTTTGCATTCAAATCCCAGAGTTGAACCTTCCTTTGATAGTTCAGGTTTGAAACACTCTTTCTGTAGGATCTGCAAGTGGCTATTTGGACCACTCTGTGGCCTTCGTTCGAAACGGGTATATCTTCGCATAAAATCTAGACAGAAGCATTCTCAGAAAATACTTTGTGATGATTGAGTTTAAATCACAGAGCTGACCATTCCTTTGGATGGAGCAGGTTTGAGACACACTTTTTGTAGAATCTACAAGTGGATATTTGGACCTCTCTGAGGATTTCGTTGGAAACGGGATAACTGCACCTAACTAAACGGAAGCATTCTCAGAAACTGCTTTGTGATGATTGCATTCACCTCACAGAGTTGAACATTCCTATTGATAGAGCAGTTTGGAAACACTCTTGTTGCGGAATGTGCAAGTGGAGATTTGGAGCGCTTTGAGGCCTGTGGTAGTAAAGGGAATAGCTTCATAGAAAAACTAGACAGATGCATTCTCAGGAACCTTTTGGTGATGTTTGTATTCAACTCCCAGAGTTGAACTTTCCTTTGGAAAGAGCAGCTATGAAACACTCTTTTTCTAGAATCTGCAAGTGGACGTTTGGAGGGCTTTGTGGTTTGTGGTGGAAAAGGAAATATCTTCACCTAAATACTAGATAGAAGCATTCTCAGAAGCTTCTCTGTGATGACTGCATTCAACTCACGGAGTTGAACACTCCTTTTGAGAGCGCAGTTTTGAAACTCTCTTTCTGTGGCATCTGCAAGGGGACATGTAGACCTCTTTGAAGATTTCGTTGGAAACGGAATCATCTTCACATAAAAACTATACAGAAGCAGTCTCAGAATCTTCTTTGTGATGTTTGCATTCAAATCCCAGAGTTGAACTTTCCTTTCAAAGTTCACGTTTGAAACACTCTTTTTGCAGGATCTACAAGTGGATATTTGGACCACTCTGTGTCCTTCGTTCGAAACGGGTATATCTTCACACGACATCTAGACAGAAGCTTTCTCAGAAAATTCTTTGGGATGATTGAGTGGAACTCACAGAGCTGAACATTCCTTGCGATGTAGCAGTTTAGAAACACACTTTCTGCAGAATCTGCAAGTGCATATTTGGACCTCTCTGAGGAATTCGTTGGAAACGGGATAATTTCAGCTGACTAAACAGAAGCATTCTCAGAACCTTCTTCGTGATGTCTGCATTCAACTCACAGTGTGGAACCTTTCTTTGATAGTTCAGGTTTGAAACACTCTTTTTGTAGAAACTGCAAGGGGATAATTGCACTTCTTTGAGGCCTACCGTAGTAAAGGAAATAACTTCCTATAGAAAGAAGACAGAAGCATTCTCAGAACCCTCTTCGTGATGTTTGCATTCAACTCACAGTGCTGAACCTTTCTTTGATAGTTCAGCTTTGAAACACTCTTCTTGTAGAAACTGCAAGTGGATATTTGGTCCTCTCTGAGGATTTCGTTGGAAACGGGATAAACCGCACAGAACTAAACAGAAGAATTCTCAGAGCCCTCTTCGTGATGTTTGCATTCAACTCACAGTGCTGAACCTTTCTTTGATAGTGCAGCTTTGAAACACTCTTCTTGTAGAAACTGCAAGTGGATGTTTGGTCCTCTCTGAGGATTTCGTTGGAAACGGGATAAACCGCACAGAACTAAACAGAAGCATTGTCAGAAACTTCTTTGTGATGATTGCATTCAACTCACAGAGTTGAAGGTTCCTTTTCAAACAGCAGTTTCCAATCACTCTTTCTGTGGAATCTGCAAGTGGATATTTGGGCCTCTCTGAGGATTTCGTTGGAAACGGGATAAAACGCACAGAACTAAAACAGAAGCATTCTCAGAAACTTCTCTGTGATGTTTGTGTTCAACTCCCAGAGTTTCACGTTGCTTTTCATAGAGTAGTTCTGAAACATGCTTTTCGTAGTGTCTGCAAGTGGACATTTGGAGCGCTTTCAGGCCTGTGGTGGAAAACGAATTATGGTCACATAAAAACTGGAGAGAAGCCTTCTCAGAAACTTCTCTGTGATGATTGCATTCAACTCACAGAGTTGAACCCTCCTATGGATAGAGCAGTGTTGAAACTCTCTTTTTGTGGAATCTGCAAGTGGATATGTGGACCTCTCCGAAGATGTCTTTGGAAACGGGAATATCTTCACATAAAAACTAAACAGAAGCATTCTCAGAAACTTCTTGGTGATGTTTGCATTCAAATCCCAGAGTTGAACCTTCCTTTGATAGTTCAGGTTTGAAACACTCTTTTTGTAGGATCTGCAAGTGGCTATTTGGACCACTCTGTGGCCTTCGTTCGAAACGGGTATATCTTCGCATAAAATCTAGACAGAAGCATTCTCAGAAAATACTTTGTGATGATTGAGTTTAAATCACAGAGCTGACCATTCCTTTGGATGGAGCAGGTTTGAGACACACTTTTTGTAGAATCTACAAGTGGATATTTGGACCTCTCTGAGGATTTCGTTGGAAACGGGATAACTGCACCTAACTAAACGGAAGCATTCTCAGAAACTGCTTTGTGATGATTGCATTCACCTCACAGAGTTGAACATTCCTATTGATAGAGCAGTTTGGAAACACTCTTGTTGTGGAATGTGCAAGTGGAGATTTGGAGCGCTTTGAGGCCTATGGTAGTAAAGGGAATAGCTTCATAGAAAAACTAGACAGATGCATTCTCAGGAACTTTTTGGTGATGTTTGTATTCAACTCCCAGAGTTGAACTTTCCTTTGGAAAGAGCAGCTATGAAACACTCTTTTTCTAGAATCTGCAAGTGGACGTTTGGAGGGCTTTGTGGTTTGTGGTGGAAAAGGAAATATCTTCACCTAAATACTAGATAGAAGCATTCTCAGACGCTTCTCTGTGATGACTGCATTCAACTCACGGAGTTGAACACTCCTTTTGAGAGCGCAGTTTTGAAACTCTCTTTCTGTGGCATCTGCAAGGGGACATGTAGACCTCTTTGAAGATTTCGTTGGAAACGGAATCATCTTCACATAAAAACTATACAGAAGCAGTCTCAGAATCTTCTTTGTGATGTTTGCATTCAAATCCCAGAGTTGAACTTTCCTTTCAAAGTTCACGTTTGAAACACTCTTTTTGCAGGATCTACAAGTGGATATTTGGACCACTCTGTGTCCTTCGTTCGAAACGGGTATATCTTCACACGACATCTAGACAGAAGCTTTCTCAGAAAATTCTTTGGGATGATTGAGTGGAACTCACAGAGCTGAACATTCCTTGCGATGGAGCAGTTTAGAAACACACTTTCTGCAGAATCTGCAAGTGCATATTTGGACCTCTCTGAGGAATTCGTTGGAAACGGGATAATTTCAGCTGACTAAACAGAAGCATTCTCAGAACCTTCTTCGTGATGTCTGCATTCAACTCACAGTGTGGAACCTTTCTTTGATAGTTCAGGTTTGAAACACTCTTTTTGTAGAAACTGCAAGGGGATAATTGCACTTCTTTGAGGCCTACCGTAGTAAAGGAAATAACTTCCTATAGAAAGAAGACAGAAGCATTCTCAGAACCCTCTTCGTGATGTTTGCATTCAACTCACAGTGCTGAACCTTTCTTTGATAGTTCAGCTTTGAAACACTCTTCTTGTAGAAACTGCAAGTGGATATTTGGTCCTCTCTGAGGATTTCGTTGGAAACGGGATAAACCGCACAGAACTAAACAGAAGAATTCTCAGAGCCCTCTTCGTGATGTTTGCATTCAACTCACAGTGCTGAACCTTTCTTTGATAGTGCAGCTTTGAAACACTCTTTTTGTAGAAACTGCAAGTGGATGTTTGGTCCTCTCTGAGGATTTCGTTGGAAACGGGATAAACCGCACAGAACTAAAACAGAAGCATTGTCAGAAACTTCTTTGTGATGATTGCATTCAACTCACAGAGTTGAAGGTTCCTTTTCAAACAGCAGTTTCCAATCACTCTTTCTGTGGAATCTGCAAGTGGATATTTGGGCCTCTCTGAGGATTTCGTTGGAAACGGGATAAAACGCACAGAACTAAAACAGAAGCATTCTCAGAAACTTCTCTGTGATGTTTGTGTTCAACTCCCAGAGTTTCACGTTGCTTTTCATAGAGTAGTTCTGAAACATGCTTTTCGTAGTGTCTGCAAGTGGACATTTGGAGCGCTTTCAGGCCTGTGGTGGAAAACGAATTATGGTCACATAAAAACTGGAGAGAAGCATTCTCAGAAAATACTTTGTGATGATTGAGTTTAAATCACAGAGCTGACCATTCCTTTGGATGGAGCAGGTTTGAGACACACTTTTTGTAGAATCTACAAGTGGATATTTGGACCTCTCTGAGGATTTCGTTGGAAACGGGATAACTGCACCTAACTAAACGGAAGCATTCTCAGAAACTGCTTTGTGATGATTGCATTCACCTCACAGAGTTGAACATTCCTATTGATAGAGCAGTTTGGAAACACTCTTGTTGTGGAATGTGCAAGTGGAGATTTGGAGCGCTTTGAGGTCTATGGTAGTAAAGGGAATAGCTTCATAGAAAAACTAGACAGAATGCATTCTCAGGAACTTTTTGGTGATGTTTGTATTCAACTCCCAGAGTTGAACTTTCCTTTGGAAAGAGCAGCTATGAAACACTCTTTTTCTAGAATCTGCAAGTGGACGTTTGGAGGGCTTTGTGGTTTGTGGTGGAAAAGGAAATATCTTCACCTAAATACTAGATAGAAGCATTCTCAGAAGCTTCTCTGTGATGACTGCATTCAACTCACGGAGTTGAACACTCCTTTTGAGAGCGCAGTTTTGAAACTCTCTTTCTGTGGCATCTGCAAGGGGACATGTAGACCTACTTTGAAGATTTCGTTGGAAACGGAATCATCTTCACATAAAAACTATACAGAAGCAGTCTCAGAATCTTCTTTGTGATGTTTGCATTCAAATCCCAGAGTTGAACTTTCCTTTCAAAGTTCACGTTTGAAACACTCTTTTTGCAGGATCTACAAGTGGATATTTGGACCACTCTGTGTCCTTCGTTCGAAACGGGTATATCTTCACATGACATCTAGACAGAAGCTTTCTCAGAAAATTCTTTGGGATGATTGAGTTGAACTCACAGAGCTGAACATTCCTTGCGATGGAGCAGTTTAGAAACACACTTTCTGCAGAATCTGCAAGTGCATATTTGGACCTCTCTGAGGAATTCGTTGGAAACGGGATAATTTCAGCTGACTAAACAGAAGCATTCTCAGAACCTTCTTCGTGATGTCTGCATTCAACTCACAGTGTGGAACCTTTCTTTGATAGTTCAGGTTTGAAACACTCTTTTTGTAGAAACTGCAAGGGGATAATTGCACTTCTTTGAGGCCTACCATAGTAAAGGAAATAACTTCCTATAAAAAGAAGACAGAAGCATTCTCAGAACCCTCTTCGTGATGTTTGCATTCAACTCACAGTGCTGAACCTTTCTTTGATAGTTCAGCTTTGAAACACTCTTTTTGTAGAAACTGCAAGTGGATACTTGGTCCTCTCTGAGGATTTCGTTGGAAAAGGGATAAACCGCACAGAACTAAACAGAAGCATTCACAGAAAACTCTTGGTGACGACTGAGTTTAACTCACAGAGCTGAACATTCCTTTGGATGGAGCAGTTTCGAAACACACTATTTGTAGAATCTGCAAGTGGATATTTGGGCCTCTCTGAGGATTTCGATGGAAACGGGATAAACCGCACAGAACTAAAACAGAAGCATTCTCAGAAACTACTTTGTGATGATTGCATTCAAGTCACAGAGCTGAACATTCCCTTTGACAGAGCAGTTTGGAAACTCTCTTTGTGTAGAATCTGCAAGTGGAGATATGGAATGCTTTGAGGACTATGGTAGTAAAGGAAATAGCTTCATATAAAAGCTAGACAGTAGCATTCTCAGAAACTTCTTTGTGATGCTTGCATTCAACTCACAGAGTTGAACTTTCCTTTCGAGAGAGAAGCTTTGAAACACTCTTTTTCCAGAATCTGCAAGTGGACATTTGGAGGGCTTTGAGGCCTGTGGTGGAAAAGGAATTATCTTCCCGTAAAAGCTAGATAGAAGCATTGTCAGAAACTTCTTTGTGATGATTGCATTCAACTCACAGAGTTGAAGGTTCCTTTTCAAAGAGCAGTTTCCAATCACTCTTTCTGTGGAATCTGCAAGTGGATATTTGGACCTATTTTGAAGATTTCGTTGGAAACGGGAGAATCTTCACAGGAAAGCTAAACAGAAGCATTCTCAGAAACTTCTCTGTGATGTTTGTGTTCAACTCCCAGAGTTTCACATTGCTTTTCATAGAGTAGTTCTGAAAC
The DNA here is from genome assembly GCF_000001405.40 of Homo sapiens. Classification (NCBI taxonomy): domain Eukaryota; kingdom Metazoa; phylum Chordata; class Mammalia; order Primates; family Hominidae; genus Homo; species Homo sapiens. The sequence continues at coordinate 24,690,721 of NC_000017.11, forward strand.
ATGCTTTTCGTAGTGTCTACAAGTGGACATTTGGAGCGCTTTCAGGCCTGTGGTGGAAAACGAATTATGGTCACATAAAAACTGGAGAGAAGCCTTCTCAGAAACTTCTCTGTGATGATTGCATTCAACTCACAGAGTTGAACCCTCCTATGGATAGAGCAGTGTTGAAACTCTCTTTTTGTGGAATCTGCAAGTGGATATGTGGACCTCTCCGAAGATGTCTTTGGAAACGGGAATATCTTCACATAAAAACTAAACAGAAGCATTCTCAGAAACTTCTTGGTGATGTTTGCATTCAAATCCCAGAGTCGAACCTTCCTTTGATAGTTCAGGTTTGAAACACTCTTTTTGTAGGATCTGCAAGTGGATATTTGGACCACTCTGTGGCCTTCGTTCGAAACGGGTATATCTTCGCATAAAATCTAGACAGAAGCATTCTCAGAAAATACTTTGCGATGATTGAGTTTAACTCACAGAGCTGAACATTCCTTTGAATGGAGCAGGTTTGAGACACACTTTTTGTAGAATCTACAAGTGGATATTTGGACCTCTCTGAGGATTCCGTTGGAAACGGGATAACTGCACCTAACTAAACGGAAGCATTCTCAGAAACTGCTTTGTGATGATTGCATTCACCTGACAGAGTTGAACATTCCTATTGATAGAGCAGTTTGGAAACACTCCTGTTGTGGAATGTGCAAGTGGAGATTTGGAGCGCTTTGAGGCCTATGGTAGTAAAGGGAATAACTTCATAGAAAAACTAGACAGATGCATTCTCAGGAACTTTTTGGTGATGTTTGTATTCAACTCCCAGAGTTGAACTTTCCTTTGGAAAGAGCAGCTATGAAACACTCTTTTTCTAGAATCTGCAAGTGGACGTTTGGAGGGCTTTGTGGTTTGTGGTGGAAAAGGAAATATCTTCACCTAAATACTAGATAGAAGCATTCTCAGAAGCTTCTCTGTGATGACTGCATTCAACTCACGGAGTTGAACACTCCTTTTGAGAGCGCAGTTTTGAAACTCTCTTTCTGTGGCATCTGCAAGGGGACATGTAGACCTCTTTGAAGATTTCGTTGGAAACGGAATCATCTTCACATAAAAACTATACAGAAAGCAGTCTCAGAATCTTCTTTGTGATGTTTGCATTCAAATCCCAGAGTTGAACTTTCCTTTCAAAGTTCACGTTTGAAACACTCTTTTTGCAGGATCTACAAGTGGATATTTGGACCACTCTGTGTCCTTCGTTCGAAACGGGTATATCTTCACACGACATCTAGACAGAGCTTTCTCAGAAAATTTTTTGGGATGATTGAGTTGAACTCACAGAGCTGAGCATTCCTTGCGATGTAGCAGTTTAGAAACACACTTTCTGCAGAATCTGCAAGTGCATATTTGGACCTCTGTGAGGAATTCGTTGGAAACGGGATAATTTCAGCTGACTAAACAGAAGCATTCTCAGAACCTTCTTCGTGATGTCTGCATTCAACTCACAGTGTGGAACCTTTCTTTGATAGTTCAGGTTTGAAACACTCTTTTTGTAGAAACTGCAAGGGGATAATTGCACTTCTTTGAGGCCTACCGTAGTAAAGGAAATAACTTCCTATAGAAAGAAGACAGAAGCATTCTCAGAACCCTCTTCGTGATGTTTGCATTCAACTCACAGTGCTGAACCTTTCTTTGATAGTTCAACTTTGAAACACTCTTCTTGTAGAAACTGCAAGTGGATATTTGGTCCTCTCTGAGGATTTCTTTGTAAACGGGATAAACCGCACAGAACTAAACAGAAGCATTCTCAGAACCTTCTTCGTGATGTTTGCATTCAACTCACAGTGTTGAACCTTTCTTTGATAGTTCAGGTTGGAAACGGTCTTTCTGTAGAAACTGCAAGTAGATATTTGGACCTCTCTGAGGATTTCGTTGGAAACGGGATAAACCGCACAGAACTAAAACAGAAGCATTCACAGAAAACTCTTGGTGACGACTGAGTTTAACTCACAGAGCTGAACATTCCTTTGGATGGAGCAGTTTCGAAACATACTATTTGTAGAATGTGCAAGTGGATATTTGGGCCTCTCTGAGGATTTCGTTGGAAACGGGATAAACCGCACAGAACTAAACAGAAGCATTCTCAGAAACTACTTTGTGATGATTGCATTCAAGTCACAGAGTTGAACATTCCCTTTGACAGAGCAGTTTGGAAACTCTCTTTGTGTAGAATCTGCAAGTGGAGATATGGACCGCTTTGAGGCCTATGGTAGTAAAGGAAATAGCTTCATATAAAAGCTAGACAGTAGCATTCTCAGAAACTTCTTTGTGATGCTTGCATTCAACTCACAGAGTTGAACTTTCCTTTCGAGAGAGAAGCTTTGAAACACTCTTTTTCCAGAATCTGCAAGTGGACATTTGGAGGGCTTTGAGGCCTGTGGTGGAAAAGGAATTATCTTCCCGTAAAAGCTAGATAGAAGCATTGTCAGAAACTTCTTTGTGATGATTGCATTCAACTCACAGAGTTGAAGGTTCCTTTTCAAAGAGCAGTTTCCAATCACTCTTTGTGTGGAATCTGCAAGTGGATATTTGGACCTATTTTGAAGATTTCGTTGGAAACGGGAGAATCTTCACAGGAAAGCTAAACAGAAGCATTCTCAGAAACTTCTCTGTGATGTTTGTGTTCAACTCCCAGAGTTTCACATTGCTTTTCATAGAGTAGTTCTGAAACATGCTTTTCGTAGTGTCTACAAGTGGACATTTGGAGCGCTTTCAGGCCTGTGGTGGAAAACGAATTATGGTCACATAAAAACTGGAGAGAAGCCTTCTCAGAAACTTCTCTGTGATGATTGCATTCAACTCACAGAGTTGAACCCTCCTATGGATAGAGCAGTGTTGAAACTCTCTTTTTGTGGAATCTGCAAGTGGATATGTGGACCTCTCCGAAGATGTCTTTGGAAACGGGAATATCTTCACATAAAAACTAAACAGAAGCATTCTCAGAAACTTCTTGGTGATGTTTGCATTCAAATCCCAGAGTTGAACCTTCCTTTGATAGTTCAGGTTTGAAACACTCTTTTTGTAGGATCTGCAAGTGGATATTTGGACCACTCTGTGGCCTTCGTTCGAAACGGGTACATCTTCGCATAAAATCTAGACAGAAGCATTCTCAGAAAATACTTTGTGATGATTGAGTTTAACTCACAGAGCTGAACATTCCTTTGGATGGAGCAGGTTTGAGACACACCTTTTGTAGAATCTACAAGTGGATATTTGGACCTCTCTGAGGATTTCGTTGGAAACGGGATAACTGCACCTAACTAAACGGAAGCATTCTCAGAAACTGCTTTGTGATGATTGCATTCACCTCACAGAGTTGAACATTCCTATTGATAGAGCAGTTTGGAAACACTCTTGTTGTGGAATGTGCAAGTGGAGATTTGGAGCGCTTTGAGGCCTATGGTAGTAAAGGGAATAGCTTCATAGAAAAACTAGACAGATGCATTCTCAGGAACTTTTTGGTGATGTTTGTATTCAACTCCCAGAGTTGAACTTTCCTTTGGAAAGAGCAGCTATGAAACACTGTTTTTCTAGAATCTGCAAGTGGACGTTTGGAGGGCTTTGTGGTTTGTGGTGGAAAAGGAAATATCTTCACCTAAATACTAGATAGAAGCATCCTCAGAAGCTTCTCTGTGATGACTGCATTCAACTCACGGAGTTGAACACTCCTTTTGAGAGCGCAGTTTTGAAACTCTCTTTCTGTGGCATCTGCAAGGGGACATGTAGACCTCTTTGAAGATTTCGTTGGAAACGGAATCATCTTCACATAAAAACTACACAGAAGCAGTCTCAGAATCTTCTTTGTGATGTTTGCATTCAAATCCCCGAGTTGAACTTTCCTTTCAAAGTTCACGTTTGAAACACTCTTTTTGCAGGATCTACAAGTGGATATTTGGACCACTCTGTGTCCTTCGATCGAAACGGGTATATCTTCACATGACATCTAGACAGAAGCTTTCTCAGAAAATTCTTTGGGATGATTGAGTTGAACTCACAGAGCTGAGCATTCCTTGCGATGTAGCAGTTTAGAAACACACTTTCTGCAGAATCTGCAAGTGCATATTTGGACCTCTGTGAGGAATTCGTTGGAAACGGGATAATTTCAGCTGACTAAACAGAAGCATTCTCAGAACCTTCTTCGTGATGTCTGCATTCAACTCACAGTGTGGAACCTTTCTTTGATAGTTCAGGTTTGAAACACTCTTTTTGTAGAAACTGCAAGGGGATAATTGCACTCTTTGAGGAGTACCGTAGTAAAGGAAATAACTTCCTATAAAAAGAAGACAGAAGCATTCTCAGTAACCCTCTTCGTGATGTTTGCATTCAACTCACAGTGCTGAACCTTTCTTTGATAGTTCAGCTTTGAAACACTCTTTTTGTAGAAACTGCAAGTGGATATTTGGTCCTCTCTGAGGAATTCGTTGGAAACGGGATAAACTGCACAGAACTAAACAGAAGCATTCTCAGAACCTTCTTCGTGATGTTTGCATTCAACTCACAGTGTTGAACCTTTCTTTGATAGTTCAGGTTTGAAACGGTCTTTCTGTAGAAACTGCAAGTAGATATTTGGACCTCTCTGAGGATTTCGTTGGAAACGGGATAACCCGCACAGAACTAAAACAGAAGCATTCACAGAAAACTCTTGGTGACGACTGAGTTTAACTCACAGAGCTGAACATTCCTTTGGATGGAGCAGTTTCGAAACACACTATTTGTAGAATGTGCAAGTGGATATTTAGGCCTCTCTGAGGATTTCGTTGGAAACGGGATAAACCGCACAGAACTAAACAGAAGCATTCTCAGAAACTACTTTGTGATGATTGCATTCAAGTCACAGAGTTGAACATTCCCTTTGACAGAGCAGTTTGGAAACTCTCTTTGTGTAGAATCTGCAAGTGGAGATATGGACCGCTTTGAGGCCTATGGTAGTAAAGGAAATAGCTTCATATAAAAGCTAGACAGTAGCATTCTCAGAAACTTCTTTGTGATGCTTGCATTCAACTCACAGAGTTGAACTTTCCTTTCGAGAGAGAAGCTTTGAAACACTCTTTTTCCAGAATCTGCAAGTGGACATTTGGAGGGCTTTGAGGCCTGTGGTGGAAAAGGAATTATCTTCCCGTAAAAGCTAGATAGAAGCATTGTCAGAAACTTCTTTGTGATGATTGCATTCAACTCACAGAGTTGAAGGTTCCTTTTCAAAGAGCAGTTTCCAATCACTCTTTGTGTGGAATCTGCAAGTGGATATTTGGACCTATTTTGAAGATTTCGTTGGAAACGGGAGAATCTTCACAGGAAAGCTAAACAGAAGCATTCTCAGAAACTTCTCTGTGATGTTTGTGTTCAACTCCCAGAGTTTCACATTGCTTTTCATAGAGTAGTTCTGAAACATGCTTTTCGTAGTGTCTACAAGTGGACATTTGGAGCGCTTTCAGGCCTGTGGTGGAAAACGAATTATGGTCACATAAAAACTGGAGAGAAGCCTTCTCAGAAACTTCTCTGTGATGATTGCATTCAACTCACAGAGTTGAACCCTCCTATGGATAGAGCAGTGTTGAAACTCTCTTTTTGTGGAATCTGCAAGTGGATATGTGGACCTCTCCGAAGATGTCTTTGGAAACGGGAATATCTTCACATAAAAACTAAACAGAAGCATTCTCAGAAACTTCTTGGTGATGTTTGCATTCAAATCCCAGAGTTGAACCTTCCTTTGCTAGTTCAGGTTTGAAACACTCTTTTTGTAGGATCTGCAAGTGGATATTTGGACCACTCTGTGGCCTTCGTTCGAAACGGGTACATCTTCGCATAAAATCTAGACAGAAGCATTCTCAGAAAATACTTTGTGATGATTGAGTTTAAATCACAGAGCTGACCATTCCTTTGGATGGAGCAGGTTTGAGACACACTTTTTGTAGAATCTACAAGTGGATATTTGGACCTCTCTGAGGATTTCGTTGGAAACGGGATAACTGCACCTAACTAAACGGAAGCATTCTCAGAAACTGCTTTGTGATGATTGCATTCACCTCACAGAGTTGACCATTCCTATTGATAGAGCAGTTTGGAAACACTCTTGTTGTGGAATGTGCAAGTGGAGATTTGGAGCGCTTTGAGGCCTATGGTAGTAAAGGGAATAGCTTCATAGAAAAACTAGACAGATGCATTCTCAGGAACTTTTTGGTGATGTTTGTATTCAACTCCCAGAGTTGAACTTTCCTTTGGAAAGAGCAGCTATGAAACACTCTTTTTCTAGAATCTGCAAGTGGACGTTTGGAGGGCTTTGTGGTTTGTGGTGGAAAAGGAAATATCTTCACCTAAATACTAGATAGAAGCATTCTCAGAAGCTTCTCTGTGATGACTGCATTCAACTCACGGAGTTGAACACTCCTTTTGAGAGCGCAGTTTTGAAACTCTCTTTCTGTGGCATCTGCAAGGGGACATGTAGACCTCTTTGAAGATTTCGTTGGAAACGGAATCATCTTCACATCAAAACTATACAGAAAGCAGTCTCAGTAATCTTCTTTGTGATGTTAGCATTCAAATCCCAGAGTTGAACTTTCCTTTCAAAGTTCACGTTTGAAACACTCTTTTTGCAGGATCTACAAGTGGATATTTGGACCACTCTGTGTCCTTCGTTCGAAACGGATATATCTTCACATGACATCTAGACAGAAGCTTTCTCAGAAAATTCTTTGGGATGATTGAGTGGAACTCACAGAGCTGAACATTCCTTGCGATGTAGCAGTTTAGAAACACACTTTCTGCAGAATCTGCAAGTGCATATTTGGACCTCTCTGAGGAATTCGTTGGAAACGGGATAATTTCAGCTGACTAAACAGAAGCATTCTCAGAACCTTCTTCGTGATGTCTGCATTCAACTCACAGTGTGGAACCTTTCTTTGATAGTTCAGGTTTGAAACACTCTTTTTGTAGAAACTGCAAGGGGATAATTGCACTTCTTTGAGGCCTACCGTAGTAAAGGAAATAACTTCCTATAGAAAGAAGACAGAAGCATTCTCAGAACCCTCTTCGTGATGTTTGCATTCAACTCACAGTGCTGAACCTTTCTTTGATAGTTCAGCTTTGAAACACTCTTCTTGTAGAAACTGCAAGTGGATATTTGGTCCTCTCTGAGGATTTCGTTGGAAACGGGATAAACCGCACAGAACTAAACAGAAGAATTCTCAGAGCCCTCTTCGTGATGTTTGCATTCAACTCACAGTGCTGAACCTTTCTTTGATAGTGCAGCTTTGAAACACTCTTTTTGTAGAAACTGCAAGTGGATGTTTGGTCCTCTCTGAGGATTTCGTTGGAAACGGGATAAACCGCACAGAACTAAAACAGAAGCATTGTCAGAAACTTCTTTGTGATGATTGCATTCAACTCACAGAGTTGAAGGTTCCTTTTCAAACAGCAGTTTCCAATCACTCTTTCTGTGGAATCTGCAAGTGGATATTTGGGCCTCTCTGAGGATTTCGTTGGAAACGGGATAAAACGCACAGAACTAAAACAGAAGCATTCTCAGAAACTTCTCTGTGATGTTTGTGTTCAACTCCCAGAGTTTCACGTTGCTTTTCATAGAGTAGTTCTGAAACATGCTTTTCGTAGTGTCTGCAAGTGGACATTTGGAGCGCTTTCAGGCCTGTGGTGGAAAACGAATTATGGTCACATAAAAACTGGAGAGAAGCCTTCTCAGAAACTTCTCTGTGATGATTGCATTCAACTCACAGAGTTGAACCCTCCTATGGATAGAGCAGTGTTGAAACTCTCTTTTTGTGGAATCTGCAAGTGGATATGTGGACCTCTCCGAAGATGTCTTTGGAAACGGGAATATCTTCACATAAAAACTAAACAGAAGCATTCTCAGAAACTTCTTGGTGATGTTTGCATTCAAATCCCAGAGTTGAACCTTCCTTTGATAGTTCAGGTTTGAAACACTCTTTTTGTAGGATCTGCAAGTGGCTATTTGGACCACTCTGTGGCCTTCGTTCGAAACGGGTATATCTTCGCATAAAATCTAGACAGAAGCATTCTCAGAAAATACTTTGTGATGATTGAGTTTAAATCACAGAGCTGACCATTCCTTTGGATGGAGCAGGTTTGAGACACACTTTTTGTAGAATCTACAAGTGGATATTTGGACCTCTCTGAGGATTTCGTTGGAAACGGGATAACTGCACCTAACTAAACGGAAGCATTCTCAGAAACTGCTTTGTGATGATTGCATTCACCTCACAGAGTTGAACATTCCTATTGATAGAGCAGTTTGGAAACACTCTTGTTGTGGAATGTGCAAGTGGAGATTTGGAGCGCTTTGAGGCCTATGGTAGTAAAGGGAATAGCATCATAGAAAAACTAGACAGATGCATTCTCAGGAACTTTTTGGTGATGTTTGTATTCAACTCCCAGAGTTGAACTTTCCTTTGGAAAGAGCAGCTATGAAACACTCTTTTTCTAGAATCTGCAAGTGGACGTTTGGAGGGCTTTGTGGTTTGTGGTGGAAAAGGAAATATCTTCACCTAAATACTAGATAGAAGCATTCTCAGAAGCTTCTCTGTGATGACTGCATTCAACTCACGGAGTTGAACACTCCTTTTGAGAGCGCAGTTTTGAAACTCTCTTTCTGTGGCATCTGCAAGGGGACATGTAGACCTCTTTGAAGATTTCGTTGGAAACGGAATCATCTTCACATAAAAACTATACAGAAGCAGTCTCAGAATCTTCTTTGTGATGTTTGCATTCAAATCCCAGAGTTGAACTTTCCTTTCAAAGTTCACGTTTGAAACACTCTTTTTGCAGGATCTACAAGTGGATATTTGGACCACTCTGTGTCCTTCGTTCGAAACGGGTATATCTTCACAGGACATCTAGACAGAAGCTTTCTCAGAAAATTCTTTGGGATGATTGAGTGGAACTCACAGAGCTGAACATTCCTTGCGATGTAGCAGTTTAGAAACACACTTTCTGCAGAATCTGCAAGTGCATATTTGGACCTCTCTGAGGAATTCGTTGGAAACGGGATAATTTCAGCTGACTAAACAGAAGCATTCTCAGAACCTTCTTCGTGATGTCTGCATTCAACTCACAGTGTGGAACCTTTCTTTGATAGTTCAGGTTTGAAACACTCTTTTTGTAGAAACTGCAAGGGGATAATTGCACTTCTTTGAGGCCTACCGTAGTAAAGGAAATAACTTCCTATAGAAAGAAGACAGAAGCATTCTCAGAACCCTCTTCGTGATGTTTGCATTCAACTCACAGTGCTGAACCTTTCTTTGATAGTTCAGCTTTGAAACACTCTTCTTGTAGAAACTGCAAGTGGATATTTGGTCCTCTCTGAGGATTTCGTTGGAAACGGGATAAACCGCACAGAACTAAACAGAAGAACTCTCAGAGCCCTCTTCGTGATGTTTGCATTCAACTCACAGTGCTGAACCTTTCTTTGATAGTGCAGCTTTGAAACACTCTTTTTGTAGAAACTGCAAGTGGATATTTGGTCCTCTCTGAGGATTTCGTTGGAAACGGGATAAACCGCACAGAACTAAAACAGAAGCATTCACAGAAAACTCTTGGTGACGACTGAGTTTAACTCACAGAGCTGAACATTCCTTTGGATGGAGCAGTTTCGAAACACACTATTTGTAGAATCTGCAAGTGGATATTTGGGCCTCTCTGAGGATTTCGTTGGAAACGGGATAAAACGCACAGAACTAAAACAGAAGCATTCTCAGAAACTACTTTGTGATGATTGCATTCAAGTCACAGAGTTGAACATTCCCTTTGACAGAGCAGTTTGGAAACTCTCTTTGTGTAGAATCTGCAAGTGGAGATATGGACCGCTTTGAGGCCTATGGTAGTAAAGGAAAGAGCTTCATATAAAAGCTAGACAGTAGCATTCTCAGAAACTTCTTTGTGATGCTTGCATTCAACTCACAGAGTTGAACTTTCCTTTCGAGAGAGAAGCTTTGAAACACTCTTTTTCCAGAATGTGCAAGTGGACATTTGGGGAGCTTTGAGGCCTGGGGTGGAAAAGGAATTATCTTCCCGTAAAAGCTAGATAGAAGCATTGTCAGAAACTTCTTTGTGATGATTGCATTCAACTCACAGAGTTGAAGGTTCCTTTTCAAACAGCAGTTTCCAATCACTCTTTCTGTGGAATCTGCAAGTGGATATTTCGACCTCTTTGAAGATTTCGTTGGAAACGGGAGAATCTTCACAGAAAAGCTAAACAGAAGCATTCTCAGAAACTTCTCTGTGATGTTTGTGTTCAACTCCCAGAGTTTCACGTTGCTTTTCATAGAGTAGTTCTGAAACATGCTTTTCGTAGTGTCTGCAAGTGGACATTTGGAGCGCTTTCAGGCCTGTGGTGGAAAACGAATTATGGTCACATAAAAACTGGAGAGAAGCCTTCTCAGAAACTTCTCTGTGATGATTGCATTCAACTCACAGAGTTGAACCCTCCTATGGATAGAGCAGTGTTGAAACTCTCTTTTTGTGGAATCTGCAAGTGGATATGTGGACCTCTCCGAAGATGTCTTTGGAAACGGGAATATCTTCACATAAAAACTAAACAGAAGCATTCTCAGAAACTTCTTGGTGATGTTTGCATTCAAATCCCAGAGTTGAACCTTCCTTTGATAGTTCAGGTTTGAAACACTCTTTCTGTAGGATCTGCAAGTGGCTATTTGGACCACTCTGTGGCCTTCGTTCGAAACGGGTATATCTTCGCATAAAATCTAGACAGAAGCATTCTCAGAAAATACTTTGTGATGATTGAGTTTAAATCACAGAGCTGACCATTCCTTTGGATGGAGCAGGTTTGAGACACACTTTTTGTAGAATCTACAAGTGGATATTTGGACCTCTCTGAGGATTTCGTTGGAAACGGGATAACTGCACCTAACTAAACGGAAGCATTCTCAGAAACTGCTTTGTGATGATTGCATTCACCTCACAGAGTTGAACATTCCTATTGATAGAGCAGTTTGGAAACACTCTTGTTGTGGAATGTGCAAGTGGAGATTTGGAGCGCTTTGAGGCCTATGGTAGTAAAGGGAATAGCTTCATAGAAAAACTAGACAGATGCATTCTCAGGAACCTTTTGGTGATGTTTGTATTCAACTCCCAGAGTTGAACTTTCCTTTGGAAAGAGCAGCTATGAAACACTCTTTTTCTAGAATCTGCAAGTGGACGTTTGGAGGGCTTTGTGGTTTGTGGTGGAAAAGGAAATATCTTCACCTAAATACTAGATAGAAGCATTCTCAGAAGCTTCTCTGTGATGACTGCATTCAACTCACGGAGTTGAACACTCCTTTTGAGAGCGCAGTTTTGAAACTCTCTTTCTGTGGCATCTGCAAGGGGACATGTAGACCTCTTTGAAGATTTCGTTGGAAACGGAATCATCTTCACATAAAAACTATACAGAAGCAGTCTCAGAATCTTCTTTGTGATGTTTGCATTCAAATCCCAGAGTTGAACTTTCCTTTCAAAGTTCACGTTTGAAACACTCTTTTTGCAGGATCTACAAGTGGATATTTGGACCACTCTGTGTCCTTCGTTCGAAACGGGTATATCTTCACACGACATCTAGACAGAAGCTTTCTCAGAAAATTCTTTGGGATGATTGAGTGGAACTCACAGAGCTGAACATTCCTTGCGATGTAGCAGTTTAGAAACACACTTTCTGCAGAATCTGCAAGTGCATATTTGGACCTCTCTGAGGAATTCGTTGGAAACGGGATAATTTCAGCTGACTAAACAGAAGCATTCTCAGAACCTTCTTCGTGATGTCTACATTCAACGCACAGTGTGGAACCTTTCTTTGATAGTTCAGGTTTGAAACACTCTTTTTGTAGAAACTGCAAGGGGATAATTGCACTTCTTTGAGGCCTACCGTAGTAAAGGAAATAACTTCCTATAGAAAGAAGACAGAAGCATTCTCAGAACCCTCTTCGTGATGTTTGCATTCCACTCACGGTGCTGAACCTTTCTTTGATAGTTCAGCTTTGAAATACTCTTCTTGTAGAAACTGCAAGTGGATATTTGGTCCTCTCTGAGGATTTCGTTGGAAACGGGATAAACCGCACAGAACTAAACAGAAGCATTCTCAGAGCCCTCTTCGTGATGTTTGCATTCAACTCACAGTGCTGAACCTTTCTTTGATAGTGCAGCTTTGAAACACTCTTTTTGTAGAAACTGCAAGTGGATATTTGGTCCTCTCTGAGGATTTCGTTGGAAACGGGATAAACCGCACAGAACTAAAACAGAAGCATTCACAGAAAACTCTTGGTGACGACTGAGTTTAACTCACAGAGCTGAACATTCCTTTGGATGGAGCAGTTTCGAAACACACTATTTGTAGAATCTGCAAGTGGATATTTGGGCCTCTCTGAGGATTTCGTTGGAAACGGGATAAAACGCACAGAACTAAAACAGAAGCATTCTCAGAAACTACTTTGTGATGATTGCATTCAAGTCACAGAGTTGAACATTCCCTTTGACAGAGCAGTTTGGAAACTCTCTTTGTGTAGAATCTGCAAGTGGAGATATGGACCGCTTTGAGGCCTATGGTAGTAAAGGAAATAGCTTCATATAAAAGCTAGACAGTAGCATTCTCAGAAACTTCTTTGTGATGCTTGCATTCAACTCACAGAGTTGAACTTTCCTTTCGAGAGAGAAGCTTTGAAACACTCTTTTTCCAGAATGTGCAAGTGGACATTTTGGGAGCTTTGAGGCCTGTGGTGGAAAAGGAATTATCTTCCCGTAAAAGCTAGATAGAAGCATTGTCAGAAACTTCTTTGTGATGATTGCATTCAACTCACAGAGTTGAAGGTTCCTTTTCAAACAGCAGTTTCCAATCACTCTTTCTGTGGAATCTGCAAGTGGATATTTGGGCCTCTCTGAGGATTTCGTTGGAAACGGGATAAAACGCACAGAACTAAAACAGAAGCATTCTCAGAAACTTCTCTGTGATGTTTGTGTTCAACTCCCAGAGTTTCACGTTGCTTTTCATAGAGTAGTTCTGAAACATGCTTTTCGTAGTGTCTGCAAGTGGACATTTGGAGCGCTTTCAGGCCTGTGGTGGAAAACGAATTATGGTCACATAAAAACTGGAGAGAAGCCTTCTCAGAAACTTCTCTGTGATGATTGCATTCAACTCACAGAGTTGAACCCTCCTATGGATAGAGCAGTGTTGAAACTCTCTTTTTGTGGAATCTGCAAGTGGATATGTGGACCTCTCCGAAGATGTCTTTGGAAACGGGAATATCTTCACATAAAAACTAAACAGAAGCATTCTCAGAAACTTCTTGGTGATGTTTGCATTCAAATCCCAGAGTTGAACCTTCCTTTGATAGTTCAGGTTTGAAACACTCTTTCTGTAGGATCTGCAAGTGGCTATTTGGACAACTCTGTGGCCTTCGTTCGAAACGGGTATATCTTCGCATAAAATCTAGACAAAAGCATTCTCAGAAAATACTTTGTGATGATTGAGTTTAAATCACAGAGCTGACCATTCCTTTGGATGGAGCAGGTTTGAGACACACTTTTTGTAGAATCTACAAGTGGATATTTGGACCTCTCTGAGGATTTCGTTGGAAACGGGATAACTGCACCTAACTAAACGGAAGCATTCTCAGAAACTGCTTTGTGATGATTGCATTCACCTCACAGAGTTGAACATTCCTATTGATAGAGCAGTTTGGAAACACTCTTGTTGTGGAATGTGCAAGTGGAGATTTGGAGCGCTTTGAGGCCTATGGTAGTAAAGGGAATAGCTTCATAGAAAAACTAGACAGATGCATTCTCAGGAACTTTTTGGTGATGTTTGTATTCAACTCCCAGAGTTGAACTTTCCTTTGGAAAGAGCAGCTATGAAACACTCTTTTTCTAGAATCTGCAAGTGGACGTTTGGAGGGCTTTGTGGTTTGTGGTGGAAAAGGAAATATCTTCACCTAAATACTAGATAGAAGCATTCTCAGAAGCTTCTCTGTGATGACTGCATTCAACTCACGGAGTTGAACACTCCTTTTGAGAGCGCAGTTTTGAAACTCTCTTTCTGTGGCATCCGCAAGGGGACATGTGGACCTCTTTGAAGATTTCGTTGGAAACGGAATCATCTTCACATAAAAACTATACAGAAGCAGTCTCAGAATCTTCTTTGTGATGTTTGCATTCAAATCCCAGAGTTGAACTTTCCTTTCAAAGTTCACGTTTGAAACACTCTTTTTGCAGGATCTACAAGTGGATATTTGGACCACTCTGTGTCCTTCGTTCGAAACGGGTATATCTTCACAGGACATCTAGACAGAAGCTTTCTCAGAAAATTCTTTGGGATGATTGAGTGGAACTCACAGAGCTGAACATTCCTTGCGATGTAGCAGTTTAGAAACACACTTTCTGCAGAATCTGCAAGTGCATATTTGGACCTCTCTGAGGAATTCGTTGGAAACGGGATAATTTCAGCTGACTAAACAGAAGCATTCTCAGAACCTTCTTCGTGATGTCTGCATTCAACTCACAGTGTGGAACCTTTCTTTGATAGTTCAGGTTTGAAACACTCTTTTTGTAGAAACTGCAAGGGGATAATTGCACTTCTTTGAGGCCTACCGTAGTAAAGGAAATAACTTCCTATAGAAAGAAGACAGAAGCATTCTCAGAACCCTCTTCGTGATGTTTGCATTCAACTCACAGTGCTGAACCTTTCTTTGATAGTTCAGCTTTGAAACACTCTTCTTGTAGAAACTGCAAGTGGATATTTGGTCCTCTCTGAGGATTTCGTTGGAAACGGGATAAACCGCACAGAACTAAACAGAAGAATTCTCAGAGCCCTCTTCGTGATGTTTGCATTCAACTCACAGTGCTGAACCTTTCTTTGATAGTGCAGCTTTGAAACACTCTTTTTGTAGAAACTGCAAGTGGATGTTTGGTCCTCTCTGAGGATTTCGTTGGAAACGGGATAAACCGCACAGAACTAAAACAGAAGCATTGTCAGAAACTTCTTTGTGATGATTGCATTCAACTCACAGAGTTGAAGGTTCCTTTTCAAACAGCAGTTTGCAATCACTCTTTCTGTGGAATCTGCAAGTGGATATTTGGGCCTCTCTGAGGATTTCGTTGGAAACGGGATAAAACGCACAGAACTAAAACAGAAGCATTCTCAGAAACTTCTCTGTGATGTTTGTGTTCAACTCCCAGAGTTTCACGTTGCTTTTCATAGAGTAGTTCTGAAACATGCTTTTCGTAGTGTCTGCAAGTGGACATTTGGAGCGCTTTCAGGCCTGTGGTGGAAAACGAATTATGGTCACATAAAAACTGGAGAGAAGCCTTCTCAGAAACTTCTCTGTGATGATTGCATTCAACTCACAGAGTTGAACCCTCCTATGGATAGAGCAGTGTTGAAACTCTCTTTTTGTGGAATCTGCAAGTGGATATGTGGACCTCTCCGAAGATGTCTTTGGAAACGGGAATATCTTCACATAAAAACTAAACAGAAGCATTCTCAGAAACTTCTTGGTGATGTTTGCATTCAAATCCCAGAGTTGAACCTTCCTTTGATAGTTCAGGTTTGAAACACTCTTTCTGTAGGATCTGCAAGTGGCTATTTGGACCACTCTGTGGCCTTCGTTCGAAACGGGTATATCTTCGCATAAAATCTAGACAGAAGCATTCTCAGAAAATACTTTGTGATGATTGAGTTTAAATCACAGAGCTGACCATTCCTTTGGATGGAGCAGGTTTGAGACACACTTTTTGTAGAATCTACAAGTGGATATTTGGACCTCTCTGAGGATTTCGTTGGAAACGGGATAACTGCACCTAACTAAACGGAAGCATTCTCAGAAACTGCTTTGTGATGATTGCATTCACCTCACAGAGTTGAACATTCCTATTGATAGAGCAGTTTGGAAACACTCTTGTTGTGGAATGTGCAAGTGGAGATTTGGAGCGCTTTGAGGCCTATGGTAGTAAAGGGAATAGCTTCATAGAAAAACTAGACAGATGCATTCTCAGGAACCTTTTGGTGATGTTTGTATTCAACTCCCAGAGTTGAACTTTCCTTTGGAAAGAGCAGCTATGAAACACTCTTTTTCTAGAATCTGCAAGTGGACGTTTGGAGGGCTTTGTGGTTTGTGGTGGAAAAGGAAATATCTTCACCTAAATACTAGATAGAAGCATTCTCAGAAGCTTCTCTGTGATGACTGCATTCAACTCACGGAGTTGAACACTCCTTTTGAGAGCGCAGTTTTGAAACTCTCTTTCTGTGGCATCTGCAAGGGGACATGTAGACCTCTTTGAAGATTTCGTTGGAAACGGAATCATCTTCACATAAAAACTATACAGAAGCAGTCTCAGAATCTTCTTTGTGATGTTTGCATTCAAATCCCAGAGTTGAACTTTCCTTTCAAAGTTCACGTTTGAAACACTCTTTTTGCAGGATCTACAAGTGGATATTTGGACCACTCTGTGTCCTTCGTTCGAAACGGGTATATCTTCACACGACATCTAGACAGAAGCTTTCTCAGAAAATTCTTTGGGATGATTGAGTGGAACTCACAGAGCTGAACATTCCTTGCGATGTAGCAGTTTAGAAACACACTTTCTGCAGAATCTGCAAGTGCATATTTGGACCTCTCTGAGGAATTCGTTGGAAACGGGATAATTTCAGCTGACTAAACAGAAGCATTCTCAGAACCTTCTTCGTGATGTCTGCATTCAACTCACAGTGTGGAACCTTTCTTTGATAGTTCAGGTTTGAAACACTCTTTTTGTAGAAACTGCAAGGGGATAATTGCACTTCTTTGAGGCCTACCGTAGTAAAGGAAATAACTTCCTATAGAAAGAAGACAGAAGCATTCTCAGAACCCTCTTCGTGATGTTTGCATTCAACTCACAGTGCTGAACCTTTCTTTGATAGTTCAGCTTTGAAACACTCTTCTTGTAGAAACTGCAAGTGGATATTTGGTCCTCTCTGAGGACTTCGTTGGAAACGGGATAAACCGCACAGAACTAAACAGAAGCATTCTCAGAACCTTCTTCGTGATGTTTGCATTCAACTCACAGTGTTGAACCTTTCTTTGATAGTTCAGGTTTGAAACGGTCTTTCTGTAGAAACTGCAAGTAGATATTTGGACCTCTCTGAGGATTTCGTTGGAAACGGGATAAACCGCACAGAACTAAAACAGAAGCATTCACAGAAAACTCTTGGTGACGACTGAGTTTAACTCACAGAGCTGAACATTCCTTTGGATGGAGCAGTTTCGAAACACACTATTTGTAGAATGTGCAAGTGGATATTTGGACCTCTCTGAGGATTTCGTTGGAAACGGGATAAACCGCACAGAACTAAACAGAAGCATTCTCAGAAACTACTTTGTGATGATTGCATTCAAGTCACAGAGTTGAACATTCCCTTTGACAGAGCAGTTTGGAAACTCTCTTTGTGTAGAATCTGCAAGTGGAGATATGGACCGCTTTGAGGCCTATGGTAGTAAAGGAAATAGCTTCATATAAAAGCTAGACAGTAGCATTCTCAGAAACTTCTTTGTGATGCTTGCATTCAACTCACAGAGTTGAACTTTCCTTTCGAGAGAGAAGCTTTGAAACACTCTTTTTCCAGAATCTGCAAGTGGACATTTGGAGGGCTTTGAGGCCTGTGGTGGAAAAGGAATTAACTTCCCGTAAAAGCTAGATAGAAGCATTGTCAGAAACTTCTTTGTGATGATTGCATTCAACTCAAAGAGATGAAGGTTCCTTTACAAACAGCAGTTTCCAAACACTCTTTCTGTGGAATCTGCAAGTGGATATTTGGACCTCTTTGAAGATTTCGTTGGAAACGGGAGAATCTTCACAGAAAAGCTAAACAGAAGCATTCTCAGAAACTTCTCTGTGATGTTTGTGTTCAACTCCCAGAGTTTCACATTGCTTTTCATAGAGTAGTTCTGAAACATGCTTTTCGTAGTGTCTGCAAGTGGACATTTGGAGCGCTTTCAGGCCTGTGGTGGAAAACGAATTATGGTCCCATAAAAACTGGAGAGAAGCCTTCTCAGAAACTTCTCTGTGATGATTGCATTCAACTCACAGATTTGAACCCTCCTATGGATAGAGCATTGTTGAAACTCTCTTTTTGTGGAATCTGCAAGTGGATATGTGGACCTCTCCGAAGATGTCTTTGGAAACGGGAATATCTTCACATAAAAACTAAACAGAAGCATTCTCAGAATCTTCTTGGTGATGTTTGCATTCAAATCCCAGAGTTGAACCTTCCTGTGATAGTTCAGGTTTGAAACACTCTTTTTGTAGGATCTGCAAGTGGATATTTGGACCACTCTGTGGCCTTCGTTCGAAACGGGTACATCTTCACATAAAATCTAGACAGAAGCATTCTCAGAAAATACTTTGTGATGATTGAGTTTAACTCACAGAGCTGAACATTCCTTTGGATGGAGCAGGTTTGAGACACACTTTTTGTAGAATCTACAAGTGGATATTTGGACCTCTCTGAGGATTTCGTTGGAAACGCGATAACTGCACCTAACTAAACGGAAGCATTCTCAGAAACTACTTTGTGATGATTGCATTCACCTCACAGAGTTGAACATTCCTATTGATAGAGCAGTTTGGAAACACTCTTGTTGTGGAATGTGCAAGTGGAGATTTGGAGCGCTTTGAGGCCTATGGTAGTAAAGGGAATAGCTTCATAGAAAAACTAGACAGATGCATTCTCAGGAACTTTTTGGTGATGTTTGTATTCAACTCCCAGAGTTGAACTTTCCTTTGGAAAGAGCAGCTATGAAACACTCTTTTTCTAGAATCTGCAAGTGGACGTTTGGAGGGCTTTGTGGTTTGTGGTGGAAAAGGAAATATCTTCACCTAAATACTAGATAGAAGCATTCTCAGAAGCTTCTCTGTGATGACTGCATTCAACTCACGGAGTTGAACACTCCTTTTGAGAGCGCAGTTTTGAAACTCTCTTTCTGTGGCATCTGCAAGGGGACATGTAGACCTCTTTGAAGATTTCGTTGGAAACGGAATCATCTTCACATAAAAACTATACAGAAGCAGTCTCAGAATCTTCTTTGTGATGTTTGCATTCAAATCCCAGAGTTGAACTTTCCTTTCAAAGTTCACGTTTGAAACACTCTTTTTGCAGGATCTACAAGTGGATATTTGGACCACTCTGTGTCCTTCGTTCGAAACGGGTATAACTTCACACGACATCTAGACAGAAGCTTTCTCAGAAAATTCTTTGGGATGATTCAGTTGAACTCACAGAGCTGAACATTCCTTGTGATGTAGCAGTTTAGAAACACACTTTCTGCAGAATCTGCAAGTGCATATTTGGACCTCTCTGAGGAATTCGTTGGAAACGGGATAATTTCAGCTGACTAAACAGAAGCATTCTCAGAACCTTCTTCGTGATGTCTGCATTCAACTCACAGTGTGGAACCTTTCTTTGATAGTTCAGGTTTGAAACACTCTTTTTGTAGAAACTGCAAGGGGATAATTGCACTTCTTTGAGGCCTACCGTAGTAAAGGAAATAACTTCCTATAAAAAGAAGACAGAAGCATTCTCAGAACCTTCTTCGTGATAATTGCATTCAACTCACACTGCTGAACCTTTCTTTGATAGTTCAGCTTTGAAACACTCTTTTTGTAGAAACTGCAAGTGGATATTTGGTCCTCTCTGAGGATTTCGTTGGAAACGGGATAAACCGCACAGAACTAAACAGAAGCATTCACAGAAAACGCTTGGTGACGACTGAGTTTAACTCACAGAGCTGAACATTCCTTTGGATGGAGCAGTTTCGAAACACACTATTTGTAGAATCTGCAAGTGGATATTTGGGCCTCTCTGAGGATTTCGTTGGAATCGGGATAAACCGCACAGAACTAAAACAGAAGCATTCTGAGAAACTACTTTGTGATGATTGCATTCAAGTCACAGAGCTGAACATTCCCTTTGACAGAGCAGTTTGGAAACTCTCTTTGTGTAGAATCTGCAAGTGGAGATATGGAATGCTTTGAGGACTATGGTAGTAAAGGAAATAGCTCCATATAAAAGCTAGACAGTAGCATTCTCAGAAACTTCTTTGTGATGCTTGCATTCAACTCACAGAGTTGAACTTTCCTTTCGAGAGAGAAGCTTTGAAACACTCTTTTTCCAGAATCTGCAAGTGGACATTTGGAGGGCTTTGAGGCCTGTGGTGGAAAAGGAATTATCTTCCCGTAAAAGCTAGATAGAAGCATTGTCAGAAACTTCTTTGTGATGATTGCATTCAACTCACAGAGATGAAGGTTCCTTTACAAACAGCAGTTTCCAAACACTCTTTCTGTGGAATCTGCAAGTGGATATTTGGACCTCTTTGAAGATTTCGTTGGAAACGGGAGAATCTTCACAGAAAAGCTAAACAGAAGCATTCTCAGAAACTTCTCTGTGATGTTTGTGTTCAACTCCCAGAGTTTCACATTGCTTTTCATAGAGTAGTTCTGAAACATGCTTTTCGTAGTGTCTGCAAGTGGACATTTGGAGCGCTTTCAGGCCTGTGGTGGAAAACGAATTATGGTCCCATAAAAACTGGAGAGAAGCCTTCTCAGAAACTTCTCTGTGATGATTGCATTCAACTCACAGATTTGAACCCTCCTATGGATAGAGCATTGTTGAAACTCTCTTTTTGTGGAATCTGCAAGTGGATATGTGGACCTCTCCGAAGATGTCTTTGGAAACGGGAATATCTTCACATAAAAACTAAACAGAAGCATTCTCAGAAACTTCTTGGTGATGTTTGCATTCCAATCCCAGAGTTGAACCTTCCTGTGATAGTTCAGGTTTGAAACACTCTTTTTGTAGGATCTGCAAGTGGATATTTGGACCACTCTGTGGCCTTCGTTCGAAACGGGTACATCTTCACATAAAATCTAGACAGAAGCATTCTCAGAAAATACTTTGTGATGATTGAGTTTAACTCACAGAGCTGAACATTCCTTTGGATGGAGCAGGTTTGAGACACACTTTTTGTAGAATCTACAAGTGGATATTTGGACCTCTCTGAGGATTTCGTTGGAAACGCGATAACTGCACCTAACTAAACGGAAGCATTCTCAGAAACTGCTTTGTGATGATTGCATTCACCTCACAGAGTTGAACATTCCTATTGATAAAGCAGTTTGGAAACACTCTTGTTGTGGAATGTGCAAGTGGAGATTTGGAGCGCTTTGAGGCCTATGGTAGTAAAGGGGATAGCTTCATAGAAAAACTAGACAGATGCATTCTCAGGAACTTTTTGGTGATGTTTGTATTCAACTCGCAGAGTTGAACTTTCCTTTGGAAAGAGCAGCTATGAAACACTCTTTTTCTAGAATCTGCAAGTGGACGTTTGGAGGGCTTTGTGGTTTGTGGTGGAAAAGGAAATATCTTCACCTAAATACTAGATAGAAGCATTCTCAGAAGCTTCTCTGTGATGACTGCATTCAACTCACGGAGTTGAACACTCCTTTTGAGAGCGCAGTTTTGAAACTCTCTTTCTGTGGCATCTGCAAGGGGACATGTAGACCTCTTTGAAGATTTCGTTGGAAACGGAATCATCTTCACATAAAAACTATACAGAAGCAGTCTCAGAATCTTCTTTGTGATGTTTGCATTCAAATCCCAGAGTTGAACTTTCCTTTCAAAGTTCACGTTTGAAACACTCTTTTTGCAGGGTCTACAAGTGGATATTTGGACCACTCTGTGTCCTTCGTTCGAAACGGGTATATCTTCACATGACATCTAGACAGAAGCTTTCTCAGAAAATTCTTTGGGATGATTGAGTGGAACTCACAGAGCTGAACATTCCTTGCGATGTAGCAGTTTAGAAACACACTTTCTGCAGAATCTGCAAGTGCATATTTGGACCTCTCTGAGGAATTCGTTGGAAACGGGATAATTTCAGCTGACTAAACAGAAGCATTCTCAGAACCTTCTTCGTGATGTCTGCATTCAACTCACAGTGTGGAACCTTTCTTTGATAGTTCAGGTTTGAAACACTCTTTTTGTAGAAACTGCAAGGGGATAATTGCACTTCTTTGAGGCCTACCGTAGTAAAGGAAATAACTTCCTATAGAAAGAAGACAGAAGCATTCTCAGAACCCTCTTCGTGATGTTTGCATTCAACTCACAGTGCTGAACCTTTCTTTGATAGTTCAGCTTTGAAACACTCTTCTTGTAGAAACTGCAAGTGGATATTTGGTCCTCTCTGAGGATTTCGTTGGAAAAGGGATAAACCGCACAGAACTAAACAGAAGCATTCTCAGAACCTTCTTCGTGATGTTTGCATTCAACTCACAGTGTTGAACCTTTCTTTGATAGTTCAGGTTTGAAACGGTCTTTCTGTAGAAACTGCAAGTAGATATTTGGACCTCTCTGAGGATTTCGTTGGAAACGGGATAACCCGCACAGAACTAAAACAGAAGCATTCACAGAAAACTCTTGGTGACGACTGAGTTTAACTCACAGAGCTGAACATTCCTTTGGATGGAGCAGTTTCGAAACACACTATTTGTAGAATGTGCAAGTGGATATTTGGGCCTCTCTGAGGATTTCGTTGGAAACGGGATAAACCGCACAGAACTAAACAGAAGCATTCTCAGAAACTACTTTGTGATGATTGCATTCAAGTCACAGAGTTGAACATTCCCTTTGACAGAGCAGTTTGGAAACTCTCTTTGTGTAGAATCTGCAAGTGGAGATATGGACCGCTTTGAGGCCTATGGTAGTAAAGGAAATAGCTTCATATAAAAGCTAGACAGTAGCATTCTCAGAAACTTCTTTGTGATGCTTGCATTCAACTCACAGAGTTGAACTTTCCTTTCGAGAGAGAAGCTTTGAAACACTCTTTTTCCAGAATCTGCAAGTGGACATTTGGAGGGCTTTGAGGCGTGTGGTGGAAAAGGAATTAACTTCCCGTAAAAGCTAGATAGAAGCATTGTCAGAAACTTCTTTGTCACGATTGCATTCAACTCACAGAGATGAAGGTTCCTTTACAAACAGCAGTTTCCAAACACTCTTTCTGTGGAATCTGCAAGTGGATATTTGGACCTCTTTGAAGATTTCGTTGGAAACGGGAGAATCTTCACAGAAAAGCTAAACAGAAGCATCCTCAGAAACTTCTCTGTGATGTTTGTGTTCAACTCCCAGAGTTTCACATTGCTTTTCATAGAGTAGTTCTGAAACATGCTTTTCGTAGTGTCTGCAAGTGGACATTTGGAGCGCTTTCAGGCCTGTGGTGGAAAACGAATTATGGTCCCATAAAAACTGGAGGGAAGCCTTCTCAGAAACTTCTCTGTGATGATTGCATTCAAGTCACAGATTTGAACCCTCCTATGGATAGAGCATTGTTGAAACTCTCTTTTTGTGGAATCTGCAAGTGGATATGTGGACCTCTCCGAAGATGTCTTTGGAAACGGGAATATCTTCGCATAAAAACTAAACAGAAGCATTCTCAGAAACTTCTTGGTGATGTTTGCATTCCAATCCCAGAGTTGAACCTTCCTGTGATAGTTCAGGTTTGAAACACTCTTTTTGTAGGATCTGCAAGTGGATATTTGGACCACTCTGTGGCCTTCGTTCGAAACGGGTACATCTTCACATAAAATCTAGACAGAAGCATTCTCAGAAAATACTTTGTGATGATTGAGTTTAACTCACAGAGCTGAACATTCCTTTGGATGGAGCAGGTTTGAGACACACTTTTTGTAGAATCTACAAGTGGATATTTGGACCTCTCTGAGGATTTCGTTGGAAACGCGATAACTGCACCTAACTAAACGGAAGCATTCTCAGAAACTGCTTTGTGATGATTGCATTCACCTCACAGAGTTGAACATTCCTATTGATAGAGCAGTTTGGAAACACTGTTGTTGTGGAATGTGCAAGTGGAGATTTGGAGCGCTTTGAGGCCTATGGTAGTAAAGGGAATAGCTTCATAGAAAAACTAGACAGATGCATTCTCAGGAACTTTTTGGTGATGTTTGTATTCAACTCCCAGAGTTGAACTTTCCTTTGGAAAGAGCAGCTATGAAACACTCTTTTTCTAGAATCTGCAAGTGGACGTTTGGAGGGCTTTGTGGTTTGTGGTGGAAAAGGAAATATCTTCACCTAAATACTAGATAGAAGCATTCTCAGAAGCTTCTCTGTGATGACTGCATTCAACTCACGGAGTTGAACACTCCTTTTGAGAGCGCAGTTTTGAAACTCTCTTTCTGTGGCATCTGCAAGGGGACATGTAGACCTCTTTGAAGATTTCGTTGGAAACGGAATCATCTTCACATAAAAACTATACAGAAGCAGTCTCAGAATCTTCTTTGTGATGTTTGCATTCAAATCCCAGAGTTGAACTTTCCTTTCAAAGTTCACGTTTGAAACACTCTTTTTGCAGGATCTACAAGTGGATATTTGGACCACTCTGTGTCCTTCGTTCGAAACGGGTATATCTTCACACGACATCTAGACAGAAGCTTTCTCAGAAAATTCTTTGGGATGATTGAGTGGAACTCACAGAGCTGAACATTCCTTGCGATGTAGCAGTTTAGACACACACTTTCTGCAGAATCTGCAAGTGCATATGTGGACCTCTCTGAGGAATTCGTTGGAAACGGGATAATTTCAGCTGACTAAACAGAAGCATTCTCAGAACCTTGTTCGTGATGTCTGCATTCAATTCACAGTGTGGAACCTTTCTTTGATAGTTCAGGTTTGAAACACTCTTTTTGTAGAAACTGCAAGGGGATAATTGCACTTCTTTGAGGCCTACCGTAGTAAAGGAAATAACTTCCTATAGAAAGAAGACAGAAGCATTCTCAGAACCCTCTTCGTGATGTTTGCATTCAACTCACAGTGCTGAACCTTTCTTTGATAGTTCAGCTTTGAAACACTCTTCTTGTAGAAACTGCAAGTGGATATTTGGTCCTCTCTGAGGATTTCGTTGGAAACGGGATAAACCGCACAGAACTAAACAGAAGAATTCTCAGAGCCCTCTTCGTGATGTTTGCATTCAACTCACAGTGCTGAACCTTTCTTTGATAGTGCAGCTTTGAAACACTCTTTTTGTAGAAACTGCAAGTGGATGTTTGGTCCTCTCTGAGGATTTCGTTGGAAACGGGATAAACCGCACAGAACTAAAACAGAAGCATTGTCAGAAACTTCTTTGTGATGATTGCATTCAACTCACAGAGTTGAAGGTTCCTTTTCAAACAGCAGTTTCCAATCACTCTTTCTGTGGAATCTGCAAGTGGATATTTGGGCCTCTCTGAGGATTTCATTGGAAACGGGATAAAACGCACAGAACTAAAACAGAAGCATTCTCAGAAACTTCTCTGTGATGTTTGTGTTCAACTCCCAGAGTTTCACATTGCTTTTCATAGAGTAGTTCTGAAACATGCTTTTCGTAGTGTCTACAAGTGGACATTTGGAGCGCTTTCAGGCCTGTGGTGGAAAACGAATTATGGTCACATAAAAACTGGAGAGAAGCCTTCTCAGAAACTTCTCTGTGATGATTGCATTCAACTCACAGAGTTGAACCCTCCTATGTATAGAGCAGTGTTGAAACTCTCTTTTTGTGGAATCTGCAAGTGGATATGTGGACCTCTCCGAAGATGTCTTTGGAAAAGGGAATATCTTCACATAAAAACTAAACAGAAGCATTCTCAGAAACTTCTTGGTGATGTTTGCATTCAAATCCCAGAGTTGAACCTTCCTTTGATAGTTCAGGTTTGAAACACTCTTTTTGTAGGATCTGCAAGTGGCTATTTGGACCACTCTGTGGCCTTCGTTCGAAACGGGTATATCTTCGCATAAAATCTAGACAGAAGCATTCTCAGAAAATACTTTGTGATGATTGAGTTTAAATCACAGAGCTGAACATTCCTTTGGATGGAGCAGGTTTGAGACACACTTTTTGTAGAATCTACAAGTGGATATTTGGACCTCTCGGAGGATTTCGTTGGAAACGGGATAACTGCACCTAACTAAACGGAAGCATTCTCAGAAACTGCTTTGTGATGATTGCATTCACCTCACAGAGTTGAACATTCCTATTGATAGAGCAGTTTGGAAACACTCTTGTTGTGGAATGTGCAAGTGGAGATTTGGAGCGCTTTGAGGCCTATGGTAGTAAAGGGAATAGCTTCATAGAAAAACTAGACAGATGCATTCTCAGGAACTTTTTGGTGATGTTTGTATTCAACTCCCAGAGTTGAACTTTCCTTTGGAAAGAGCAGCTATGAAACACTCTTTTTCTAGAATCTGCAAGTGGACGTTTGGAGGGCTTTGTGGTTTGTGGTGGAAAAGGAAATATCTTCACCTAAATACTAGATAGAAGCATTCTCAGAAGCTTCTCTGTGATGACTGCATTCAACTCACGGAGTTGAACACTCCTTTTGAGAGCGCAGTTTTGAAACTCTCTTTCTGTGGCATCTGCAAGGGGACATGTAGACCTCTTTGAAGATTTCGTTGGAAACGGAATCATCTTCACATAAAAACTATACAGAAGCAGTCTCAGAATCTTCTTTGTGATGTTTGCATTCAAATCCCAGAGTTGAACTTTCCTTTCAAAGTTCACGTTTGAAACACTCTTTTTGCAGGATCTACAAGTGGATATTTGGACCACTCTGTGTCCTTCGTTCGAAACGGGTATATCTTCACACGACATCTAGACAGAAGCTTTCTCAGAAAATTCTTTGGGATGATTGAGTGGAACCCACAGAGCTGAACATTCCTTGCGATGTAGCAGTTTAGAAACACACTTTCTGCAGAATCTGCAAGTGCATATTTGGACCTCTCTGAGGAATTCGTTGGAAACGGGATAATTTCAGCTGACTAAACAGAAGCATTCTCAGAACCTTCTTCGTGATGTCTGCATTCAACTCACAGTGTGGAACCTTTCTTTGATAGTTCAGGTTTGAAACACTCTTTTTGTAGAAACTGCAAGGGGATAATTGCACTTCTTTGAGGCCTACCGTAGTAAAGGAAATAACTTCCTATAGAAAGAAGACAGAAGCATTCTCAGAACCCTCTTCGTGATGTTTGCATTCAACTCACAGTGCTGAAGCTTTCTTTGATAGTTCAGCTTTGAAACACTCTTCTTGTAGAAACTGCAAGTGGATATTTGGTCCTCTCTGAGGATTTCGTTGGAAACGGGATAAACCGCACAGAACTAAACAGAAGCATTCTCAGAGCCCTCTTCGTGATGTTTGCATTCAACTCACAGTTCTGAACCTTTCTTTGATAGTGCAGCTTTGAAACACTCTTTTTGTAGAAACTGCAAGTGGATGTTTTGTCCTCCCTGAGGATTTCGTTGGAAACGGGATAAACCGCACAGAACTAAAACAGAAGCATTCTCAGAACCTTCTTCGTGATGTTTGCATTCAACTCACAGTGTTGAACCTTTCTTTGATAGTTCAGGTTTGAAACGGTCTTTCTGTAGAAACTGCAAGTAGATATTTGGACCTCTCTGAGGATTTCGTTGGAAACGGGATAACCCGCACAGAACTAAAACAGAAGCATTCACAGAAAACTCTTGGTGACGACTGAGTTTAACTCACAGAGCTGAACATTCCTTTGGATGGAGCAGTTTCGAAACACACTATTTGTAGAATGTGCAAGTGGATATTTAGGCCTCTCTGAGGATTTCGTTGGAAACGGGATAAACCGCACAGAACTAAACAGAAGCATTCTCAGAAACTACTTTGTGATGATTGCATTCAAG
Organism: Homo sapiens; assembly: GCF_000001405.40. Taxonomy (NCBI): domain Eukaryota; kingdom Metazoa; phylum Chordata; class Mammalia; order Primates; family Hominidae; genus Homo; species Homo sapiens. The sequence continues at coordinate 24,718,500 of NC_000017.11, forward strand.
TCACAGAGTTGAACATTCCCTTTGACAGAGCAGTTTGGAAACTCTCTTTGTGTAGAATCTGCAAGTGGAGATATGGACCGCTTTGAGGCCTATGGTAGTAAAGGAAATAGCTTCATATAAAAGCTAGACAGTAGCATTCTCAGAAACTTCTTTGTGATGCTTGCATTCAACTCACAGAGTTGAACTTTCCTTTCGAGAGAGAAGCTTTGAAACACTCTTTTTCCAGAATCTGCAAGTGGACATTTGGAGGGCTTTGAGGCCTGTGGTGGAAAAGGAATTATCTTCCCGTAAAAGCTAGATAGAAGCATTGTCAGAAACTACTTTGTGATGATTGCATTCAACTCACAGAGTTGAAGGTTCCTTTTCAAACAGCAGTTTCCAATCACTCTTTCTGTGGAATCTGCAAGTGGATATTTGGACCTCTTTGAAGATTTCGTTGGAAACGGGAGAATCTTCACAGAAAAGCTAAACAGAAGCATTCTCAGAAACTTCTCTGTGATGTTTGTGTTCAACTCCCAGAATTTCACATTGCTTTTCATAGAGTAGTTCTGAAACATGCTTTTCGTAGTGTCTGCAAGTGGACATTTGGAGCGCTTTCAGGCCTGTGGTGGAAAACGAATTATGGTCACATAAAAACTGGAGAGAAGCCTTCTCAGAAACTTCTCTGTGATGATTGCATTCAACTCACAGAGTTGAACCCTCCTATGGATAGAGCAGTGTTGAAACTCTCTTTTTGTGGAATCTGCAAGTGGATATGTGGACCTCTCCGAAGATGTCTTTGGAAACGGGAATATCTTCACATAAAAACTAAACAGAAGCATTCTCAGAAACTTCTTGGTGATGTTTGCATTCAAATCCCAGAGTTGAACCTTCCTTTGATAGTTCAGGTTTGAAACACTCTTTCTGTAGGATCTGCAAGTGGCTATTTGGACCACTCTGTGGCCTTCGTTCGAAACGGGTATATCTTCGCATAAAATCTAGACAGAAGCATTCTCAGAAAATACTTTGTGATGATTGAGTTTAAATCACAGAGCTGACCATTCCTTTGGATGGAGCAGGTTTGAGACACACTTTTTGTAGAATCTACAAGTGGATATTTGGACCTCTCTGAGGATTTCGTTGGAAACGGGATAACTGCACCTAACTAAACGGAAGCATTCTCAGAAACTGCTTTGTGATGATTGCATTCACCTCACAGAGTTGAACATTCCTATTGATAGAGCAGTTTGGAAACACTCTTGTTGTGGAATGTGCAAGTGGAGATTTGGAGCGCTTTGAGGCCTGTGGTAGTAAAGGGAATAGCTTCATAGAAAAACTAGACAGATGCATTCTCAGGAACTTTTTGGTGATGTTTGTATTCAACTCCCAGAGTTGAACTTTCCTTTGGAAAGAGCAGCTATGAAACACTCTTTTTCTAGAATCTGCAAGTGGACGTTTGGAGGGCTTTGTGGTTTGTGGTGGAAAAGGAAATATCTTCACCTAAATACTAGACAGAAGCATTCTCAGAAGCTTCTCTGTGATGACTGCATTCAACTCACGGAGTTGAACACTCCTTTTGAGAGCGCAGTTTTGAAACTCTCTTTCTGTGGCATCTGCAAGGGGACATGTAGACCTCTTTGAAGATTTCGTTGGAAACGGAATCATCTTCACATAAAAACTATACAGAAGCAGTCTCAGAATCTTCTTTGTGATGTTTGCATTCAAATCCCAGAGTTGAACTTTCCTTTCAAAGTTCACGTTTGAAACACTCTTTTTGCAGGATCTACAAGTGGATATTTGGACCACTCTGTGTCCTTCGTTCGAAACGGGTATATCTTCACACGACATCTAGACAGAAGCTTTCTCAGAAAATTCTTTGGGATGATTGAGTGGAACTCACAGAGCTGAACATTCCTTGCGATGTAGCAGTTTAGAAACACACTTTCTGCAGAATCTGCAAGTGCATATTTGGACCTCTCTGAGGAATTCGTTGGAAACGGGATAATTTCAGCTGACTAAACAGAAGCATTCTCAGAACCTTCTTCGTGATGTCTGCATTCAACTCACAGTGTGGAACCTTTCTTTGATAGTTCAGGTTTGAAACACTCTTTTTGTAGAAACTGCAAGGGGATAATTGCACTTCTTTGAGGCCTACCGTAGTAAAGGAAATAACTTCCTATAGAAAGAAGACAGAAGCATTCTCAGAACCCTCTTCGTGATGTTTGCATTCAACTCACAGTGCTGAACCTTTCTTTGATAGTTCAGCTTTGAAACACTCTTCTTGTAGAAACTGCAAGTGGATATTTGGTCCTCTCTGAGGATTTCGTTGGAAACGGGATAAACCGCACAGAACTAAACAGAAGAATTCTCAGAGCCCTCATCGTGATGTTTGCATTCAACTCACAGTGCTGAACCTTTCTTTGATAGTGCAGCTTTGAAACACTCTTTTTGTAGAAACTGCAAGTGGATGTTTGGTCCTCTCTGAGGATTTCGTTGGAAACGGGATAAACCGCACAGAACTAAAACAGAAGCATTGTCAGAAACTTCTTTGTGATGATTGCATTCAACTCACAGAGTTGAAGGTTCCTTTTCAAACAGCAGTTTCCAATCACTCTTTCTGTGGAATCTGCAAGTGGATATTTGGGCCTCTCTGAGGATTTCGTTGGAAACGGGATAAAACGCACAGAACTAAAACAGAAGCATTCTCAGAAACTTCTCTGTGATGTTTGTGTTCAACTCCCAGAGTTTCACGTTGCTTTTCATAGAGTAGTTCTGAAACATGCTTTTCGTAGTGTCTGCAAGTGGACATTTGGAGCGCTTTCAGGCCTGTGGTGGAAAACGAATTATGGTCACATAAAAACTGGAGAGAAGCCTTCTCAGAAACTTCTCTGTGATGATTGCATTCAACTCACAGAGTTGAACCCTCCTATGGATAGAGCAGTGTTGAAACTCTCTTTTTGTGGAATCTGCAAGTGGATATGTGGACCTCTCCGAAGATGTCTTTGGAAACGGGAATATCTTCACATAAAAACTAAACAGAAGCATTCTCAGAAACTTCTTGGTGATGTTTGCATTCAAATCCCAGAGTTGAACCTTCCTTTGATAGTTCAGGTTTGAAACACTCTTTCTGTAGGATCTGCAAGTGGCTATTTGGACCACTCTGTGGCCTTCGTTCGAAACGGGTATATCTTCGCATAAAATCTAGACAGAAGCATTCTCAGAAAATACTTTGTGATGATTGAGTTTAAATCACAGAGCTGACCATTCCTTTGGATGGAGCAGGTTTGAGACACACTTTTTGTAGAATCTACAAGTGGATATTTGGACCTCTCTGAGGATTTCGTTGGAAACGGGATAACTGCACCTAACTAAACGGAAGCATTCTCAGAAACTGCTTTGTGATGGTTGCATTCACCTCACAGAGTTGAACATTCCTATTGATAGAGCAGTTTGGAAACACTCTTGTTGTGGAATGTGCAAGTGGAGATTTGGAGCGCTTTGAGGCCTATGGTAGTAAAGGGAATAGCTTCATAGAAAAACTAGACAGATGCATTCTCAGGAACTTTTTGGTGATGTTTGTATTCAACTCCCAGAGTTGAACTTTCCTTTGGAAAGAGCAGCTATGAAACACTCTTTTTCTAGAATCTGCAAGTGGACGTTTGGAGGGCTTTGTGGTTTGTGGTGGAAAAGGAAATATCTTCACCTAAATACTAGATAGAAGCATTCTCAGAAGCTTCTCTGTGATGACTGCATTCAACTCACGGAGTTGAACACTCCTTTTGAGAGCGCAGTTTTGAAACTCTCTTTCTGTGGCATCTGCAAGGGGACATGTAGACCTCTTTGAAGATTTCGTTGGAAACGGAATCATCTTCACATAAAAACTATACAGAAGCAGTCTCAGAATCTTCTTTGTGATGTTTGCATTCAAATCCCAGAGTTGAACTTTCCTTTCAAAGTTCACGTTTGAAACACTCTTTTTGCAGGATCTACAAGTGGATATTTGGACCACTCTGTGTCCTTCGTTCGAAACGGGTATATCTTCACACGACATCTAGACAGAAGCTTTCTCAGAAAATTCTTTGGGATGATTGAGTGGAACTCACAGAGCTGAACATTCCTTGCGATGTAGCAGTTTAGAAACACACTTTCTGCAGAATCTGCAAGTGCATATTTGGACCTCTCTGAGGAATTCGTTGGAAACGGGATAATTTCAGCTGACTAAACAGAAGCATTCTCAGAACCTTCTTCGTGATGTCTGCATTCAACTCACAGTGTGGAACCTTTCTTTGATAGTTCAGGTTTGAAACACTCTTTTTGTAGAAACTGCAAGGGGATAATTGCACTTCTTTGAGGCCTACCGTAGTAAAGGAAATAACTTCCTATAGAAAGAAGACAGAAGCATTCTCAGAACCCTCTTCGTGATGTTTGCATTCAACTCACAGTGCTGAACCTTTCTTTGATAGTTCAGCTTTGAAACACTCTTCTTGTAGAAACTGCAAGTGGATATTTGGTCCTCTCTGAGGATTTCGTTGGAAACGGGATAAACCGCAGAGAACTAAACAGAAGCGTTCTCAGAACCCTCTTCGTGATGTTTGCATTCAACTCACAGTGCTGAACCTTTCTTTGATAGTGCAGCTTTGAAACACTCTTTTTGTAGAAACTGCAAGTGGATATTTGGTCCTCTCTGAGGATTTCGTTGGAAACGGGATAAACCGCACGGAACTAAAACGGAAGCATTCTCAGAACCTTCTTCGTGATGTTTGCATTCAACTCACAGTGTTGAACCTTTCTTTGATAGTTCAGGTTTGAAACGGTCTTTCTGTAGAAACTGCAAGTAGATATTTGGACCTCTCTGAGGATTTCGTTGGAAACGGGATAAACCACACAGAATTAAAACAGAAGCATTCACAGAAAACTCTTGGTGACGACTGAGTTTAACTCACAGAGCTGAACATTCCTTTGGATGGAGCAGTTTCGAAACACACTATTTGTAGAATGTGCAAGTGGATATGTGGGCCTCTCTGAGGATTTCGTTGGAAACGGGATAAACCGCACAGAACTAAACAGAAGCATTCTCAGAAACTACTTTGTGATGATTGCATTCAAGTCACAGAGTTGAACATTCCCTTTGACAGAGCAGTTTGGAAACTCTCTTTGTGTAGAATCTGCAAGTGGAGATATGGACCGCTTTGAGGCCTATGGTAGTAAAGGAAATAGCTTCATATAAAAGCTAGACAGTAGCATTCTCAGAAACTTCTTTGTGATGCTTGCATTCAACTCACAGAGTTGAACTTTCCTTTCGAGAGAGAAGCTTTGAAACACTCTTTTTCCAGAATCTGCAAGTGGACATTTGGAGGGCTTTGAGGCCTGTGGTGGAAAAGGAATTATCTTCCCGTAAAAGCTAGATAGAAGCATTGTCAGAAACTTCTTTGTGATGATTGCATACAAGTCACAGAGTTGAAGGTTCCTTTTCAAAGAGCAGTTTCCAATCACTCTTTCTGTGGAATCTGCAAGTGGATATTTGGACCTCTTTGAAGATTTCGTTGGAAACGGGAGAATCTTCACAAAAAAGATAAACAGAAGCATTCTCAGAAACTTCTCTGTGATGTTTGTGTTCAACTCCCAGAGTTTCACATTGCTTCTCATAGAGTAGTTCTGAAACATGCTTTTCGTAGTGTCTGCAAGTGGACATTTGGAGCGCTTTCAGGCCTGTGGTGGAAAACGAATTATGGTCACATAAAAACTGGAGAGAAGCCTTCTCAAAAACTTCTCTGTGATGATTGCATTCAACTCACAGAGTTGAACCCTCCTATGGATAGAGCAGTGTTGAAACTCTCTTTTTGTGGAATCTGCAAGCGGATATGTGGACCTCTCCGAAGATGTCTTTGGAAACGGGAATATCTTCACATAAAAACTAAACAGAAGCATTCTCAAAACTTCTTGGTGATGTTTGCATTCAAATCCCAGAGTTGAACCTTCCTTTGATAGTTCAGGTTTGAAAAACTCTTTTTGTAGGATCTGCAAGTGGATATTTGGACCACTCTGTGGCCTTCGTTCGAAACGGGTACATCTTCGCATAAAATCTAGACAGAAGCATTCTCAGAAAATACTTTGTGATGATTGAGTTGAACTCACAGAGCTGAACATTCCTTTGGATGGAGCAGGTTTGAGACACACTTTTTGTAGAATCTACAAGTGGATATTTGGACCTCTCTGAGGATTTCGTTGGAAACGGGATAACTGCACCTAACTAAACGGAAGCATTCCCAGAAACTGCTTTGTGATGATTGCATTCACCTCACAGAGTTGAACATTCCTATTGATAGAGCAGTTTGGAAACACTCTTGTTGTGGAATGTGCAAGTGGAGATTTGGAGCGCTTTGAGGCCTATGGTCGTAAAGGGAATAGCTTCATAGAAAAACTAGACAGATGCATTCTCAGGAACTTTTTGGTGATGTTTGTATTCAACTCCCAGAGTTGAACTTTCCTTTGGAAAGAGCAGCTATGAAACACTCTTTTTCTAGAATCTGCAAGTGGACGTTTGGAGGGCTTTGTGGTTTGTGGTGGAAAAGGAAATATCTTCACCTAAATACTAGATAGAAGCATTCTCAGAAGCTTCTCTGTGATGACTGCATTCAACTCACGGAGTTGAACACTCCTTTTGAGAGCGCAGTTTTGAAACTCTCCTTCTGTGGCATCCGCAAGGGGACATGTGGACCTCTTTGAAGATTTCGTTGGAAACGGAATCATCTTCACATAAAAACTATACAGAAGCAGTCTCAGAATCTTCTTTGTGATGTTTGCATTCAAATCCCAGAGTTGAACTTTCCTTTCAAAGTTCACGTTTGAAACACTCTTTTTGCAGGATCTACAAGTGGATATTTGGACCACTCTGTGTCCTTCGTTCGAAACGGGTATATCTTCACATGACATCTAGACAGAAGCTTTCTCAGAAAATTCTTTGGGATGATTGAGTGGAACTCACAGAGCTGAACATTCCTTGCGATGTAGCAGTTTAGAAACACACTTTCTGCAGAATCTGCAAGTGCATATTTGGACCTCTCTGAGGAATTCGTTGGAAACGGGATAATTTCAGCTGACTAAACAGAAGCATTCTCAGAACCTTCTTCGTGATGTCTGCATTCAACTCACAGTGTGGAACCTTTCTTTGATAGTTCAGGTTTGAAACACTCTTTTTGTAGAAACTGCAAGGGGATAATTGCACTTCTTTGAGGCCTACCGTAGTAAAGGAAATAACTTCCTATAGAAAGAAGACAGAAGCATTCTCAGAACCCTCTTCGTGATGTTTGCATTCAACTCACAGTGCTGAACCTTTCTTTGATAGTTCAGCTTTGAAACACTCTTCTTGTAGAAACTGCAAGTGGATATTTGGTCCTCTCTGAGGATTTCGTTGGAAACGGGATAAACCGCACAGAACTAAACAGAAGAATTCTCAGAGCCCTCTTCGTGATGTTTGCATTCAACTCACAGTGCTGAACCTTTCTTTGATAGTGCAGCTTTGAAACACTCTTTTTGTAGAAACTGCAAGTGGATGTTTGGTCCTCTCTGAGGATTTCGTTGGAAACGGGATAAACCGCACAGAACTAAAACAGAAGCATTGTCAGAAACTTCTTTGTGATGATTGCATTCAACTCACAGAGTTGAAGGTTCCTTTTCAAACAGCAGTTTCCAATCACTCTTTCTGTGGAATCTGCAAGTGGATATTTGGGCCTCTCTGAGGATTTCGTTGGAAACGGGATAAAACGCACAGAACTAAAACAGAAGCATTCTCAGAAACTTCTCTGTGATGTTTGTGTTCAACTCCCAGAGTTTCACGTTGCTTTTCATAGAGTAGTTCTGAAACATGCTTTTCGTAGTGTCTGCAAGTGGACATTTGGAGCGCTTTCAGGCCTGTGGTGGAAAACGAATTATGGTCACATAAAAACTGGAGAGAAGCCTTCTCAGAAACTTCTCTGTGATGATTGCATTCAACTCACAGAGTTGAACCCTCCTATGGATAGAGCAGTGTTGAAACTCTCTTTTTGTGGAATCTGCAAGTGGATATGTGGACCTCTCCGAAGATGTCTTTGGAAACGGGAATATCTTCACATAAAAACTAAACAGAAGCATTCTCAGAAACTTCTTGGTGATGTTTGCATTCAAATCCCAGAGTTGAACCTTCCTTTGATAGTTCAGGTTTGAAACACTCTTTCTGTAGGATCTGCAAGTGGCTATTTGGACCACTCTGTGGCCTTCGTTCGAAACGGGTATATCTTCGCATAAAATCTAGACAGAAGCATTCTCAGAAAATACTTTGTGATGATTGAGTTTAAATCACAGAGCTGACCATTCCTTTGGATGGAGCAGGTTTGAGACACACTTTTTGTAGAATCTACAAGTGGATATTTGGACCTCTCTGAGGATTTCGTTGGAAACGGGATAACTGCACCTAACTAAACGGAAGCATTCTCAGAAACTGCTTTGTGATGATTGCATTCACCTCACAGAGTTGAACATTCCTATTGATAGAGCAGTTTGGAAACACTCTTGTTGTGGAATGTGCAAGTGGAGATTTGGAGCGCTTTGAGGCCTATGGTAGTAAAGGGAATAGCTTCATAGAAAAACTAGACAGATGCATTCTCAGGAACCTTTTGGTGATGTTTGTATTCAACTCCCAGAGTTGAACTTTCCTTTGGAAAGAGCAGCTATGAAACACTCTTTTTCTAGAATCTGCAAGTGGACGTTTGGAGGGCTTTGTGGTTTGTGGTGGAAAAGGAAATATCTTCACCTAAATACTAGATAGAAGCATTCTCAGAAGCTTCTCTGTGATGACTGCATTCAACTCACGGAGTTGAACACTCCTTTTGAGAGCGCAGTTTTGAAACTCTCTTTCTGTGGCATCTGCAAGGGGACATGTAGACCTCTTTGAAGATTTCGTTGGAAACGGAATCATCTTCACATAAAAACTATACAGAAGCAGTCTCAGAATCTTCTTTGTGATGTTTGCATTCAAATCCCAGAGTTGAACTTTCCTTTCAAAGTTCACGTTTGAAACACTCTTTTTGCAGGATCTACAAGTGGATATTTGGACCACTCTGTGTCCTTCGTTCGAAACGGGTATATCTTCACACGACATCTAGACAGAAGCTTTCTCAGAAAATTCTTTGGGATGATTGAGTGGAACTCACAGAGCTGAACATTCCTTGCGATGTAGCAGTTTAGAAACACACTTTCTGCAGAATCTGCAAGTGCATATTTGGACCTCTCTGAGGAATTCGTTGGAAACGGGATAATTTCAGCTGACTAAACAGAAGCATTCTCAGAACCTTCTTCGTGATGTCTGCATTCAACTCACAGTGTGGAACCTTTCTTTGATAGTTCAGGTTTGAAACACTCTTTTTGTAGAAACTGCAAGGGGATAATTGCACTTCTTTGAGGCCTACCGTAGTAAAGGAAATAACTTCCTATAGAAAGAAGACAGAAGCATTCTCAGAACCCTCTTCGTGATGTTTGCATTCAACTCACAGTGCTGAACCTTTCTTTGATAGTTCAGCTTTGAAACACTCTTCTTGTAGAAACTGCAAGTGGATATTTGGTCCTCTCTGAGGATTTCGTTGGAAACGGGATAAACCGCACAGAACTAAACAGAAGAATTCTCAGAGCCCTCTTCGTGATGTTTGCATTCAACTCACAGTGCTGAACCTTTCTTTGATAGTGCAGCTTTGAAACACTCTTTTTGTAGAAACTGCAAGTGGATGTTTGGTCCTCTCTGAGGATTTCGTTGGAAACGGGATAAACCGCACAGAACTAAAACAGAAGCATTGTCAGAAACTTCTTTGTGATGATTGCATTCAACTCACAGAGTTGAAGGTTCCTTTTCAAACAGCAGTTTCCAATCACTCTTTCTGTGGAATCTGCAAGTGGATATTTGGGCCTCTCTGAGGATTTCGTTGGAAACGGGATAAAACGCACAGAACTAAAACAGAAGCATTCTCAGAAACTTCTCTGTGATGTTTGTGTTCAACTCCCAGAGTTTCACGTTGCTTTTCATAGAGTAGTTCTGAAACATGCTTTTCGTAGTGTCTGCAAGTGGACATTTGGAGCGCTTTCAGGCCTGTGGTGGAAAACGAATTATGGTCACATAAAAACTGGAGAGAAGCCTTCTCAGAAACTTCTCTGTGATGATTGCATTCAACTCACAGAGTTGAACCCTCCTATGGATAGAGCAGTGTTGAAACTCTCTTTTTGTGGAATCTGCAAGTGGATATGTGGACCTCTCCGAAGATGTCTTTGGAAACGGGAATATCTTCACATAAAAACTAAACAGAAGCATTCTCAGAAACTTCTTGGTGATGTTTGCATTCAAATCCCAGAGTTGAACCTTCCTTTGATAGTTCAGGTTTGAAACACTCTTTCTGTAGGATCTGCAAGTGGCTATTTGGACCACTCTGTGGCCTTCGTTCGAAACGGGTATATCTTCGCATAAAATCTAGACAGAAGCATTCTCAGAAAATACTTTGTGATGATTGAGTTTAAATCACAGAGCTGACCATTCCTTTGGATGGAGCAGGTTTGAGACACACTTTTTGTAGAATCTACAAGTGGATATTTGGACCTCTCTGAGGATTTCGTTGGAAACGGGATAACTGCACCTAACTAAACGGAAGCATTCTCAGAAACTGCTTTGTGATGATTGCATTCACCTCACAGAGTTGAACATTCCTATTGATAGAGCAGTTTGGAAACACTCTTGTTGTGGAATGTGCAAGTGGAGATTTGGAGCGCTTTGAGGCCTATGGTAGTAAAGGGAATAGCTTCATAGAAAAACTAGACAGATGCATTCTCAGGAACTTTTTGGTGATGTTTGTATTCAACTCCCAGAGTTGAACTTTCCTTTGGAAAGAGCAGCTATGAAACACTCTTTTTCTAGAATCTGCAAGTGGACGTTTGGAGGGCTTTGTGGTTTGTGGTGGAAAAGGAAATATCTTCACCTAAATACTAGATAGAAGCATTCTCAGAAGCTTCTCTGTGATGACTGCATTCAACTCACGGAGTTGAACACTCCTTTTGAGAGCGCAGTTTTGAAACTCTCTTTCTGTGGCATCCGCAAGGGGACATGTAGACCTCTTTGAAGATTTCGTTGGAAACGGAATCATCTTCACATAAAAACTATACAGAAGCAGTCTCAGAATCTTCTTTGTGATGTTTGCATTCAAATCCCAGAGTTGAACTTTCCTTTCAAAGTTCACGTTTGAAACACTCTTTTTGCAGGATCTACAAGTGGATATTTGGACCACTCTGTGTCCTTCGTTCGAAACGGGTATATCTTCACACGACATCTAGACAGAAGCTTTCTCAGAAAATTCTTTGGGATGATTGAGTTGAACTCACAGAGCTGAACATTCCTTGCGATGTAGCAGTTTAGAAACACACTTTCTGCAGAATCTGCAAGTGCATATTTGGACCTCTCTGAGGAATTCGTTGGAAACGGGATAATTTCAGCTGACTAAACAGAAGCATTCTCAGAACCTTCTTCGTGATGTCTGCATTCAACTCACAGTGTGGAACCTTTCTTTGATAGTTCAGGTTTGAAACACTCTTTTTGTAGAAACTGCAAGGGGATAATTGCACTTCTTTGAGGCCTACCGTCGTAAAGGAAATAACTTCCTATAGAAAGAAGACAGAAGCATTCTCAGAACCCTCTTCGTGATGTTTGCATTCAACTCACAGTGCTGAACCTTTCTTTGATAGTTCAGCTTTGAAACACTCTTCTTGTAGAAACTGCAAGTGGATATTTGGTCCTCTCTGAGGATTTCGTTGGAAACGGGATAAACCGCACAGAACTAAACAGAAGATTTCTCAGAGCCCTCTTCGTGATGTTTGCATTCAACTCACAGTGCTGAACCTTTCTTTGATAGTGCAGCTTTGAAACACTCTTTTTGTAGAAACTGCAAGTGGATATTTGGTCCTCTCTGAGGATTTCGTTGGAAACGGGATAAACCGCACAGAACTAAAACAGAAGGATTCACAGAAAACTCTTGGTGACGACTGAGTTTAACTCACAGAGCTGAACATTCCTTTGGATGGAGCAGTTTCGAAACACACTATTTGTAGAATCTGCAAGTGGATATTTGGGCCTCTCTGAGGATTTCGTTGGAAACGGGATAAAACGCACAGAACTAAAACAGAAGCATTCTCAGAAACTACTTTGTGATGATTGCATTCAAGTCACAGAGTTGAACATTCCCTTTGACAGAGCAGTTTGGAAACTCTCTTTGTGTAGAATCTGCAAGTGGAGATATGGACCGCTTTGAGGCCTATGGTAGTAAAGGAAATACCTTCATATAAAAGCTAGACAGTAGCATTCTCAGAAACTTCTTTGTGATGCTTGCATTCAACTCACAGAGTTGAACTTTCCTTTCGAGAGAGAAGCTTTGAAACACTCTTTTTCCAGAATGTGCAAGTGGACATTTGGGGAGCTTTGAGGCCTGTGGTGGAAAAGGAATTGTCTTCCCGTAAAAGCTAGATAGAAGCATTGTCAGAAACTTCTTTGTGATGATTGCATTCAACTCACAGAGTTGAAGGTTCCTTTTCAAACAGCAGTTTCCAATCACTCTTTCTGTGGAATCTGCAAGTGGATATTTCGACCTCTTTGAAGATTTCGTTGGAAACGGGAGAATCTTCACAGAAAAGCTAAACAGAAGCATTCTCAGAAACTTCTCTGTGATGTTTGTGTTCAACTCCCAGAGTTTCACGTTGCTTTTCATAGAGTAGTCCTGAAACATGCTTTTCGTAGTGTCTGCAAGTGGACATTTGGAGCGCTTTCAGGCCTGTGGTGGAAAACAAATTATGGTCACATAAAAACTGGAGAGAAGCCTTCTCAGAAACTTCTCTGTGATGATTGCATTCAACTCACAGAGTTGAACCCTCCTATGGATAGAGCAGTGTTGAAACTCTCTTTTTGTGGAATCTGCAAGTGGATATGTGGACCTCTCCGAAGATGTCTTTGGAAACGGGAATATCTTCACATAAAAACTAAACAGAAGCATTCTCAGAAACTTCTTGGTGATGTTTGCATTCAAATCCCAGAGTTGAACCTTCCTTTGATAGTTCAGGTTTGAAACACTCTTTCTGTAGGATCTGCAAGTGGCTATTTGGACCACTCTGTGGCCTTCGTTCGAAACGGGTATATCTTCGCATAAAATCTAGACAGAAGCATTCTCAGAAAATACTTTGTGATGATTGAGTTTAAATCACAGAGCTGACCATTCCTTTGGATGGAGCAGGTTTGAGACACACTTTTTGTAGAATCTACAAGTGGATATTTGGACCTCTCTGAGGATTTCGTTGGAAACGGGATAACTGCACCTAACTAAACGGAAGCATTCTCAGAAACTGCTTTGTGATGATTGCATTCACCTCACAGAGTTGAACATTCCTATTGATAGAGCAGTTTGGAAACACTCTTGTTGTGGAATGTGCAAGTGGAGATTTGGAGCGCTTTGAGGCCTATGGTAGTAAAGGGAATAGCTTCATAGAAAAACTAGACAGATGCATTCTCAGGAACTTTTTGGTGATGTTTGTATTCAACTCCCAGAGTTGAACTTTCCTTTGGAAAGAGCAGCTATGAAACACTCTTTTTCTAGAATCTGCAAGTGAACGTTTGGAGGGCTTTGTGGTTTGTGGTGGAAAAGGAAATATCTTCACCTAAATACTAGATAGAAGCATTCTCAGAAGCTTCTCTGTGATGACTGCATTCAACTCACGGAGTTGAACACTCCTTTTGAGAGCGCAGTTTTGAAACTCTCTTTCTGTGGCATCTGCAAGGGGACATGTAGACCTCTTTGAAGATTTCGTTGGAAACGGAATCATCTTCACATAAAAACTATACAGAAGCAGTCTCAGAATCTTCTTTGTGATGTTTGCATTCAAATCCCAGAGTTGAACTTTCCTTTCAAAGTTCACGTTTGAAACACTCTTTTTGCAGGATCTACAAGTGGATATTTGGACCACTCTGTGTCCTTCGTTCGAAACGGGTATATCTTCACACGACATCTAGACAGAAGCTTTCTCAGAAAATTCTTTGGGATGATTGAGTGGAACTCACAGAGCTGAACATTCCTTGCGATGTAGCAGTTTAGAAACACACTTTCTGCAGAATCTGCAAGTGCATATTTGGACCTCTCTGAGGAATTCGTTGGAAACGGGATAATTTCAGCTGACTAAACAGAAGCATTCTCAGAACCTTCTTCGTGATGTCTGCATTCAACTCACAGTGTGGAACCTTTCTTTGATAGTTCAGGTTTGAAACACTCTTTTTGTAGAAACTGCAAGGGGATAATTGCACTTCGTTGAGGCCTACCGTAGTAAAGGAAATAACTTCCTATAAAAAGAAGACAGAAGCATTCTCAGAACCCTCTTCGTGATGTTTGCATTCAACTCACAGTGCTGAACCTTTCTTTGATAGTTCAGCTTTGAAACACTCTTCTTGTAGAAACTGCAAGGGGATATTTGGTCCTCTCTGAGGATTTCGTTGGAAACGGGATAAACCGCACAGAACTAAACAGAAGAATTCTCAGAGCCCTCTTCCTGGTGTTTGCATTCAACTCACAGTGCTGAACCTTTCTTTGATAGTGCAGCTTTGAAACACTCTTTTTGTAGAAACTGCAAGTGGATATTTGGTCCTCTCTGAAGATTTCGTTGGAAACGGGATAAACCGCACAGAACTAAAACAGAAGCATTCACAGAAAACTCTTGGTGACGACTGAGTTTAACTCACAGAGCTGAACATTCCTTTGGATGGAGCAGTTTCGAAACACACTATTTGTAGAATCTGCAAGTGGATATTTGGGCCTCTCTGAGGATTTCGTTGGAAACGGGATAAAACGCACAGAACTAAAACAGAAGCATTCTCAGAAACTACTTTGTGATGATTGCATTCAAGTCACAGAGTTGAACATTCCCTTTGACAGAGCAGTTTGGAAACTCTCTTTGTGTAGAATCTGCAAGTGGAGATATGGACCGCTTTGAGGCCTATGGTAGTAAAGGAAATAGCTTCATATAAAAGCTAGACAGTAGCATTCTCAGAAACTTCTTTGTGATGCTTGCATTCAACTCACAGAGTTGAACTTTCCTTTCGAGAGAGAAGCTTTGAAACACTCTTTTTCCAGAATGTGCAAGTGGACATTTGGGGAGCTTTGAGGCCTGTGGTGGAAAAGGAATTATCTTCCCGTAAAAGCTAGATAGAAGCATTGTCAGAAACTTCTTTGTGATGATTGCATTCAACTCACAGAGTTGAAGGTTCCTTTTCAAATACCAGTTTCCAATCACTCTTTCTGTGGAATCTGCAAGTGGATATTTCGACCTCTTTGAAGATTTCGTTGGAAACGGGAGAATCTTCACAGAAAAGCTAAACAGAAGCATTCTCAGAAACTTCTCTGTGATGTTTGTGTTCAACTCCCAGAGTTTCACGTTGCTTTTCATAGAGTAGTTCTGAAACATGCTTTTCGTAGTGTCTGCAAGTGGACATTTGGAGCGCTTTCAGGCCTGTGGTGGAAAACGAATTATGGTCACATAAAAACTGGAGAGAAGCCTTCTCAGAAACTTCTCTGTGATGATTGCATTCAACTCACAGAGTTGAACCCTCCTATGGATAGAGCAGTGTTGAAACTCTCTTTTTGTGGAACCTGCAAGTGGATATGTGGACCTCTCCGAAGATGTCTTTGGAAACGGGAATATCTTCACATAAAAACTAAACAGAAGCATTCTCAGAAACTTCTTGGTGATGTTTGCATTCAAATCCCAGAGTTGAACCTTCCTTTGATAGTTCAGGTTTGAAACACTGTTTCTGTAGGATCTGCAAGTGGCTATTTGGACCACTCTGTGGCCTTCGTTCGAAACGGGTATATCTTCGCATAAAATCTAGACAGAAGCATTCTCAGAATATACTTTGTGATGATTGAGTTTAACTCACAGAGCTGAACATTCCTTTGGATGGAGCAGGTTTGAGACACACTTTTTGTAGAATCTACAAGTGGATATTTGGACCTCTCTGAGGATTTCGTTGGAAACGGGATAACTGCACCTAACTAAACGGAAGCATTCTCAGAAACTGCTTTGTGATGATTGCATTCACCTCACAGAGTTGAACATCCCTATTGATAGAGCAGTTTGGAAACACTCTTGTTGTGGAATGTGCAAGTGGAGATTTTTTAGCGCTTTGAGGAATATGGTAGTAAGGGGAATAGCTTCATAGAAAAACTAGACAGATGCATTCACAGGAACTTTTTGGTGATGTTTGTATTCAACTCCCAGAGTTGAACTTTCCTTTGGAAAGAGCAGCTATGAAACACTCTTTTTCTAGAATCTGCAAGTGGACGTTTGGAGGGCTTTGTGGTTTGTGGTGGAAAAGGAAATATCTTCACCTAAATACTAGATAGAAGCATTCTCAGAAGCTTCTCTGTGATGACTGCATTCAACTCACGGAGTTGAACACTCCTTTTGAGAGCGCAGTTTTGAAACTCTCTTTCTGTGGCATCTGCAAGGGGACATGTAGACCTCTTTGAAGATTTCGTTGCAAACGGAATCATCTTCACATAAAAACTATACAGAAGCAGTCTCAGAATCTTCTTTGTGATGTTTGCATTCAAATCCCCGAGTTGAACTTTCCTTTCAAAGTTCACGTTTGAAACACTCTTTTTGCAGGATCTACAAGTGGATATTTGGACCACTCTGTGTCCTTCGTTCGAAACGGGTATATCTTCACATGACATCTAGACAGAAGCTTTCTCAGAAAATTCTTTGGGATGATTGAGTTGAACTCACAGAGCTGAGCATTCCTTGCGATGTAGCAGTTTAGAAACACACTTTCTGCAGAATCTGCAAGTGCATATTTGGACCTCTGTGAGGAATTCGTTGGAAACGGGATAATTTCAGCTGACTAAACAGAAGCATTCTCAGAACCTTCTTCGTGATGTCTGCATTCAACTCACAGTGTGGAACCTTTCTTTGATAGTTCAGGTTTGAAACACTCTTTTTGTAGAAACTGCAAGGGGATAATTGCACTCTTTGAGGAGTACCATAGTAAAGGAAATAACTTCCTATAAAAAGAAGACAGAAGCATTCTCAGAACCCTCTTCGTGATGTTTGCATTCAACTCACAGTGCTGAACCTTTCTTTGATAGTTCAGCTTTGAAACACTCTTTTTGTAGAAACTGCAAGTGGATATTTGGTCCTCTCTGAGCATTTCGTTGGAAACGGGATAAACTGCACAGAACTAAACAGAAGCATTCTCAGAACCTTCTTCGTGATGTTTGCATTCAACTCACAGTGTTGAACCTTTCTTTGATAGTTCAGGTTTGAAACGGTCTTTCTGTAGAAACTGCAAGTAGATATTTGGACCTCTCTGAGGATTTCGTTGGAAACGGGATAACCCGCACAGAACTAAAACAGAAGCATTCACAGAAAACTCTTGGTGACGAATGAGTTTAACTCACAGAGCTGAACATTCCTTTGGATGGAGCAGTTTCGAAACACACTATTTGTAGAATGTGCAAGTGGATATTTGGGCCTCTCTGAGGATTTCGTTGGAAACGGGATAAACCGCACAGACCTAAACAGAAGCATTCTCAGAAACTACTTTGTGATGATTGCATTCAAGTCACAGAGTTGAACATTCCCTTTGACAGAGCAGTTTGGAAACTCTCTTTGTGTAGAATCTGCAAGTGGAGATATGGACCGCTTTGAGGCCTATGGTAGTAAAGGAAATAGCTTCATATAAAAGCTAGACAGTAGCATTCTCAGAAACTTCTTTGTGATGCTTGCATTCAACTCACAGAGTTGAACTTTCCTTTCGAGAGAGAAGCTTTGAAACACTCTTTTTCCAGAATCTGCAAGTGGACATTTGGAGGGCTTTGAGGCCTGTGGTGGAAAAGGAATTATCTTCCCGTAAAAGCTAGATAGAAGCCTTCTCAGAAACTTCTCTGTGATGATTGCATTCAACTCACAGAGTTGAAGGTTCCTTTTCAAAGAGCAGTTTCCAATCACTCTTTCTGTGGAATCTGCAAGTGGATATTTGGACCTATTTTGAAGATTTCGTTGGAAACGGGAGAATCTTCACAGGAAAGCTAAACAGAAGCATTCTCAGAAACTTCTTGGTGATGTTTGCATTCAAATCCCAGAGTAGAACCTTCCTTTGATAGTTCAGGTTTGAAACACTCTTTTTGTAGGATCTGCAAGTGGATATTTGGACCACTCTGTGGCCTTCGTTCGAAACGGGTATATCTTTGCATAAAATCTAGACAGAAGCATTCTCAGAAAATACTTTGTGATGATTGAGTTTAACTCACAGCAGCTGAACATTCCTTTGGATGGAGCAGGTTTGAGACACACTTTTTGTAGAATCTACAAGTGGATATTTGGACCTCTCTGAGGATTTCGTTGGAAACGGGATAACTGCACCTAACTAAACGGAAGCATTCTCAGAAACTGCTTTGTGATGATTGCATTCACCTCACAGAGTTGAACATTCCTATTGATAGAGCAGTTTGGAAACACTCTTGTTGTGGAATGTGCAAGTGGAGATTTGGAGCGCTTTGAGGCCTATGGTAGTAAAGGGAATAGCTTCATAGAAAAACTAGACAGATGCATTCTCAGGAACTTTTTGGTGATGTTTGTATTCAACTCCCAGAGTTGAACTTTCCTTTGGAAAGAGCAGCTATGAAACACTCTTTTTCTAGAATCTGCAAGTGGACGTTTGGAGGGCTTTGTGGTTTGTGGTGGAAAAGGAAATATCTTCACCTAAATACTAGACAGAAGCATTCTCAGAAGCTTCTCTGTGATGACTGCATTCAACTCACGGAGTTGAACACTCCTTTTGAGAGCGCAGTTTTGAAACTCTCTTTCTGTGGCATCTGCAAGGGGACATGTAGACCTCTTTGAAGATTTCGTTGGAAACGGAATCATCTTCACATAAAAACTATACAGAAGCAGTCTCAGAATCTTCTTTGTGATGTTTGCATTCAAATCCCAGAGTTGAACTTTCCTTTCAAAGTTCACGTTTGAAACACTCTTTTTGCAGGATCTACAAGTGGATATTTGGACCACTCTGTGTCCTTCGTTCGAAACGGGTATATCTTCACACGACATCTAGACAGAAGCTTTCTCAGAAAATTCTTTGGGATGATTGAGTGGAACTCACAGAGCTGAACATTCCTTGCGATGTAGCAGTTTAGAAACACACTTTCTGCAGAATCTGCAAGTGCATATTTGGACCTCTCTGAGGAATTCGTTGGAAACGGGATAATTTCAGCTGACTAAACAGAAGCATTCTCAGAACCTTCTTCGTGATGTCTGCATTCAACTCACAGTGTGGAACCTTTCTTTGATAGTTCAGGTTTGAAACACTCTTTTTGTAGAAACTGCAAGGGGATAATTGCACTTCTTTGAGGCCTACCGTAGTAAAGGAAATAACTTCCTATAGAAAGAAGACAGAAGCATTCTCAGAACCCTCTTCGTGATGTTTGCATTCAACTCACAGTGCTGAACCTTTCTTTGATAGTTCAGCTTTGAAACACTCTTCTTGTAGAAACTGCAAGTGGATATTTGGTCCTCTCTGAGGATTTCGTTGGAAACGGGATAAACCGCACAGAACTAAACAGAAGAATTCTCAGAGCCCTCTTCGTGATGTTTGCATTCAACTCACAGTGCTGAACCTTTCTTTGATAGTGCAGCTTTGAAACACTCTTTTTGTAGAAACTGCAAGTGGATGTTTGGTCCTCTCTGAGGATTTCGTTGGAAACGGGATAAACCGCACAGAACTAAAACAGAAGCATTGTCAGAAACTTCTTTGTGATGATTGCATTCAACTCACAGAGTTGAAGGTTCCTTTTCAAACAGCAGTTTCCAATCACTCTTTCTGTGGAATCTGCAAGTGGATATTTGGGCCTCTCTGAGGATTTCGTTGGAAACGGGATAAAACGCACAGAACTAAAACAGAAGCATTCTCAGAAACTTCTCTGTGATGTTTGTGTTCAACTCCCAGAGTTTCACGTTGCTTTTCATAGAGTAGTTCTGAAACATGCTTTTCGTAGTGTCTGCAAGTGGACATTTGGAGCGCTTTCAGGCCTGTGGTGGAAAACGAATTATGGTCACATAAAAACTGGAGAGAAGCCTTCTCAGAAACTTCTCTGTGATGATTGCATTCAACTCACAGAGTTGAACCCTCCTATGGATAGAGCAGTGTTGAAACTCTCTTTTTGTGGAATCTGCAAGTGGATATGTGGACCTCTCCGAAGATGTCTTTGGAAACGGGAATATCTTCACATAAAAACTAAACAGAAGCATTCTCAGAAACTTCTTGGTGATGTTTGCATTCAAATCCCAGAGTTGAGCCTTCCTTTGATAGTTCAGGTTTGAAACACTCTTTCTGTAGGATCTGCAAGTGGCTATTTGGACCACTCTGTGGCCTTCGTTCGAAACGGGTATATCTTCGCATAAAATCTAGACAGAAGCATTCTCAGAAAATACTTTGTGATGATTGAGTTTAAATCACAGAGCTGACCATTCCTTTGGATGGAGCAGGTTTGAGACACACTTTTTGTAGAATCTACAAGTGGATATTTGGACCTCTCTGAGGATTTCGTTGGAAACGGGATAACTGCACCTAACTAAACGGAAGCATTCTCAGAAACTGCTTTGTGATGATTGCATTCACCTCACAGAGTTGAACATTCCTATTGATAGAGCAGTTTGGAAACACTCTTGTTGTGGAATGTGCAAGTGGAGATTTGGAGCGCTTTGAGGCCTATGGTAGTAAAGGGAATAGCTTCATAGAAAAACTAGACAGATGCATTCTCAGGAACCTTTTGGTGATGTTTGTATTCAACTCCCAGAGTTGAACTTTCCTTTGGAAAGAGCAGCTATGAAACACTCTTTTTCTAGAATCTGCAAGTGGACGTTTGGAGGGCTTTGTGGTTTGTGGTGGAAAAGGAAATATCTTCACCTAAATACTAGATAGAAGCATTCTCAGAAGCTTCTCTGTGATGACTGCATTCAACTCACGGAGTTGAACACTCCTTTTGAGAGCGCAGTTTTGAAACTCTCTTTCTGTGGCATCTGCAAGGGGACATGTAGACCTCTTTGAAGATTTCGTTGGAAACGGAATCATCTTCACATAAAAACTATACAGAAGCAGTCTCAGAATCTTCTTTGTGATGTTTGCATTCAAATCCCAGAGTTGAACTTTCCTTTCAAAGTTCACGTTTGAAACACTCTTTTTGCAGGATCTACAAGTGGATATTTGGACCACTCTGTGTCCTTCGTTCGAAACGGGTATATCTTCACACGACATCTAGACAGAAGCTTTCTCAGAAAATTCTTTGGGATGATTGAGTGGAACTCACAGAGCTGAACATTCCTTGCGATGTAGCAGTTTAGAAACACACTTTCTGCAGAATCTGCAAGTGCATATTTGGACCTCTCTGAGGAATTCGTTGGAAACGGGATAATTTCAGCTGACTAAACAGAAGCATTCTCAGAACCTTCTTCGTGATGTCTGCATTCAACTCACAGTGTGGAACCTTTCTTTGATAGTTCAGGTTTGAAACACTCTTTTTGTAGAAACTGCAAGGGGATAATTGCACTTCTTTGAGGCCTACCGTAGTAAAGGAAATAACTTCCTATAGAAAGAAGACAGAAAGCATTCTCAGTAACCCTCTTCGTGATGTTTGCATTCAACTCACAGTGCTGAACCTTTCTTTGATAGTTCAGCTTTGAAACACTCTTCTTGTAGAAACTGCAAGTGGATATTTGGTCCTCTCTGAGGATTTCGTTGGAAACGGGTTAAACCGCACAGAACTAAACAGAAGCATTCTCAGAACCTTCTTCGTGATGTCTGCATTCAACTCACAGTGTGGAACCTTTCTTTGATAGTTCAGGTTTGAAACGGTCTTTCTGTAGAAACTGCAAGTAGATATTTGGACCTCTCTGAGGATTTCGTTGGAAACGGGATAAACCGCACAGAACTAAAACAGAAGCATTCACAGAAAACTCTTGGTGACGACTGAGTTTAACTCACAGAGCTGAACATTCCTTTGGATGGAGCAGTTTCGAAACACACTATTTGTAGAATGTGCAAGTGGATATTTGGGCCTCTCTGAGGATTTCATTGGAAACGCGATAAACCGCACAGAACTAAACAGAAGCATTCTCAGAAACTACTTTGTGATGATTGCATTCAAGTCACAGAGCTGAACATTCCCTTTGACAGAGCAGTTTGGAAACTCTCTTTGTGTAGAATCTGCAAGTGGAGATATGGAATGCTTTGAGGACTATAGTAGTAAAGGAAATAGCTTCATATAAAAGCTAGACAGTAGCATTCTCAGAAACTTCTTTGTGATGCTTGCATTCAACTCACAGAGTTGAACTTTCCTTTCGAGAGAGAAGCTTTGAAACACTCTTTTTTCAGAATCTGCAAGTGGACATTTGGAGGGCTTTGAGGCCTGTGGTGGAAAAGGAATTATCTTCCCGTAAAAGCTAGATAGAAGCATTGTCAGAAACTTCTTTGTGATGATTGCATTCAACTCACAGAGAATGAAGGTTCCTTTACAAACAGCAGTTTCCAAACACTCTTTCTGTGGAATCTGCAAGTGGATATTTGGACCTCTTTGAAGATTTCGTTGGAAACGGGAGAATCTTCACAGAAAAGCTAAACAGAAGCATTCTCAGAAACTTCTCTGTGATGTTTGTGTTCAACTCCCAGAGTTTCACATTGCTTTTCATAGAGTAGTTCTGAAACATGCTTTTCGTAGTGTCTGCAAGTGGACATTTGGAGCGCTTTCAGGCCTGTGGTGGAAAACGAATTATGGTCCCATAAAAACTGGAGAGAAGACTTCTCAGAACCTTCTCTGTGATGATTGCATTCAACTCACAGATTTGAACCCTCCTATGGATAGAACAGTGTTGAAACTCTCTTTTTGTGGAATCTGCAAGTGGATATGTGGACCTCTCCGAAGATGTCTTTGGAAACGGGAATATCTTCACCTAAAAACTAAACAGAAGCATTCTCAGAAACTTCTTGGTGATGTTTGCATTCAAATCCCAGAGTTGAACCTTCCTGTGATAGTTCAGGTTTGAAACACTCTTTTTGTAGGATCTGCAAGTGGATATTTGGACCACTCTGTGGCCTTCGTTCCAAACGGGTACATCTTCACATAAAATCTAGACAGAAGCATTCTCAGAAAATACTTTGTGATGATTGAGTTTAACTCACAGAGCTGAACATTCCTTTGGATGGAGCAGGTTTGAGACACACTTTTTGTAGAATCTACAAGTGGATATTTGGACCTCTCTGAGGATTTCGTTGGAAACGCGATAACTGCACCTAACTAAACGGAAGCATTCTCAGAAACTGCTTTGTGATGATTGCATTCACCTCACAGAGTTGAACATTCCTATTGATAGAGCAGTTTGGAAACACTCTTGTTGTGGAATGTGCAAGTGGAGATTTGGAGCGCTTTGAGGCCTATGGTAGTAAAGGGAATAGCTTCATAGAAAAACTAGACAGATGCATTCTCAGGAACTTTTTGGTGATGTTTGTATTCAACTCCCAGAGTTGAACTTTCCTTTGGAAAGAGCAGCTATGAAACACTCTTTTTCTAGAATCTGCAAGTGGACGTTTGGAGGGCTTTGTGGTTTGTGGTGGAAAAGGAAATATCTTCACCTAAATACTAGGATAGAAGCATTCTCAGAAGCTTCTCTGTGATGACTGCATTCAACTCACGGAGTTGAACACTCCTTTTGAGAGCGCAGTTTTGAAACTCTCTTTCTGTGGCATCTGCAAGGGGACATGTAGACCTCTTTGAAGATTTCGTTGGAAACGGAATCATCTTCACATAAAAACTATACAGAAGCAGTCTCAGAATCTTCTTTGTGATGTTTGCATTCAAATCCCAGAGTTGAACTTTCCTTTCAAAGTTCACGTTTGAAACACTCTTTTTGCAGGATCTACAAGTGGATATTTGGACCACTCTGTGTCCTTCGTTCGAAACGGGTATATCTTCACACGACATCTAGACAGAAGCTTTCTCAGAAAATTCTTTGGGATGATTGAGTGGAACTCACAGAGCTGAACATTCCTTGCGATGGAGCAGTTTAGAAACACACTTTCTGCAGAATCTGCAAGTGCATATTTGGACCTCTCTGAGGAATTCGTTGGAAACGGGATAATTTCAGCTGACTAAACAGAAGCATTCTCAGAACCTTCTTCGTGATGTCTGCATTCAACTCACAGTGTGGAACCTTTCTTTGATAGTTCAGGTTTGAAACACTCTTTTTGTAGAAACTGCAAGGGGATAATTGCACTTCTTTGAGGCCTACCGTAGTAAAGGAAATAACTTCCTATAGAAAGAAGACAGAAGCATTCTCAGAACCCTCTTCGTGATGTTTGCATTCAACTCACAGTGCTGAACCTTTCTTTGATAGTTCAGCTTTGAAACACTCTTCTTGTAGAAACTGCAAGTGGATATTTGGTCCTCTCTGAGGATTTCGTTGGAAACGGGATAAACCGCACAGAACTAAACAGAAGAATTCTCAGAGCCCTCTTCGTGATGTTTGCATTCAACTCACAGTGCTGAACCTTTCTTTGATAGTGCAGCTTTGAAACACTCTTTTTGTAGAAACTGCAAGTGGATGTTTGGTCCTCTCTGAGGATTTCGTTGGAAACGGGATAAACCGCACAGAACTAAAACAGAAGCATTGTCAGAAACTTCTTTGTGATGATTGCATTCAACTCACAGAGTTGAAGGTTCCTTTTCAAACAGCAGTTTCCAATCACTCTTTCTGTGGAATCTGCAAGTGGATATTTGGGCCTCTCTGAGGATTTCGTTGGAAACGGGATAAAACGCACAGAACTAAAACAGAAGCATTCTCAGAAACTTCTCTGTGATGTTTGTGTTCAACTCCCAGAGTTTCACGTTGCTTTTCATAGAGTAGTTCTGAAACATGCTTTTCGTAGTGTCTGCAAGTGGACATTTGGAGCGCTTTCAGGCCTGTGGTGGAAAACGAATTATGGTCACATAAAAACTGGAGAGAAGCCTTCTCAGAAACTTCTCTGTGATGATTGCATTCAACTCACAGAGTTGAACCCTCCTATGGATAGAGCAGTGTTGAAACTCTCTTTTTGTGGAATCTGCAAGTGGATATGTGGACCTCTCCGAAGATGTCTTTGGAAACGGGAATATCTTCACATAAAAACTAAACAGAAGCATTCTCAGAAACTTCTTGGTGATGTTTGCATTCAAATCCCAGAGTTGAACCTTCCTTTGATAGTTCAGGTTTGAAACACTCTTTCTGTAGGATCTGCAAGTGGCTATTTGGACCACTCTGTGGCCTTCGTTCGAAACGGGTATATCTTCGCATAAAATCTAGACAGAAGCATTCTCAGAAAATACTTTGTGATGATTGAGTTTAAATCACAGAGCTGACCATTCCTTTGGATGGAGCAGGTTTGAGACACACTTTTTGTAGAATCTACAAGTGGATATTTGGACCTCTCTGAGGATTTCGTTGGAAACGGGATAACTGCACCTAACTAAACGGAAGCATTCTCAGAAACTGCTTTGTGATGATTGCATTCACCTCACAGAGTTGAACATTCCTATTGATAGAGCAGTTTGGAAACACTCTTGTTGTGGAATGTGCAAGTGGAGATTTGGAGCGCTTTGAGGCCTATGGTAGTAAAGGGAATAGCTTCATAGAAAAACTAGACAGATGCATTCTCAGGAACTTTTTGGTGATGTTTGTATTCAACTCCCAGAGTTGAACTTTCCTTTGGAAAGAGCAGCTATGAAACACTCTTTTTCTAGAATCTGCAAGTGGACGTTTGGAGGGCTTTGTGGTTTGTGGTGGAAAAGGAAATATCTTCACCTAAATACTAGATAGAAGCATTCTCAGAAGCTTCTCTGTGATGACTGCATTCAACTCACGGAGTTGAACACTCCTTTTGAGAGCGCAGTTTTGAAACTCTCTTTCTGTGGCATCTGCAAGGGGACATGTAGACCTCTTTGAAGATTTCGTTGGAAACGGAATCATCTTCACATAAAAACTATACAGAAGCAGTCTCAGAATCTTCTTTGTGATGTTTGCATTCAAATCCCAGAGTTGAACTTTCCTTTCAAAGTTCACGTTTGAAACACTCTTTTTGCAGGATCTACAAGTGGATATTTGGACCACTCTGTGTCCTTCGTTCGAAACGGGTATATCTTCACACGACATCTAGACAGAAGCTTTCTCAGAAAATTCTTTGGGATGATTGAGTGGAACTCACAGAGCTGAACATTCCTTGCGATGGAGCAGTTTAGAAACACACTTTCTGCAGAATCTGCAAGTGCATATTTGGACCTCTCTGAGGAATTCGTTGGAAACGGGATAATTTCAGCTGACTAAACAGAAGCATTCTCAGAACCTTCTTCGTGATGTCTGCATTCAACTCACAGTGTGGAACCTTTCTTTGATAGTTCAGGTTTGAAACACTCTTTTTGTAGAAACTGCAAGGGGATAATTGCACTTCTTTGAGGCCTACCGTAGTAAAGGAAATAACTTCCTATAGAAAGAAGACAGAAGCATTCTCAGAACCCTCTTCGTGATGTTTGCATTCAACTCACAGTGCTGAACCTTTCTTTGATAGTTCAGCTTTGAAACACTCTTCTTGTAGAAACTGCAAGTGGATATTTGGTCCTCTCTGAGGATTTCGTTGGAAACGGGATAAACCGCACAGAACTAAACAGAAGAATTCTCAGAGCCCTCTTCGTGATGTTTGCATTCAACTCACAGTGCTGAACCTTTCTTTGATAGTGCAGCTTTGAAACACTCTTTTTGTAGAAACTGCAAGTGGATGTTTGGTCCTCTCTGAGGATTTCGTTGGAAACGGGATAAACCGCACAGAACTAAAACAGAAGCATTGTCAGAAACTTCTTTGTGATGATTGCATTCAACTCACAGAGTTGAAGGTTCCTTTTCAAACAGCAGTTTCCAATCACTCTTTCTGTGGAATCTGCAAGTGGATATTTGGGCCTCTCTGAGGATTTCGTTGGAAACGGGATAAAACGCACAGAACTAAAACAGAAGCATTCTCAGAAACTTCTCTGTGATGTTTGTGTTCAACTCCCAGAGTTTCACGTTGCTTTTCATAGAGTAGTTCTGAAACATGCTTTTCGTAGTGTCTGCAAGTGGACATTTGGAGCGCTTTCAGGCCTGTGGTGGAAAACGAATTATGGTCACATAAAAACTGGAGAGAAGCCTTCTCAGAAACTTCTCTGTGATGATTGCATTCAACTCACAGAGTTGAACCCTCCTATGGATAGAGCAGTGTTGAAACTCTCTTTTTGTGGAATCTGCAAGTGGATATGTGGACCTCTCCGAAGATGTCTTTGGAAACGGGAATATCTTCACATAAAAACTAAACAGAAGCATTCTCAGAAACTTCTTGGTGATGTTTGCATTCAAATCCCAGAGTTGAACCTTCCTTTGATAGTTCAGGTTTGAAACACTCTTTTTGTAGGATCTGCAAGTGGCTATTTGGACCACTCTGTGGCCTTCGTTCGAAACGGGTATATCTTCGCATAAAATCTAGACAGAAGCATTCTCAGAAACTACTTTGTGATGATTGAGTTGAACTCACAGAGCTGAACACTCCTTTGGATGGAGCAGGTTTGAGACACACTTTTTGTAGAATCTACAAGTGGATATTTGGACCTCTCTGAGGATTTCGTTGGAAACGGGATAACTGCACCTAACTAAACGGAAGCATTCTCAGAAACTGCTTTGTGATGATTGCATTCACCTCACAGAGTTGAACATTCCTATTGATAGAGCAGTTTGGAAACACTCTTGTTGTGGAATGTGCAAGTGGAGATTTGGAGCGCTTTGAGGCCTATGGTAGTAAAGGGAATAGCTTCATAGAAAAACTAGACAGATGCATTCTCAGGAACTTTTTGGTGATGTTTGTATTCAACTCCCAGAGTTGAACTTTCCTTTGGAAAGAGCAGCTATGAAACACTCTTTTTCTAGAATCTGCAAGTGGACGTTTGGAGGGCTTTGTGGTTTGTGGTGGAAAAGGAAATATCTTCACCTAAATACTAGATAGAAGCATACTCAGAAGCTTCTCTGTGATGACTGCATTCAACTCACGGAGTTGAACACTCCTTTTGAGAGCGCAGTTTTGAAACTCTGTTTCTGTGGTATCTGCAAGGGGACATGTAGACCTCTTTGAAGATTTCGTTGGAAACGGAATCATCTTCACATCAAAACTATACAGAAGCAGTCTCAGAATCTTCTTTGTGATGTTTGCATTCAAATCCCAGAGTTGAACTTTCCTTTCAAAGTTCACGTTTGAAACACTCTTTTTGCAGGATCTACAAGTGGATATTTGGACCACTCTGTGTCCTTCGTTCGAAACGGGTATATCTTCACATGACATCTAGACAGAAGCTTTCTCAGAAAATTCTTTGGGATGATTGAGTGGAACTCACAGAGCTGAACATTCCTTGCGATGTAGCAGTTTAGAAACACACTTTCTGCAGAATCTGCAAGTGCATATTTGGACCTCTCTGAGGAATTCGTTGGAAACGGGATAATTTCAGCTGACTAAACAGAAGCATTCTCAGAACCTTCTTCGTAATGTCTCCATTCAACTCACAGTGTGGAACCTTTCTTTGATAGTTCAGGTTTGAAACACTCTTTTTGTAGAAACTGCAAGGGGATAATTGCACTTCTTTGAGGCCTACCGTAGTAAAGGAAATAACTTCCTATAGAAAGAAGACAGAAGCATTCTCAGAACCCTCTTCGTGATGTTTACATTCAACTCACAGTGCTGAACCTTTCTTTGATAGTTCAGCTTTGAAACACTCTTCTTGTAGAAACTGCAAGTGGATATTTGGTCCTCTCTGAGGATTTCGTTGGAAACGGGATAAACCGCACAGAACTAAACAGAAGCATTCTCAGGAACCTTCTTCGTGATGTTTGCATTCAACTCACAGTGTTGAACCTTTCTTTGATAGTTCAGGTTTGAAACGGTCTTTCTGTAGAAACTGCAAGTAGATATTTGGACCTCTCTGAGGATTTCGTTGGAAACGGGATAACCCGCACAGAACTAAAACAGAAGCATTCACAGAAAACTCTTGGTGACGACTGAGTTTAACTCACAGAGCTGAACATTCCTTTGGATGGAGCAGTTTCGAAACACACTATTTGTAGAATGTGCAAGTGGATATTTGGGCCTCTCTGAGGATTTCGTTGGAAACGGGATAAACCGCACAGAACTAAACAGAAGCATTCTCAGAAACTACTTTGTGATGATTGCATTCAAGTCACAGAGTTGAACATTCCCTTTGACAGAGCAGTTTGGAAACTCTCTTTGTGTAGAATCTGCAAGTGGAGATATGGACCGCTTTGAGGCCTATGGTAGTAAAGGAAATAGCTTCATATAAAAGCTAGACAGTAGCATTCTCAGAAACTTCTTTGTGATGCTTGCATTCAACTCACAGAGTTGAACGTTCCTTTCGAGAGAGAAGTTTTGAAACACTCTTTTTCCAGAATCTGCAAGTGGACATTTGGAGGGCTTTGAGGCCTGTGGTGTAAAAGGAATTAACTTCCCGTAAAAGCTAGATAGAAGCATTGTCAGAAACTTCTTTGTGATGATTGCATTCAACTCACAGAGTTGAAGGTTCCTTTTCAAAGAGCAGTTTCCAATCACTCTTTGTGTGGAATCTGCAAGTGGATATTTGGACCTATTTTGAAGATTTCGTTGGAAACGGGAGAATCTTCACAGGAAAGCTAAACAGAAGCATTCTCAGAAACTTCTTGGTGATGTTTGCATTCAAATCCCAGAGTAGAACCTTCCTTTGATAGTTCAGGTTTGAAACACTCTTTTTGTAGGATCTGCAAGTGGATATTTGGACCACTCTGTGGCCTTCGTTCGAAACGGGTATATCTTCGCATAAAATCTAGACAGAAGCATTCTCAGAAAATACTTTGTGATGATTGAGTTTAACTCACAGAGCTGAACATTCCTTTGGATGGAGCAGGTTTGAGACACACTTTTTGTAGAATCTACAAGTGGATATTTGGACCTCTCTGAGGATTTCGTTGGAAACGGGATAACTGCACCTAACTAAACGGAAGCATTCTCAGAAACTGCTTTGTGATGATTGCATTCACCTCACAGAGTTGAACATTCCTATTGATAGAGCAGTTTGGAAACACTCTTGTTGTGGAATGTGCAAGTGGAGATTTGGAGCGCTTTGAGGCCTATGGTAGTAAAGGGAATAGCTTCATAGAAAAACTAGACAGATGCATTCTCAGGAACTTTTTGGTGATGTTTGTATTCAACTCCCAGAGTTGAACTTTCCTTTGGAAAGAGCAGCTATGAAACACTCTTTTTCTAGAATCTGCAAGTGGACGTTTGGAGGGCTTTGTGGTTTGTGGTGGAAAAGGAAATATCTTCACCTAAATACTAGATAGAAGCATTCTCAGAAGCTTCTCTGTGATGACTGCATTCAACTCACGGAGTTGAACACTCCTTTTGAGAGCGCAGTTTTGAAACTCTCTTTCTGTGGCATCCGCAAGGGGACATGTGGACCTCTTTGAAGATTTCGTTGGAAACGGAATCATCTTCACATAAAAACTATACAGAAGCAGTCTCAGAATCTTCTTTGTGATGTTTGCATTCAAATCCCAGAGTTGAACTTGCCTTTCAAAGTTCACGTTTGAAACACTCTTTTTGCAGGATCTACAAGTGGATATTTGGACCACTCTGTGTCCTTCGTTCGAAACGGGTATATCTTCACATGACATCTAGACAGAAGCTTTCTCAGAAAATTCTTTGGGATGATTGAGTGGAACTCACAGAGCTGAACATTCCTTGCGATGGAGCAGTTTAGAAACACACTTTCTGCAGAATCTGCAAGTGCATATTTGGACCTCTCTGAGGAATTCGTTGGAAACGGGATAATTTCAGCTGACTAAACAGAAGCATTCTCAGAACCTTCTTCGTGATGTCTGCATTCAACTCACAGTGTGGAACCTTTCTTTGATAGTTCAGGTTTGAAACACTCTTTTTGTAGAAACTGCAAGGGGATAATTGCACTTCTTTGAGGCCTACCGTAGTAAAGGAAATAACTTCCTATAGAAAGAAGACAGAAGCATTCTCAGAACCCTCTTCGTGATGTTTGCATTCAACTCACAGTGCTGAACCTTTCTTTGATAGTTCAGCTTTGAAACACTCTTCTTGTAGAAACTGCAAGTGGATATTTGGTCCTCTCTGAGGATTTCGTTGGAAACGGGATAAACCGCACAGAACTAAACAGAAGCATTCTCAGAGCCCTCTTCGTGATGTTTGCATTCAACTCACAGTGCTGAACCTTTCTTTGATAGTGCAGCTTTGAAACACTCTTTTTGTAGAAACTGCAAGTGGATGTTTGGTCCTCTCTGAGGATTTCGTTGGAAACGGGATAAACCGCACAGAACTAAAACAGAAGCATTGTCAGAAACTTCTTTGTGATGATTGCATTCAACTCACAGTAGTTGAAGGTTCCTTTTCAAACAGCAGTTTCCAATCACTCTTTCTGTGGAATCTGCAAGTGGATATTTGGGCCTCTCTGAGGATTTCGTTGGAAACGGGATAAAACGCACAGAACTAAAACAGAAGCATTCTCAGAAACTTCTCTGTGATGTTTGTGTTCAACTCCCAGAGTTTCACGTTGCTTTTCATAGAGTACTTCTGAAACATGCTTTTCGTAATGTCTGCAAGTGGACATTTGGAGCGCTTTCAGGCCTGTGGTGGAAAACGAATTATGGTCACATAAAAACTGGAGAGAAGCCTTCTCAGAAACTTCTCTGTGATGATTGCATTCAACTCACAGAGTTGAACCCTCCTATGGATAGAGCAGTGTTGAAACTCTCTTTTTGTGGAATCTGCAAGTGGATATGTGGACCTCTCCGAAGATGTCTTTGGAAACGGGAATATCTTCACATAAAAACTAAACAGAAGCATTCTCAGAAACTTCTTGGTGATGTTTGCATTCAAATCCCAGAGTTGAACCTTCCTTTGAGAGTTCAGGTTTGAAACACTCTTTTTGTAGGATCTGCAAGTGGATATTTGGACCACTCTGTGGCCTTCGTTTGAAACGGGTACATCTTCGCATAAAATCTAGACAAAAGCATTCTCAGAAAATACTTTGTGATGATTGAGTTGAACTCACAGAGCTGAACATTCCTTTGGATGGAGCAGGTTTGAGACACACTTTTTGTAGAATCTACAAGGGGATATTTGGACCTCTCTGAGGATTTCGTTGGAAACGGGATAACTGCACCTAACTAAACGGAAGCATTCTCAGAAACTGCTTTGTGATGATTGCATTCACCTCACAGAGTTGAACATTCCTATTGATAGAGCAGTTTGGAAACACTCTTCTTGTGGAATGTGCAAGTGGAGATTTGGAGCGCTTTGAGGCCTATGGTAGTAAAGGGAATAGCTTCATAGAAAAACTAGACAGATGCATTCTCAGGAACTTTTTGGTGATGTTTGTATTCAACTCCCAGAGTTGAACTTTCCTTTGGAAAGAGCAGCTATGAAACACTCTTTTTCTAGAATCTGCAAGT